>NC_000016.10:24850122-25153152 GCF_000001405.40 Homo sapiens | reverse complement strand
GAATCTGGAGGAGTGGGCTAGAAAAAGCCTAGACTCCTTGCCACCCCCGCCTCAGAGAACACTTTCCCTCCTCTCATGTCCCTGCTTGTTGTAATAAACCTGGCTCATCTAGTCACCTGATGCCCACGGTGTTACCTGTGCTGACTACTGGTGAAGGCTGTCCTCTCTGCACGATCTCTGACCTGAATTACTAATAAACCCCTTTAACTTCTCTCAGACAAAAACTGAAAACAAAGGAAGACTGTGGTAGAGACTGACCCATAATTTGAAAGGCTCAGAAATGAGAAAAGCATTGTTAAGACACAGTCATAATTAAAAGTTGAGGGAAAAAACGGAGAAAATTGACTGCCAGGGCCAAACAGGTAGCAGAATTGAGTGAAGCAGATCAAGTGTAAGATACCAGAGAGTCGTGGGGACAGAACTGGAGGATGGGCAACTCCTCTAACTGAGGCAGCCACTATTTAATTGTTCCCATGTAGAAATCGTGGTAATATTACATGGCCTAATGTTACCACGTCTTCTAGTTTTTTCCAAGAAAAGCTAGAAATCGAGATTTTTCATGAGAAGTCTATTTTTGAAATGTTGGCAACTAACTCAAGGTCTTTACAGAATGACTGAAGATTAGAGACCTAAGGACATCTAAAAAGACTCATTTAGAAAGTCGTTGAAAATTCCTTCATGGTAACCCCAAGTTTAAATGTATCGGCAAAAGTCTACTATAGACTAAAAATAAAATTCTAAGCTCCCCAGCCACCTGAACCAAGGGGACCCCAGAGTGACCTTGAAAACTGAGTTCTTGGCCACGTCAGGATGGGAGGTCAGATGCCTTCTCAAAACCCTTGCTCACTAACTGCCTGTAGGCGTTCTTCCCTAAGGGCTAAACAGCAACCAGCCCTTTCAAAAGACTACTGCTGCTGTCATCCAACCCAACTGCCTGACTGCTGCCCCTCTCTTTGGCCACTTTGAAATGGTCAACCAGCATTCCTTCCTGATGAGACCACAGAACAGGGAGTGGTTCTGGCCAGTCTCCGAAAGATGTGGGTTTTTGTGTCCTCTGCTTCACCTTTTGATGTCAGAGGGCCAAAACCTCCACCCTTGGATCATGCTAACACTGCCATTTTTTTATACATGGGACCTATGATGGGATGTGAAGCTCAACTGCACACATACACAGTTCGCCCTTCATAAATATTCATGATGACTCCTATAGCTTATTAAATATGTATGTTCACCCACCTGGCTGAGCATAAATTCCTCCTCCTTTTGCCCCTCCTTCAAAGTGTCTGTTGTTGACTTCTAGCAGGAGGCTGTGCTTCCCAGCCTGTTAGAATGGCCACCCTGCAGGCTCAACCCTGTCTGAGAAAGCAAGCTCTCCTTTCCTAATTTATGAACCTCGTCATTCTTCAGTTGACAATACATTGTATAACACCACACACACACACACACACACACACACCCAACACAAACCCCATCTTCAAAAAGGGGGTGGGAAGCAAAAATACTGATACAGTCCATTTTGCATTAGCTTGATACTTGCCCATCTGAAGTGTGTCCTCTGAATGCAGTTCTAGAATGGGGCTGGATAGGGGAGGCTTGCATCTATGGGAAGATGGGAAAGAGGAGAAAAATGAGTCTATTTGCTCCTCAATTTACTCATGAGCTCATTTACTGCACAAATGCAGACACTCACTACCAAAATGGCAAATATATATTTGCTATTGTTCAAAGCAGGGGCCCCTCTAAAAAGGGCTTCAGTTTAATTACTTTTGACCCTAAGCACATACGGTAAAACTTCAGTGGACACAGGTCTCAGGTGACATTGGCTAAGCATTACACTCAGCATTTGATGTCCAAATCACAAACTGATCATGAAGTATTTAGACTTAGAAATAGCTAAAGATAACCTAACAAGAATTTTTCAAATGTTCCAATGTTTTTTTGGGCCATCTCTAGTTTGCTGCCTATTCTCAATCAAACTTTTAAAGATACTTGTTATTTGTAACAGGTAGCCAGAAGAATTGACTCTTACACAAACTTGAAGTTCAGTAACATTTATGTGGGAACTACCCCAATCCAGAATAGGCAAAAAATCAGAAATCAGACACGCGTCAATATCCCAACAACCATAATCAAACACCAACACACTTTCTGTCCCCGGAAACCATCTCTGGACTTAACCTAGAGCCAGTTACTCTTATTCCACTCAGAGTTCTAACCAGCCAGTACTTTGCAGTTCCCAGAGCATCAGAATTGCCATTTATCACTTAAAAAGCATATTTAATATAAAATTAAATATATCAGGAAAGGGTGATCCATTATTTTCATGGATCTAGAAAAAATAAAGCTTGAAAATTATTTCCACTTTATAAGGATCAGACTTTTCTAAAGGACAGCTGAAACACTTAATGTTTACTCACATTTTTTTCAATATAAGAATTAGGGTTTTATTTAAATGACTAATTTAAAAGGGGGGATGGGGAGGGACTGTAGTTAAAACTATTAAGATGCGGGCCAGGCACAGTGGCTCACGCCTGTAATCCCAGCACTTTGAGAGGCCAAGGCAGGCAGATCACCTGAGGTCGGGAGTTCAAGACCAGCCCGACCAAAATGGAGAAAACCCGTCTCTACTAAAAATACAAAATTAGCCAGGCATGGTGGCACATGTCTGGAATCCCAGCTACTTGGGAGGCTGAGGCAGGAGAATCGCTTGCACCTAGGAGGCGGAGGTTGCGGTGAGCTGAGATCGTGCCATTGCACTCCAGCCTGGGCAACAAGAGCAAAACTCCGTCTCAAAAAAAAAAAAAAAAAAAAAAAAAAAACCAGAAAACTATGAAGATGCCTTGATCTTGAGCTTGAAGTCACAGTTTGAATCTCAGCTCCACCCTTTCCTAGATAAAAGACTTTGGGCAAATTAACTTCTTTAAGCCTCAGTTTCCTTATCTGCAAAAAGGGGATAACAGCAGCACTTAATTCATGAGTGTGCTGTAAGGACTGAATGAAAACAATCCAAGTGAAGCACTTAACATGGTACTAGGCTATGAAAGCTCTCAGCACACATTAGCAAACCTGTCATCTGCAACTCTGTAAACTCCTTGATACTAGACTCGGAATGGCCCCCATAATATGTCATCTATAATAACTAACTTCAGTCTTCCATTCATTCATTCATATACACAAAAACCCACTTACTGCACATCTATTCTGGACCAGGTAACCTACTTTTTTTTTTTTTTTTTTTTTTTGAGACAGTCTTGCTCTGTCACCCAGGCTGGACTGCAGTGGTGTGATCATAGCTCACTGCAGCCTCGACCTCCTGGGCTCAAGTGATCCTTCTATCTCAGCCTCCCAAGTAGCTGAGACTATAGATGCACCCAACATGCCTAGCTAATTTTTGTATTTTTAGTAGAGACGAGGTTTCACCATGTTGCCTGGGCTGGTCTCGAACTCCTGGGCTCAAGCAATCCACCAGCCTTGGCCTTCCAAAGTGCTGGGATTACAGGCATAAGCCACTGTGCCTGGGCAAGGCCAGGTAACTTTCTACATGCCCTCGGAATAAAGTAGTAAACAAAAGACATAAAAATTCAGATTATGAAAATATGGGGTCACTTTTTAAATGTTCCAGGCAACTACATTAATGGATGGAGAGTCATAATGAAAAAGAACAGGAATGGGATACGGCTCCTTCTTCATGTTTAACCAGACCTTCTACTTAAAGAATCCCAGGAACTAGCCTTAGGAAATCTAAATATCAAACCAAGGTGGTGGAGTGTCTCATCCCAGGAAGGAACACTGAACAACTGATTTACAGCAGGGGTGTCCAATCTTTTGGCTTCCCTGGACCACACTGAAGAACTGTCTTGGGCCACACAAAATACACTAACAATAGCTGATGAGCTTTAAAAAAAATAAGTCACAAAAGAATCTCATGTTTTAAGAAATGTTACGAATTTGTGTTGGGCCACATTCAAAGCAGTCCTGGGCTGCATGTCGCCCCGCCCGCAGGCCTGGGGTTGAACAAGCTTGATTACAGCCTTGTTGCCTCTGGCCAGCCCACCAGGTGGTCCATTAACCAAGATAACCATCAGCCACTAGATATGCTGACCCGCATTCCCTACCCCTCACATGCTTTGCCCAGCTCAGCCTACATGCCCTCTCCCGATGTCAGTTACCAGGCTTTGCTAATAAAACGTCTCTCCCGGCTCTTCCAGAGAGCCAGCCGCAGAGTCTCTGCCGTCTCCCCGTGCGCTCAAGCACAAGCCCCCAACTAAAAGCCTTGTCTGGAAAATCTGCTTGGTGCCATAACAGATTATCTGGTGAGCCAGGTAGGAGCACAAGGAGTAATTTCCCTCCCTGCAGGGGAGGCTTGTGAGCCTGCGAGCCGGAGGGAGGCCCCACTGATTCAGCGCTGCCACCGCGACTGGCGAGTTTTCCTCTAGTCTCGCGACTGGTAAGTTTTCCTCTGGTCTCTGCAAGACTCCTCACCACTCCTGCCCCAGACAATGTTTTCCCTTCCCTCGCGTCCCCTATTTGTTGTCTTTTTCCTTCTTCCTTTCTGCTTTCCTTCCTTCACTTTTAACTTCATTGGCTCGAACTGAACAGACACCCGTGCAGGACGGACTGACACGGCTGGAAGGAACTACTGGGTGCCCTGGCTTCAGACCCAATAGTTGACAATCTTCAAGTCTTTCAGTGCTTTCCCTCCCTTTGCCACACCTGTTGGGAAGGGAAGCCTGTGAGCTTTTCTCTGTCTGTTCAGTGTTTGAGCCTACGGACTCTGGGTGCTGCCTTTATGCGGGGAGAATTGACGGCACATGGGGCTGGAGTTTGCCTAGCTCATGCCCTGATCTGTTTTTCCTTTTTGTATGTTTAATTCAACATCTTATTGACTGTCATTCGGTTACTACCAAATGCAGGACACTGGTCAGTAGAACCTGGACCTGCTGTAAGGCTGAAGAAGAAAAAGAAACCATCCAAGCTGGCACTCGGTTTTGGGGAGTTCTCTTCACTGCTCACGCCGGCCCTCTTGTGTGACCTGTACTGTTGTGCTGTGTGGGGCTGGGAGCCAACTCTCTTTTCGTCGCCTGACACCTGTGCTTGCACCCTGCCCCTGGTCCTTTAATAAGACAAGCAGACACAGGGGCTACAGTCATGGGCAATGCCCCAGGCATCTTCCAAGACTCACACCTGGGATGTATCATTTCTAAATGGAAGGAATCCAAATCAGATGGTTTAAAGAAAAAGAAACTCCAGCCTGGGAAACATAGGAAGACTCCACCTCTACAAAAAACAGGAAAAATGAGCCGGGTGTGGGGGTGCCTTCCTGGGGTCTCAGCTACTCAGAAGGCTAAAGTGAGGATCGCTTAAGTCCAGGAGGTTGAGGCTGCAGTGAGTTGTGGTAATACCATAGCACTCCAACCTGGGCAATGGAGTGAGACCCTGCCTCAAAATCAAATTTTTTTTTTAATTAAAAAAAAAGAAACTGATTTTCCTCTGTAATACAACCTGCCCTAGTACACATTAGATCAAGAAAAATGGCCATGGGCAGAAGTGGATCTCCTAGTTTTAACACTATCTTACCGCCCGACCTATTCTGTGAATGGACAGAGAAATGGGGAGAGATACCTAGCTACAAGCTTTTATGAAGTTATGCTAGGACCCAGAGCTACTGGATTCTTGTCAGGTGTGTGTGGCCCCTATTTCCAGGTTCCTCCTGAAGGAACCTGAAGAAGCGGACCTCCACAGCCTCAGGCCCCGAGCACTCCCTCCCTACCCTAAGCAGGCCTCCTGGGGAGGGGAGCCCCTGTGCTGTCCCCAACAGCGCTCCAATCGGACTCCAAACAGGCACCCTCTTTTGCTTCCCCACTGGCCCAGGGCTGTTTTCCCCTCAGAGAAATGGATGGAAACGGGGGAGTGACAAGGATCCAAGTTCCTTTTTTTGGTGGTGGATCTAGGACTATGTAAAAAACACTTTGGTAGATTTTCAGAGGATCCTGGTAAGTTTAGAGATGAATTTGTTAAACTAAATCTTGCCTTTTCATTGACGTGGCAGGATGTTATGGTCACTTTGCAGTACTGATGAAAAGCAACACATATTTGGAAAGGCTAAGGAATATGCCAATAGCCAGGTGGTCACTAAAGACCAATATGCAGTCATCTGTTTAGGGGGAGATGCGGTCCCAGGCATAGTCTCCACGTGAGTGAGACTATGGAGAAAACCTAGAAAAAGCTAGAATGAGCCACTTTGTCACCTGCCTGACTGAAGGAAGAAGGAAATGTATAGTAAAACCTGTACACTATGACAGGGTCAAGAAAATTACCCAGAGAAAGAAGGAGATCCCAGTAGTCTTCCTCAATCGAGTCCCTGAGGCCCTTGGGAAATGCACCCATGCAGACCCAGAGGCAGCAGAGGGGAAGCATCGCGTGCCATGCATTTTATCCTTCAGTCAGCTCCGGACATTAGAAGGAAATTACAGAAAATTTGGAGGCCAGACCCCAGACCCTGCTGTTGACTTTGGCAGAGGCGGCTTTTAAGGTTTTCAATAACGGACAGGACACAGATGGCAGGTAAGAAGAGGAGACTGACCAAGACAGCACAGCTTCTGGCTGCCCTAATTCATCCACCATCTCAGGGTGACCCTAGGATTCTCAGGAGACCAACTAATCGAAGACAGCCAACCTTGGATGGAGCCAATGTGCCTACTGCAGGATGGAGGGGGTCACTGGAAGAGAGGCTGCCCTGACCTCCTTAAAACAGGACAGCCGGCAGGCAACCCTGGCCAGCCGCCACTCCTCACCAAGCTTTCAGATGAGATTGATACACACCGCCTGACAGCACCCTGGCTCTGACTGCAGCACACTCCATCGTCATCACACCACGGAGCCTCAGGTCACCCTTGATGTGGCAGGTAGGAAAACAGTTCCTCGTGGACAGCAGAGCTGCCTGCTCGGTCCTGACCCAGCCTATTTGCCTCCTCTCCAATTGCAATTGCAGGGTAATGGGAATAGACAGGTGTCCTAAGGTAAGAAAATTTACTTTCCCTCTTGCTTGTGAGGCCATGTCTAGGCTTTTTTCTCCTCATTTCTGTATGCCCCCCGGAATGTCCTACTCCATTGCTGGGTAGAGACTTATTAAGCAAAATGGGAGCCACCATCTCCCTGGAAGAGGACAGACTGCAGGTAGAGGCAGAGCCAGAACAGGGAATCCACCTGCTAGCACTCTTAAATGGACAGGAACTTGAGACCCAAAACATACCCAAAGAAAGCAAGGATCACATCACCCCTTCCCTATCGGACACTTCAGTCCTAGGACAGGCTAATAAAGTTCCGCCAGTAAAGACAGACCTGAAGCCTGGGATGGGCTATCCATGGAGGAAATCATACCTCCTAAAACCTGTGGCACTGAATGGGGTTCAGCCATTACTCCACAAATTCCTATAGCAAGGGCTAAACCCTGCCAGTCCCCAGGCAACACCTCGGTCCTCCCTGTTAAAAAGCCTAATGGAGAATATCAGTTTGTGTAGGACTTGAAGGGGGTTAATGAGGCAGTCATTCCCATCCACCCAACACTGGTCCCAAGCTTGTCTGTGCTCAGATACCTGGAGATGCTCAGTTTTTCACTCTACTACACTTCAAGGATGCTTTCTTTTGTGTAGCCCTCTCCACCCAGAATCCCTGTATCTTTTTGCTTTGAATGGAGAAATCTCTGATACCCAGAAAGCCACATAGTACACATGGACTGTGCTTCCCCAGGGCTTCTGGGAAGGCCCCCACCTTTTTGGGAATGCAGGGAGCTAAGCCTACAGAATGGGACTTTTATTACAATATGTGGATGACTTGTTCATTGTCAGCCAAACATGGCAGGATTCAGATTTTAATATCATTAAAACCTTGAATTTCCTGGCTGAGCGGTGATACAAGGTCAGCCCCATCCAAGGCCCAGATTTCTTTACAGAAGTTCCGATATCTGGGGTTCATTCTGACCCCAGGAGCCCGAACACTAGTTGTGGACTGGAAAAAGCAATCACTTCATTGCTGGTCCCACAAACAAAAAGGCAGCCCCAGGGTTTCTTGGGAATGGTGGGCTTCTGTAGTATTTGGATTCCAAATTATGGCCTGACGGCTAAACCCCTATGTGAGACCCAAAAGGGGGAAGAAAGAGAGCCCTTGTACTGGGAGAAGAAATGTCAACAATCTTTTGAACCTCTAAAAACTGAGCTGGGTCAAGCCCTTGTCCTTGGACTCCCTGAGAAAAACCACTTACCTTGTATGTTTGTGAGAGACTAGGAATAGCTTTGGGAGTCTTAACTCAAAGGTTAGGACCTGTTCAGAAGCCAGTGGCTCATTTTTCGAAACAGACAAATCCAGTTGCACAGAAGCGGCCTGGCTGCTGGAGGGCAGTGGCAGCCACTGCCCTGCTGTTTAGTGAAGCATCTAAGCTGACACAGGGACAATATACAGAAGCTATGACTCCCCACCAGGTTCAGACTGGGTTAGAAGTCAAGGGACACCATTGGCTCACTGCAGGGAGGCTGACCAACTACCAAGCTCTCTTATTAGACACCCTGGATATTACTTTAAGGGTATGTCAGACTTTGAACACAGCAACCTCACTCCCAACCACAGATGATGAGGACTCACAGCATCAATGCACAGGGCCCACAAAACAGACTCCAGCAGGCCTAGCTTGTGAGATAAGCCTCTTGAGAATGCAAAGACGGAATGATATCCTGATGGCAGTAGCTTTGTGGAGGGAGACCCAAAAGGCAGGACATGCAGTAGTAAGCCTGAAGGAGACTACAGAAACTAAAGCCCTTCCTCCCCAAAATGGCACAAAAAGCAGCACTAGAGGCCTTAACAGAGCCTCACAACTGGGAGAAAGGGAGGGAGTAAATTTATACACCAACTCAAAGTATAGGTTTCTCCTGCTGTGTGCCCATGCAGCCATATGGAAGGAAAAGGGAATGTTAACAGTTAAAAATTCCCCAGGCAAACGTAAGGATCCAATCCAACTTCTCCTGGAAGCGGCACAACTTCCCTGCCAGGTGGCAGTCATTCACTGCAAAGGCCACCAGAGGGACTGGTCCCTCATCAGCCAAGGAAATAGGGCCACAAAACAGGCAACCTGGTTATAGGAATCCAGCAATGTGTTGGCCTTAATGACAGACCCTACCAACCTTCCTAATCACCTACAATACTCACAACAAGAGCAAGAGGAAGCTAAGGGGCAGGGGTACCAGGAAAACAGTGCTGGATGGTTCACAGATGGTGACAAGTTTTATTCCAGGAACTGACCAGTTGAAAGTTACTAAGCATCTCCATGATGCCACTCATTAATGGAGACATGTTTTATGGAATTCTGTCCATAAAATATTCACCAGAAAGAAACTAAGAAAAAGTGTAAAACAAGTAACCTTTGTCAGTGAATTGTGTTCCCGAAATAATCCCCACACCCATCCAATTCCCCCTTCTTGACTTAAACTGGTTCAACACAGGGGAACTTATCTGGGAGAAGACTGGCAGGTTGTTTTAACCCAAATGACTCCAAATCTAGGGTACAAATATCTCCTGGTGTTTGTGGATACTTTTACTGGACGGGTCAAGGGTTTCCCTACCTGTACAGAAAAAGCAGTAGAAGTCTGTAAACCTTCACTAAAGGAAGTAATTTCTCAATTTGGACTCCCCAAGTCCCCTCAGAGTGGTAACAGGCTCTCCTTCATGGGTAAGATTACTCAGAGCCTCTCCACAACCTTAGGAATAGATTATGAACTGGCACCCCAATCATCAGGGAAAGTTAAGATGAACCATACACTTGAGACGACTCTAGCCAAACTCTTTCAGGAGACGCACGAGTCCTGGGTTAAGATGCTCCCAGTCTTCTCAGGGTCCGCAGGGCCCCTTCGTGCAGCCTAAGACTTAGTTCTTCTCAGATGATCTACCAGAGGCCTTTCCTCACCACTGACCTCCTGTTAGGTGAAGAATTACATAAAAAATTACAGTATCGATTTAGGACAGATTCAAAAGGTGACTTCAGAATATGGAAACAAAATCCTGCCAGTCCCCACTAAGGATGGGAAAACCCCTTTACAAGTTAATCCAGGGGACCAAGTCCTCCTAAAGGCTTGAAGGGCAGGCTCCCCGGAGGACCACCCCTTGCTTAAATGGGAGGGCCCTTACTGGGTGATCCTGACCACTCCAACTGCAGCCAACTCACAAGGAATCACTAGCTGGGTACACCTCTCCCGATCAGAAATGCTTTCTCCTAAATGTTTCCAGACTCGCCCAGATGGCCCATTTTACTCCTGAAAACCTGTGGAAGACCTCAAATTCAGGAGAGCCAATTCATCATCGGAGAAGTAATGTGGTTAGAGATCTTGAGTCCAATACTTTTCCTTGTATTACTAATTGGTTTACTATTATTCTGTTGCTTTGCTCAGCCTCCTCCCTCAGGTAAAGACTTCGTTTGTCCCTGCTGGGTATAAAGATGCTACTCTTTACTTTGTTCCTACTCCTCCCCATCAGGGCACAGGGTAGGCTAGGCCTACTAAAATGAGAAACAAACTCTCTTGACAACCTTTCCGGCATTATAGCTTCAGGTAATAATTTGTCCAACTGCTGGGTGTGCTACCATCATCCCCAGGCTCAGAGGGGCTGCCTCTTGCACTCCCTAAAAGCTCAACTACCAACTTCACAAAAGAGGTATGGAAACCTAAAATAACCTCTGCACCTCTTATGGTGGACCTAAGTGTCTCCCTTTCCTTTGAATGTATAAACCTCATTGGGCTGCTAAATGCTTTGGTCACCAAAAAGGGTGGAAAAAAGAGAAGTTGGACTGCCTACTTTGAAATCCCACCGGGTTTTCTCTTAGCAGTAAAGAAAAACCCTAATCAAACTTGGGCTCAGGAAGGCTATCTTTTCCCCCATGCCAAAACAGTCATACCTCTCTCCACAGCTTAGCTGCTCACCTGAACTCCTCTCGCCTTGTGTAAGTTTGTGCACCCATGGGGTATTCTGTTCCTTTGTGGACACCCAGACTGCCATCTGATCAACAGCTACCCTTCAGCCAATTTCACCTCTCTGTTACTTGCACTAGCGTGCCCTTGTGTGGATAATGTACAACGCAATAAGGAATGCATGTTAGGTACTTTAAGTCCCAGTAGAATAACAGTTCATAATATCACACATGTGGTGAAATCTAAAAAGGCAATAGGGCTAATTTTGGCAGGAGTTGGAATAGCCCCTTGGGATGGCTTTGCATACTGTCAGACAGCTTTGAGAAACTTTCAAACCCTTGAAACACTGGCAACTAGTACAGGCAGAGCCATAAAAGGACATCAAGCCTCCCTGCACTCCCTAGCCAATGCTGTCTTGGATAACAGATTTGCCCTGGAATATCTTCTGGCTGAACAAGGGCGGGTATGCACAGTAATAAACCACATCTGTTGTTCTTACATTAACAGTTCAGGATTGGCTAAACTGCAAGTTCAAAAGATTTACCAAGACCAGGCACAATGGTTCATGCCTGTAATCCCAGCACTTTGGGAGGCCAAGGTGGGTGGATCGTTTGAGCCTAAGAGTTTGAGACCAGCCTGGGCAACATGGCTAAACCCCATCTCTACAAAATTACAAAAAAAGAAAAAAAAATTAGGTGGCCTTGGTGGCATGTGCCTTTATTCCCAGCTACTCAGGAGGCTGAGGTGGGAGGATTGCCTGAGCCCAGAAGGTTGAGGCTGCAGTAAGCCATGATGGCACCACTGCACTCCTACCTGGATGACAGAGTGAGACCCTGTCTCCAAAAGAAAATAAAAGTAAAGATTCACCAAGAGGCTACCTGGCTACATAATCGTAATGACTCTACTGCTCAAACCATCTGGGGCTCCATCAGTGGATACCTACAAAGTATGACATGGTTTTTACCTTTCTTCGGACCCTAAGTGGTCATTTAATTGCTATTACTTTTGGCGTATTGTGTTTTTAACCTTTTGGTAAAGTTTGTGTCTTTCAGGTTTCAATAGCTCCAAGTCAAGCTAATGATGGCCCAAGAATTCCAACCCATAACATCCCAGGAGCACCCCAGTCCCTACAGGTCTTTAGGACAGCCAGTGAGAGATTTCCCCACCCCCTAAAGTTAGGCAGGGACGACATCCCTGTTCAGCAGGAAGTCGCTTCAGAAGATGAGATCTTCAGCCCTTTCTCCTTAAGAATAGAGGGTGAAATCTCTCAGGGGGAAATAGAGATAGAACAGAAATGGAATGGGGTTGCTTCTTCATAATACTTAACCATGCCTTCTACTTAAAGTTCTAGGAACTGGCCTTAGGAAATCTAACTATGAAACCAAGGTTATGGAGTATCCCACCTCAGGAAGGAACACTGAACAACTGATTGACAGTCTTCTTGCCGCCAGCCAGACCACCAAGTGGCCCATTAACCAAGAGAACCAGCGCAACCAGATACGCTGACCCGCATCTCCTACCTCTCATGTGCTTTGCCCAGCCCAGCCTGCATACCTTACTCATGATGTCAATTCCCAAGTTTCGCTAATAAAAACATCTCTGCAAGCCTCTTCAGGGAGCCAACAAGACAGTCCTTGTGCCTCTGCTGTCTCCCTAGTACTTGAGTACAAGCCCCAAAAACAAAAACCTTGTCTGGGAGATTTGGTTGGCCTCGTGTTAATTGTAATTACATGGGGAGCCATAGAGCCTGTGATCTGTAATAAGGAAATGTATATTGCATTTTGCAGACTGTAGAACATGCTGGAATGAGTGCCAGGGCAAAAAAAAAGTTGGTGGGGGGCAGTGAACGGAAGGCAACACCCTAAAGTGAAGTCTCTGGCATTCAGATCTGCCATCTCTTGAGAGCTGGATCTGAATTCTCGCTGGCTTTTGTTCTTCTGGCCATGCCACACTTACTTGATACTGTGCAGCTTTCTCGTGACAATCATTGGAAAGTCAACCTCAAAATATTTACTTGGGAGAAGATCTTCATCCTGGGGAAAAACACACAATACTTTTTATTTCTTTACTCTTACATGTGCTGATCATCTTCCACATATCAAGCACTAGGCACCTAAGAGCAATAGTGTTTAAGGATTTTTAAATCAGGGGACTGATATGGGCAGACGTGTTTTTCGAATTACTCAAGAATAGATTTGAGGGAAGCAAGCACAGATGAAGGTAAAAAGTCAGGAAGCCAGAGGAGTCAGCCAGGTAAGAAGGTAAGGTCCAGGAAGGAGCCTGAGCTAGCAGGTGGCAGCTGGGATGATGGGGAGGAGCTGAGAGGTGCTTTGGAAGTAGAATATACTCCGTATTTTCAAAAGGCAGCTTGAGGCCAGGTGCAGTGGCTCACGACTGTAATCTCAACACTTTAGAAGGCTGAGGCAGGAGGATCGTTTGAGGCCAGGAGTTTGAGGCCATCCTGGGCAACACAGCGAGACCCTGTCCATGCAAAAAAATTAAAAAGTTTAAACGATTTAACAACAACAAAAAAGGCAGCTTGAGCTCCATTAGGAGGGTCAGGAAATCAATGTAGTAGGTTTTGACGAGCATTATTTTTTGGGTGAAATAGGTTAAAACAGCCAGTATCAAAAGCATCACATATATTAAGGGTATTATTTTCTGATATATTTTTCATTTTTTTTTTCTTTTTTTGAGACGGAGTCTCACTCTGTCACCCAGGCTGGAGTGCAATGACATGATCTCAGCTCACTGCAACCTCTGCCTCCCGGGTTCAAGCGATTCTCCTGCCTCAGCCTCCAGAGTAGCGAGGATTACAGGTGCCCAGCCTCTGATACATTTTTCTCTGTGATAGTGAAGTATGATAGATTAAAGAACAGGCACTCTTGGAGCTGGAGTGGCTCAAACCCCAGCTCCACCACTTACATGCTGTAAGGTCTTGGGAAAGTCAGTAAACTCACTGGGCCAGGATTTACTTGTTTGAAAAGTGAAGAAGCCGGGCACCCGTGGCTCACGCCTGTAATCCCAGCACTTTGGGAGGCTGAGGCAGGCGGATCACAAGGTCAAGAGACCGAGACCATCCTGGCCAACATGGTGAATGAAACCTCATCTCTACAAAAAATACAAAAAGTAGCTACTCAGGAGGCTGAGGCAGGAGAATTGCTTGAACCCGGGAAACGGAGGTTGCAGTGAGCTGAGATCGCGCTGCTGCACTCCAGCCTGGCGACAAAGCGAGACTCCGTCTCAAAGATAAAATAAAAAAAAAAAGAAAAGAGAAAAGTGAAGAAAATGCTAACACTTTATGGGGTTGTGAAGATTAATGAGGCAATACATGTGGGGCTCACAGGAAATGGCCTGACCTTAGTAAAATTATCACACGGGGATCCAAAGAGCTTGTGAGCTGTAACAATAAGGGAAGGTATACTGCGTTTTGAATACTGCACAACGTGCTGGAAAGAAGGTGCCAGGGCAAGAAGGAAACTAGGGCGGGGATCAAAGGAAAGCAGCACCCTAAAATGAGGTCTCTAGCATTTGAATCAACACGTGTGTGCCTTTATTGTTACAGACACAGGTATAGAGATGGGGGCCCTGGCTCAGGATGTAACATTTATTTCTTCTTGTGGCCTGCAGTCAAACAAATATGAAAGACACACATACACACACACACAACCACACACACACACGCACATGCGCACACACAGCCCTGGGTCACCTGGCTTGCTTGGTAGCTACACCCTCCCTACCCAGTCACGCACACATCATCCTATCATCCTAGTGTTCTCTCGGTGCCCTCCTCGCTATCCAGCCACCCAGTACTTCAGCCCTGCTGATGCCTCTGGAATCCCTTCACTCCTCCTGAGCTCTGTCACCTCCAGCCCAGACTGTCCCAGCACCCCCTCTGGTGTCTCAAAGCTGCACGCTGCTGTGTACTGCACTATCTACTGCAGGTGGCCTTCTGCAGCTCTGCACACTGCTAAAACTCAGCAAGAAACAAGGCACTCTATAGCCTGGCCCACCTGCCCAGCCTCTCCCCCTCTCCACTTATCCCAGAAATACAGAACTACTTTTTTAAAACAAAGAAGACTGCTGACATCCAGAACCTGGTGATGGCTTCGCTGGTAGAGGATGGGATGGAGGAAAAGGAAAGTTAGGGTGACACCTTGTTTCTGACTGGAGCAACTGGGCAGGTAAGAGAACCATTCATGGAGACAGTAACAAGAGATGGAGCACAGGTATAGAGGGACAGATGAATCCCGGGGGGGTGAGTGCGGCATAGCAGACCTCCTGTGGACAGCATGATGGGGGCAGAAATCACCAGTAACCATATCCTAGTAGGTGAATGACCCTTAAGAGCAAACATCAGGGCTGAAAGATACAGCACCCTCCCACATAAAGACCAGTCCTCTGCTGGAATCCCAGGGGACCCAGGCTGGGATTTATCTTTTTAAAACAAAAAAGGACGCCAAGTACAGTGGCTCACACCTGTAATCCCAGCACTTTGGGAGGCCCAGGCAGGAGGAGTGCGTGAGCCCAGAAGTTCGAGACCAGCCTGGGCAACACAGCAAGACCCTATCTCTACCAAAAATACAAATTAGCCAGGCATGGTGGCTTGCACCTGTAGTCCCCAGCTACTTGGAAGGCTGAGTTAGGAAGATGGCTTGAGCCTGGGAGGAGGAGGCTACAGTGAGCTGAGATCATATCACTGCACTCCAGCCTGGGAGACCGAGCCAGATCCTGTCACAAAAGAAAAAAAAAGAAAAAGCCATCCAAGGAGACTTGGGCTCATGAATCTGAGCTGATCACACTTAGAGGTATAGCCCATGCCTGCTGGGTAGGGTTATGCAGAAGCTATTTCAAGATACTTGAGGGGGGCCAGGTGCAGTGGCTCACGCCTGTAATCCCAGCACTTTGGGAGCCTGAGGCAGGTGGATCACCTGAGGTCAGGAGTTCGAGACCAGCCTGGCCAACACTGAAACCCTGTCTCTACTAAAAATACAAACTATTAGCTGGGCATGGTGGTAGGTGCCTGTAATCCCAGCTACTCGGGAGGCTGAGGCAGGAGAATTGGTATGGGTAGGGGGATATGGAAATAACTTTCACTAGGAATTTCAATTTCTACAACACCTTTTAAGAACTTTTACTGACAGCATATGGGAAGTTAAGGATCACCTAAAATTCCAGAAGACAATGAGAACAATTAAAGGTATATAAATGAAAGACAGCATAGTGCCCTGCAGCTCTTATGGGACTTCTTCCTTTTTAAAGAGCTTTCCCATGCATTAGAACCTTGTAAAACTTCTGAATAAGAAGTCAGAGCAGAGAAAGCTTACAAAAGGCACACCCGGAGCGCTTAAGAAAGACATCCTGTGGGGCGCGGTGGCTCACATCTGTAATCCCTGCACTTTAGGAGGCTGAGGGTGGTGGATCACTTGAGGCCAGGAGTTCAAGACCAGCCCGGCCAACATGGTAAAACCCCATCTCTACAAAATAGCCAGGCACGGTGGTGCGCATCTGTAATCCCAGCTACTCGGAAGGCTGAGGCAGGAGAATCGCTTGAACCTTGGAGGCAGAGGTTACAGTGAGCTGAGATCACACCACTGCACTGCAGCCTGGGCAACAGAGTGAGACTCTGACGGGTTGATGGGTGCAGTAAACCACCATGGCATGTGTGTACCTATGTAACAAACCTGCACATTCTGCACATGTACCCCAGAACTTAAAAAAAAAAAAAAGATATCCTGTTTCTTGAGAAAGGGGCAAAATGGCTGTGACAAGTGATGCTTCAACTTCTTCTTCTGTGATTCTTGATGGCCCTTTTGATATTTCACTCCAAATAGCCTGCATGCAACTGACTGGTATGGAAGACACCGAGACTGGGAACAGCTGCCACAGGGCAGGAGGAATGGGGCACCCAAAGGGGACTCGACATGGCTGACCACCTCACAGACTGCCAAAATTGACCCTGCTTCCCTCCACAGGGAGATGGAGAAAAGTAGGCTGTAGGGATCCATTGGTTCCATGGAAACAGAATTCTGGAGACACCAAGAAATGGAGGCCCCTTAAAGGGTTTCACTCACCCATTATTCCTTTCCTTTTTTTTTTTTTTTTTTTTTGAGACAGCATCTCGCTTGGACACCCAGGCTAGAGTGCAGTGGCACGATCTTGGCTCACTACAGTCTCGACCTCCGGGGCTCAGGTGATCCTCCCACCTCCACCTCCCAAGTAGCTGGGACCACAGGTGTGCACCACCATGCCTGGCTGATTTTTTTATTTTTTGTAGAGATGGGGTTTTGTCATGATGCCCAGGCTGGTCTCAAACTCCTGAGCTCAAGCAATTCAACCACCTCGGCATCCCAAAGTGCTGGGATTACAGGCGTGACCAACTGCACCTGGCCCCTTTATTCCTTTTTTGTGACAAGACTAACTCTTCTTTGTCCTGTTCCTGCTCACTGCCAGCAGATGGGAGTCTTTAACTGTACAGTCTTGGGCTCCTGAGATTTTATGGAATAAGCTCACACCCATGACTCACAGCTAAACCTCTGCTGGTGCAACCTAGGAACCATTCCGGCTGGAAGGTGCATGAGACACTAAGACCCACAGACAATGTTTTCGCTACACTTTTAGAGACACACACATACCTCTAAAACAGAGATTGGCAAACTGCTTCTGTAAAGAGCCAGAAAGTAAATATTTTAGCCTTTGCAGGCCAGATGGTCTCTGTTGTAACTACTCAACTCTGCTGTTATAATTGTCATATGGCTGCTGAAGCACAATATGCAAACAAATGGGAGTGGCTGCCTTCCAATAAAACTTTATTTACAAAAACAGGCTGTGGGCCAGATTTGGCCCTGGGCTACAGTTTGTAACACCTGCTCTAAAAAAGCAAACAAATGTTATATATATATATATAGATATATATTTTAAAAGAAACTTCAGACCAAAAAAAGGCCTTCAGCCCAATATAATTACCAATCAAAACCAAAACATTTCCACAAAGAACTTTCAGACACTATACAGTCTTCCTTCCTCACTACTGACTGACTGCCTTTTTCTTAGGAGGGGTACGTAAGCCTCAGGTTACTTTGCTCATAAATAAGAGGCTCAGATTTATTAATTATTAATCCATCTACAAGACGGGAGAAAAAAAACAAATTGCGTGACAAGTCAACGGGGTCTCAGGTCCAATGGCAGGATCTCTCCAGCGGCCTGTTAACACTGACATAGCACATTCTCTCACACTGTACTGTGCTCTGGTTCCTCACACCACACCATGGGACAACTCATTACAAAAACACAACAGGTCAGCCGAGCATAGTGGCTCATACCCATAATCTCAGCACTTTGGGAGGCTAAGGCAGGTGGACCACTTGAGGCCAGGAGTTCAAGACCAGCCTGGCCAACACAGTAAAATGCTAGCTCTACTAAAAATACAAAAATTAGCTGTGCATGGTGGTGAACGCCTGTAATCCCAACTACTGGGGAGGCTGAGACAGGAGAATTGCTTCAACCCGGGAGGTGGAGGTTGCTGTGAGCCAAGATCACACCATGGCATTCCAGCCTGGGTGAGAGAGTGAGTAAGACTCTGTCTCAAAAATAACAATGACGGAAAAACAAAGATACAACAGATCTACAGAAAAGGGAAGGTCACCCTCCTGAAAAACCACAGAGGCTGTGTGCAGGGGAAAGAGGAAGAAATCCGGAGTTTAATGGGCAGATAACAATGCTTGATCCCTGCCCCAGAGCCTCTGGCTGCAGGATCCTGGAAGACAATCTTGCAGTCTCATTTCCCTCATCTGTGTAAAACACCCTTACAGAGTTCTCGTGTTAATTCATGAGGTCATATATGTAAAAACACTTCATGATGTTAGTGATTATATCTTGAGAAGAGAATGCAGAGGCAAAGAAATACCCACACTCTGTTGAAGTCACTGATTTCTCACTTCAATAAGAGAAGGGTTGAGAGCTCTGATGACCAAAGACCTTCATATCAGGTGAACTGATTAGGGGACAAAACAGATAAGTGGGTCTTGGTCAACATCCGCAAAAAATCTGGAGAAATGCACGTTCCCATTACTGTCACATGACGGACCTGACAGAAGAACCAAGCAAAATCTGTACAAACCTACAAAAAAAAAATGCAATTAGTGAGGACTTTTTTTTTTTTTTTTTTTAAGAGACGAAGTCTCACTCGTCGCCCAGGCTGGAGTGCGGTGGCATGATCTCGACTCACTGCAACCACAATCTCCTGGGTTCAAGCAATTCTCCTGCCTCAGCCTCCCATGTAGCTAGGATTACGGGTGCCCACCACCACACCCAGCTAATTTCTGTTTTTAACAGAGACAGGGTTTCACCATGTTGGCCAGGCTGGTCTCTAACTCCTGACCTCAAGTGATCTGCCCACCTCAGCCTCCCAAAGTGCTGGGATTACAAGTGTGAGCCACCATGCCCGGCCAATTAGTGAGGACTTTGTAGGGAAACGGTTTGGCTATTAAAATCTAAGCCCAGGAGGCCAGGCACGGTGGCTCACGCCTGTAATCCCAGCACTTTGGGAGGCCGAGGTAGGCAGATCACAAGGTCAGAAGATTGTGAGCAGCCTGGCCAACACGGTGAAACCCCGTCTCTACTAAAAATACAAAAATTAGCCAGACATGGTGGTGTGCACCTGTAGTCCAAGCTATTCAGGAGGCTAAGGCAGGAGAATCGCTTGAACCCGGGAGGTGGAGGCTGCAGTGAGCCAAGATTGTGGCATTGTACTCCAGCCTGGGCAACAGAGGAGCAAGACTGTCTCAAAAAAAAAAAAAAAAAAAAAAAAAAAAAACCTAAGCCCAGGAGCCAAAGACCACACTCCAGTTTTCTTTCCCTCTGAGAATGTAATTAGACCTGCATTCATACTCTAACAGAGCAGTTAAGAGACCAAATCAGAAAAAGATTACAAAATGGCTTTGCAACATATTATCATCACCCAGCCATATGAATCTCCAAATTTTACCCAAGAAGCCATTATCCTGACAAAATCTTAGTTACTGTCAAAATTACAAATATAGGCTGGGCGCAGTGGCTAATGCCTATAATCCCAGCACTTTGAGAGGCTGAGGCAGGAGGATCGCTTGAGGCCAGGAGTTCAGGACCAGCCTGGGCAACATAGTGAGACCGCTGTCTCTACACAAAAACTTAAAAAATTAGCCAGATGTGGTGGCGCATGCCTGTGGTCCCAGCTACTTGGGAGACTGATGTGGGAGAATTGCTTAAGCCCAGCAGTTCGAGGCTGTAATGAGCCATGATTGTGCCATTGCGTTCCAGCCTGGGTGACAGGGCAAGACTCTGGCTCAAAAAAAAAAAAAAAAAGTTACAAATGCATGCATGAGCTCTCCATTCCAGCAATTCTACTGGTAGAATTTCTCCTCCTGACATATTTCTACTCATACTGAGGGAAATATAAGGATTTTTATTATAGCTCCATTTGTAACAACAATTAGAGACAACCTAAAATATCTGTCACCAGGGCCCTGGTGAGATAAAACAGGACTGAGAGTCGTAGGGGCATCTAGGCAGATGGGACAGGGGTGGGAGACAGGCTTTCGCTGCATAACTTTTAATATATGTTTACATTTCGAATTAGGTGAAAATCTAACGAAAAAAATCTAAACACTTGGGGAGGGAGGAGGGGAATTTGAACATACCTTTAATCTCCAGAAGGTGGTATCCATGCCTGCCCCAAGGTTGACAATTTGACAATGACATTCTGTCTTCCGTAGAAATGCCTTTATAAGCTGACTGACACCATGGACTCGAGCAAAATATCCTAGGGGGGAGGGGAGGCACAGAAACAAGCTATCACCCAGTGATGACAGAAATTATCCCTGTGAAGCCCACCCCAGGAGAAGAGCAAAACAGAGAGCATGCGCCCTTCTGCAGTGTCAGAGGTTAATCTGCAGACTCTATGGGAGAAACAGCAACTTTCAAATTTTTTTTTTTTGGTTAAAGGCATCTGAACCAAGGTAAGTATAATCTATTTCATGAAGCAATTAACTACCTTTGAAAAAATGAGCTATAGTTTTATGTATGAAAAATAAGTGTTTTACATTGAAACGTCTAAAGTCCATCTTGGAAATGTGCCTTTCATGGCTATAATGAAAGCCACTCTGGACTCGGGTAAACCTGAAAATTGTGAGATCATATGAAAAATAATAGTATGGGTCAGGAAACTGAGCAGATGAATGTTAACACAAAGGAAGCTATATTTGTTATCCTGTTCCCTTCACCTCCACCCTGAATGGGTTAGTCTCTATGTAAAATGGGGGTCGCAGAGAAGACCAGCAAATTGCTGCCTAATAAAATGGCTTGCTACTAAAAACACAAAAATTAGCCAGGCATGGTGGTGCACAACTGTAATCCCAGCTTCTTGGGAGGATAGACCACAAGAATTGCTTGAACCCAGGAGGCAGAGGTTGCAGTGGCCCAAGATTGCGCCACTGTTAAGTTTTCGGGTGGAGGGTTGGGGAAAAGGAGATGGAAATAAAGAAGAAAAGATCACAAGGTCTGTCTGTGCTCTAAAACTATGCTGCTCAAAGTATGTGCATGGCTGTTAACAGTATGTGACTATTTTAAGAAAAAAATCTGATAGCATTTAGAAACTTTATTACAATTTGACAGAGAAATTTCAAGTCTGTTCAATCTACTAATAAATGATTTGGAATTGTACATTGTATGTCATTTTCATTTTATTTTTCTAGATCATTTCTATTGTATTTTACAGAGATATCATCCGCGATGGATTGGACACTGGGGGAAAAATGTCCTCACCATACACCATTTGGGAGGCACTCTCCAATCTGGCTGCATTCTAAAGGTTCAAATACAGGGTAGAAGAGAGGGGTGCCGCCAGGGCGTGGGGTGGGGGTCTTTGCCTGTGCAGCATTTGTTAGGAAATCTGCCTCAAAAGCAGGGGAGGGAATGCAAAATAAAATTGCATGTCCTTGTTTTCAGAAACCACCACTTTAAAATTTCTTGGCATTTCTTATAGAACCCACCTACAGGATCCAACTTGAGAGCCAAGATTCCCTGCACACACAAGAATTATAGTCATTTGGTCAATTTCTCAATCTGGCTGAGAATAAGGCAGGCTCCTGTCTCAAAGCCTTTGACTTCCTTGATGGAAATTATCTGCAGAGCCTAATAGTGTCATTAACACTAAAATAAGGCATCAAAAAGTAATTCTCCATCTCTTCCCTCTCAGGCTTTACACTGCTAAGCCAGAATGGAGCTGAATGACTACCTTTCCTGCATACTCTGCTGTCTGGGAAAGAGAAACTGGGGACTTAACACATTCAGGCTGCTGCCAATCAAATGTTGCACATGGCACATGCACATCCAGATACAGACTTCTCTTTACGCTCTGGAGTTTCTAAGGGGCAGGCATCTGAAACCATATTCTAGCTATGTTCTGGAACAAGTTACCTGTTGGTGCGAGCTTCAAAATAAATAAATACTTAAATGGCCAACACTACTCATACTGTGAGCCGGGGAGGAAAATAAATCTACTGAAGATTCTTTTTTTTGAGACAGGGTCTCGCTCTGTCACCCAGGATAGAATGCAGTGGTACAATCCTGGCTCACTGCAGCTTTGATTGCCTGAGCCGATCTTCCCACCTCTGCCTCCCAAGTAGCTGGGACTACAGGCACATGCCACCACACCTGGCTAATTTTTTATTTTTTGTAGAGACAGGGTTTCACCATGTTGCCCAGGCTGGTCTTGAACTCCTGAGCTCAAGTGATCAACCTGCCTCGGCCTCCCAAAGTGTTAGGATTACAGACGTGAGCCACCGCACCCAACCCTGTTGAAGAATTTTTTTTTTTTTTTTTTTGAGATGGAGTATTGCTCTGTCGCCCAGACTGGAGTGCAGTGGCGTGATCTCGGCTCACTGCAAGCTCTGCCTCCCGGGTTCACGCCATTCTCCTGCCTCAGCCTCCGAAGTAGGTGGGACTACAGGCACCCGCCACCACACCCGGCTAATTTTCTGTATTTTTAGTAGAGACGGGGTTTCACCGTGTTAGCCAGGATGGTCTCGATCTCCTGACCTCGTGGTCCGCCCGCCTCGGCCTCCCAAAGTGCTGGAATTACAGGTGTGAGCCATCACGTCCAGCCCTGTTGAAGAATCTTAAGGGCCAAATCTCCTAAGCCTAGGCCTACTGCTGTCAGCACCTCTGAGCCCTCCCTCATCTGAGAATTACCAGGTCTCACAACACTTTCCCTCCCACCCACAGTGAGGAACATCAACAAAGCTGTAAAAGACCCACGTCCTCTAGACTTAAAACCCTCAAGCTGCGCAACTGGGCAGAAATCCTCAATTTCCATCCTTAGGGAAGATTCACATACACAGACAAGAGGCGTGAAAACTAAGATATGCTCAGCCTGAAATATACAAAAGCCTTTGGAATGTCTCCTTATAGAAAAACCCAATTAAATCCACATAATTAGTCCAGACACCTAGATGAGCCATAGGCAACCAACCAACCAGAGGAAAAGTCTGATGTAAATTCTAAGAGACTCTCCTCCTCATACCTGTACTATAAAGCAGTTTCTCCATATTTATCCAATTAGTGTAGGAATACACATGTGAAAAATAAAGCTTTATGTATTTTTCTCATTGGGGAAAAAAAAGTGATTCCTGATAGGGACAGTTTACAGTGAAAGATATTTAAATGGGCTTCAAACACATGAAAATGATCCTCAACGTCACTTATAAATAGGAGAAACATTTTTAAAATTGCAGTAAGATACCATTTTTCACATGACAGATTAAAGAAGATTAATACTTTTTTTTGAATTCATTAAATTTAATAAAATTTCAAAAAC
Organism: Homo sapiens; assembly: GCF_000001405.40. Classification (NCBI taxonomy): domain Eukaryota; kingdom Metazoa; phylum Chordata; class Mammalia; order Primates; family Hominidae; genus Homo; species Homo sapiens. The sequence continues at coordinate 25,129,347 of NC_000016.10, read as the reverse complement.
TATTGTGATTTTAATGTGGAAGTAGATATTGTGTTCTTTTTTTTTTCTTTTTTACTCTAAGTTCCAGGATACATGTGCAGAATGTGCAGGTTTGTTACATAGGTATATATATGCCATATATATATGCTTATTTCCCCAGATCTTCACCAACACAGTGTGTTATAAAACTTGTTTGCAGCCATAAAAAGGAATGAGATCATGTCCTTTGCAGGGACATGGATGAAGCTGGAAGCCATTCTTAGCAAACTAACAGAGGAACAGAAAACCAAACACCGCATGTTCTCACTCATAAATGGGAGTTGAACAGTGAGAACACATGACACAGAGAGGGGAACATCACACACTGGGGCCTGTCACTCATCAACCTGTCATTTAGATTTTTAAGCCCTGCATGCACTAGGTATTTATCCTAATGCTCTCCCTCCCCTTGCCCCCCACCCCTGACAGGCCCCAGTGTGTGATGTTCCCCTCTCTGTGTCATGTGTTCTCACTGTTCAACTCCCATTTATGAGTGAGAACATGCGGTGTTTGGTTTTCTGTTCCTCTGTTAGTTTGCTAAGAATGGCTTCCAGCTTCATCCATGTCCCTGCAAAGGACATGATCTCATTCCTTTTTATGGCTGCAAACAAGTTTATAACACACCGTGTTGGTGAAGATCTGGGGAAATAAGCACTTTTGCGCACAGCTGGAAAGGGAGCACACCACGACTTCCTTCAAGAATGAACCCCTAAAACCTCAGGTAGCTGATGAGGTGCTGTTGGGGAGGGAGATGGTCACTTGCCTCTGTTGATTTCAGGGGCTTTCCTCTCTTTAGACAGTCTCACAAAGTGCTGTATGTAAGGGTCATGCCAGTAGCCAATGCTTACTGCAAACCTGGAAGGGAGAAAAAAGGAGGAAGGTGAGTAGAGATTGAGTAGGTTCAGACCAAGGTCCACTGCCAAGTTCCCAGGAACCAGATCAAGGAACTCGACGAAAACCAACCATCCACCTCAAAAGGCCAAGTGCACATTTAGTGCCCTGTTACACAAGCGAAGACGCAGCCATCCATTCATCTTTATGTTCACGTTACACCACCCATCACATTTTCCACAGTGGGCCTTCTCACTCCCTTCCCTCATATTGCTAATTCACTTCCCAGGACCCTACATAGCAAATAGCCTCACTTCATGCTTCATACAGAAGATGTGCAGCCATTTATTCACTCTGCAAACTCATGGCCAGAGCTAGTCAGTTAATTCCACTAAATGAAAAAGCCTGTGCCCAGAGGAAGGGAGACTTAGAAACACTTGACAAACAGCATGAATTAACCAAGTGTTTCTCCTGACTCTGTATTAGGTGCCAATCATTTCACTCTTCTTAGGGAGGTCATAGTGGGGAAACTAGGAAGAAATGAACAAAGCAAGCACGAACAAAACAATGTGGAAAATGCCACAGTAGCCTTAATTCTCTCTAGCCAGTCTATACTACAAGGAATTAAGGCTTCATCTAGCACAGGAAGCCTTCTTGCAACCATGAGTAGAACCAGCTTTAGGATGACTGAGGACTCATGAAAAGAAGCGGGATCCCGAAGGCCATGCTCAGCTGCTGTGGGCCTGCAGACTGCTCTACCTCTGAACATCGATTTTGTGAGATAAGTGCCTTCACCCTTTTAGCCAATTTGAGTCAGGCTTCTGTTACTTGCAGCCCAAAGCATCCTAATGATACCCTGAGTAATGCCCCCATTTCTTGTTGCCTGCTAAGTAAGGTGAAATTAAGGGTATGGGTGTGTCATGTCTCTCAGCTTCTAGAAGTAAATAATACAGCTTTAAATCTGCTACTAAGGCTTACCTCTGGCCTGACTACAATAAGTGTTGAATTCTGCACAATCTCCCAACCTCTTCCATCCATAGACACCCAAAAGGAAGCACATGTTCAGCTGCTCCATGCAGCAACTCACCACAGAAACATGGAAAATACTCACTAATGGACACGATCTGTTATACAAGCCCAGACTGTCCAAGGAAAACAGCATACCCACACAGTTTTATAACAATATACTTAAAAAAATGGTTTTCAGTTAGTCATGACCCATTAATACAATAAAATCAATTCATTTGCAAACCTGCATTACTTTTTTAAATGTTGAACCAAGTAAAATAAAAAATAGGATGCATTACATATAGTAAGGATTAAGACATTTATGATGCTTACTCTTGGCTTCAAGTGATTCTCCAACCTCCGCTTCCCAAGGTGCTGAGATTACAGGCGTGAGTCACCGTGCCCAGCCTACTTTTGTTTCAAGTGTGTGTTGAGGGTGTAAGTGCAATGAAAAATGTATTTCCTCTGTGTGGTTGGCAGTTTGGGAAACACTGATTTCAAAGAAATCATATAGTGTCATCTAGTGGTAAAAGCTACATCTGCAGTTGAAACAAGAATGGTAGCCCAGCAACCCACAGATGAGAATACTCATCCCACAGTTTTAAGGATCAGAAGGGACCTTAGAAATGATCTCATCAACCCTAACATCCCGTGCAAGAACCAAGGCAGCAACATCAAGTCACTGCTTGACTACTAGTTCCCCAAGGAAGGCACTCGCCCCGCTGCTAAGCAGCTCTGTTGAAAACCTGATCAATTTGCCTCCCTCTGGAAGCCATAACTTGCTGGACTCTTGGATAATAAAGAGCAGGTTCTATCCTCTCACCTCCAGATTCTTTACACTGTTCAATACGACTAGTGTAGCCAAGGAACATGTGGGTGTCTGCCAAGTGCTAGGCACTGGGGGTACAGTGGTAAACAAGGAGAGAAAGGAGAGGCAGATAATTACAAGATGATGAGGAATGAAGGCAGTGACTCGTAGAGAGGAAGACGGTCACGGGGGAGGCCTCTCTCAGAAGGGGATGGCCGTGGCGAGCCCTGGAGAATGGGAGAGTCAGGTGTCCAAAAGGCATTCCAGACAGAAGGAAGGGCAGGCAGAAAGACTCGGGGAACACACCTGAGCCTCCAGTACAGAGAGGAGGCAGGGAGGCCGGAGGACAGTAAGAAACTGGGGAGGAGGCCAGAGGGAGAAGCAGGCTCAGGACGCAGGGTCTGGAGGGCATCTGGGACTGACCTCAGGAGCACCCTGTCCGTGGTCACAGTGGTGCACAGTGGTAGAGAGTGGTGAGATGCACGGGTCCATAATGCAAACACACCCAGCCAGCAACTCCCACCGGCTCCCACCTCCTAGTGCCCCTAACACTTTCCTCCTCCCACTCCGCAAACCCAGGTGACTGCAACAGGTTTCCATGCGCCCTAGGAAGAAGGACCTCACTGTCCAGCCTATCAGAGTGGCCAAGATGAAAAGATTTGCCACCCAGTGTTGGGCAGTGAGGAGGAGAGTGCTGTCGGGCGCTGCTGATGGCAGTTCTGAAGGGAGACAAGCAGCAAGTTTTAGGATTTATAGGACATCAGTTGGAAAGTAAGTGAACCAACTGCTGAACAAATTGGCAACAAAACTATTATTATTATTATTATTATTATTATTATTATTACTATTAGAGATGGAGTTTTGCTCTTGTTGTCCAGGCTGGAGTGCAATGGCGTGATCTCGGCTCACTGCAACCCCCGCCTTCCAGTTTCAAGCAATTCTCCTGCCTCAGCCTCCCGAGTAGCTGGGATTACAGGCACCCGCCACCACGCCTGGCTAATTTTTGTATTTTTAGTAGAGACGGGGTTTCACCACCTTGGGCAGCTGGTCTCAAACTCCTGATGTCGTGATCCGCCCGCCTCAGCCTCCCAAAGTGCTGGGATTACAGGTGTGAGCCACCGCGCCCGACCCAACAAAACTATTATTTAATCTAGCTTGGCTTTGGAGAGGGATAGGGAAGAGGGCACTCAAGCTGCCGGAACCTTAAACTGGCACAATCACACTGCAAGGCACTGCGATGACAAGTATAAAAGGCCTGAAACACATGCGTACACAATGACCACACAATCCCATTTCTAGGATTTAATCCTAAGAAAATCAAGTATGGGCACAAAGATTTCTCTGCAGGAACACTGAACACAGAGTTATAGTATCAGGTGAACAAACCTAATCACAAAATTGTATGTGTAGGATGTTCCCAATTTTGTTAGAGAATACATACACATGCAAGGCTGCCCACAGCAGACACCAAAGTGTTAATACACTGTTATCTCTGCACCCTGCATGACACTGTGCATCTAGTTCTGCCTGTCAATTTCCATTACACATCTCTGCTCCCAAAACCCAGAGAACATCACTTCTATTTGTATATCCTGATTTCATATTCAAAGCCTAGATTCAAAAAATCAAACATCTCAGATTTGGAAAGACCTCAAAGATTTTCCCAGTCTTCTTTCAATCCATAAATGCTTTCAGTTTCCATGACATTCACATGCCACCTGTTCAATTTAGTGTGTCTTTAAATCACTCACTTTTTAAAAATACTTAGGTTTGAGGTGCTGCCTAACATTTTCTAACACAACACTGTAATAAATAGCTAACTACAAAAATGATAAGCATCTGTGTAACACCTAAAATCATCTCACTTTCCTCCCACGGGAAAGACAGATCTGGTCCAACCACCTAATGCTTCATTCAAGAAGCATTTACTGACTGAGACCTGTCTCCACGAGCGTCAACTGGAACAATGGGGCCTTCTTCTGAAAGGTGTGAAATCCCCTCCAACAGGCATTTCCTCATCTGAGGCATCAAAGAATGAAAAGGGGCCTCCCTGCTCACCTGGCCTATAAGGATCAAGCCTGGTGCCTCATTGACTTCTTTAATCAAGTCACCAAGTGCTTACTATGTGCCAGGCATTATTCCAAATGCTTGACCAAATATGAATACATACAAATAGGAACCCCCATAAGATCCTACAAGGCAGGCTTGACTTTACAGACTGAAGTCAGTTACATCAGCTGTGGAACTTAATTCTATAAACATAGAGAACTGAAGGTTTAATGTAGGTGTTCAAATTTACTCACCTGGATTTAAATCTGCCCCCCATACACACTTGTTTTTTCCCTCATAACACCTGAGTTGCTTAAATGATGTGTGTGTGTTTGTCTGTATACATGTACACGTAAGTCATGTGTTGCTTAAAGATGAGGATACATTCTGAAAAACATGTTGTTTAAAAATTTAAACTTTTTCAGTGTTTTACTGTTTTATAATAACAGGTCTACTGTGTAGAGTTTCCTGAAAAGATACTGCTTTCCTGATGAAAGGAAATGGACTCTTGAGAGACAGATGTCCTTTCCTAGGATTCTTTCTTTTTCTTCTTCCCTCCTGGAGCAAAGCTACTCAAATGGACTAAGAATACTCAGTAATTCCCTGGTAAAAACCTATCCTTACCCCTGCGAAACAAGTTGTGGGAACTCTGACTCAATTTACAACTAAAAACCTTTGGAAGTCAACATTTTGAGCTATCAACTTGAAAGAAAGGAAGCAAATTAGGCCGGGTGTAGTGGCTCACGCTTGTGATCCCAGCATTTTGGGAGGCCGAGGCGGGCGGATCACCTGAGGTCAGGAGTTCGAGACCAGCCTGGCCAACATGGTGAAACTCCGTCTCTACTAAAAATACAAAAAATTAGCCGCATATGGTGGCTCATGCCTGTAATCCCAGCTACAAGAAAGGCTGAGGCAGGAGAATCGCTTGAACCCAGGAGGCAGAGGTTGTGGTGAGCCAAGATTGCGCCACTGCACTCCAGCCTGGGTGACAGAGCAAGACTCCGTCTCAAAAAAAAAAAAAAAAAAAAAAAAAGAAAGCAATTTAACGGGAAGTCAAGCATGAAACACACATTGCAATGTTAAAGTGTAAATAAGAATTTGGCATATAAGGCTGAGTGCGGTGGCTCACGCCTGTAATCCCAACGCTTTGGGAGGCTGAGGCAGGTGAATCACCCGAGGTCAGGATTTTGAGACCAGCCTGGCCAACATGGCGAAACTCCATCTCTACTAAAAATACAGAAATTAGCTGGGCATGGTGGTGCATGTCTGTAAACCCAGCTTCTCAAGAGGCTAAGGCAGGATAATAGCTTGAACCCGAGAGGTGGAGGTTGCAGTGAGCCAAGATTGCACCACTGCACTCTAGCCTGGGCAACAGAGCAAGACTCTGTCACAAAAAAAAAAAAAAAAAAAGAAGTTATATATAATACAAGTGTTGTCTCAAATCAATGGGGAAATACAGACCATTAAATAGTTGGTATGGGGACAAATGGCTAATGATGTGGAATAAAATTAGCACTGCAAACACTAAAAAAGACAGATGAACAGGCCAACCATAAAACCAAAGCCAGAAAAATGCTAAAAGATACGTTAAATAATTGGAAATAGCCTAAGCATTGCCCAAAACTCCCAACCTATAAAGGTAAAGATTGTCAGATTCTGCATCACAAAGATTTAAAACTTCTGAAGCTGGGCACAGTGGCAAGTGCCTATATCCCAGCTACACAGGAGACTGAGGCAGGAGGATCACTTGAGCCCAGGAGTTTGAGACCAGCCTGGGCAACATGGCAAGATCCTGTCTCAAAAAAAGAAAAAAAGATTTACAATTTCTGAATTATGAAATGTACTGTACAAGTTGAACCAAGAGACAAGCATCAGCTTGACAGAAAATACTGCAAGCAAAGCAGAGGCACAGGATAACTACGCCTGAAATAAAAAGTTCTTACAAATCAGCAAGAAAAACACAACCAAACAAGACATGACAAACAGTCCAACAGGAAATAACAAGGGCTGGAAGCAGTGGCTCGCACCTGTAATCCCAACACTTTGGGAGGTCAAGGAGGGCAGATCACCTGAGCCCAGGAGTTCAAGACCAGCCTGGGCAACAAAGTAAGACCCCATCTCTATAAAAAATAAAAAAATAAAAATAAATTAAAAAAACACAGCCGGGCATGGTAGTGCACGCCTGTGATTCCAGCTACTCGGGAGGGTGAGGTGGGAGGATCGCTTGAGCCACCAGGGAGGTCAAGGCTGCAGTGACCCAAGATTGTGCCACTGCTCTCCAGCCTGGGCGACAGAGTGAGACTGTCTCAAACAATAATCATCATCATCATCATCAGGAGAGAGGATTCACATAAGAAATATCAGTGACAATGAGCAGATTTTAAGTGCTCAGCCTCATGAGTGATTATAGGATAGAAATTAAAGAGACAGCCTATTTTCTACCCAGCAGCTGGTAAACAAGGAAAGAGACAGACTACTGAATAATTAGCATTGCATTCACCATGGGTAGGTACAACTGATATAACCTCTTTCAAGAAGCATTTTGCAGAAACTTCTCCCTGGGAATCTATTTCACAAGAAAATTCACACACATGTGCAAAAATGCTGATCACAACACTATTTTCAGAGCAAAAACCAGAGCCACCTAAATGATGAACAACAGAAGAGTGGCCAAAGTACGAAACTGCAGAACACTGTGCAGCCATTAAAAACAATGAGGCAGATCTCTGTGAAATGACATGGACAATATGCTCCTACTATGCCACTGATATGGTTTGGCTGTGTCCTCACCCAAAATCTCACCTTGAATTGTAATCCCCATAATCCCTACATGTCAAAAGCAGGACCAAGTGGAGGTAACTGGATCATGGGGGCTGTTTCCCCCATGCTGTTCTCATGTCATGAGATCTGATGGTTTTACAAGCGACTGGCATTTCCCCTCCTAGCACTCACTCCACCCTGCCACCCTCTGAAGAAGGTACTTGCTTCTCCTTTGCCTTCCGCCATGACTAAGTTTCCTGAGGCCTCTCCAGCAATGGGAACTGAGTCAATTAAACCTTTTTCCTTTATAAATTACCCAGTCTCAGGTATTTCTTCATAGCAGTATGAGAACAAACTAATACAGCCATTAAGGGGAGAAAAAAGAACTCACTCTTCTGTGATTAAAAAATTAACCTTTTAAGAGAAAAAAATAATTTGAAATTGATATCTTTTTCTTTTTCTTTTGAGATGGAGTCTCACTCTGTCACCAGGCTGGAGTGCAGTGGCATGATCTCGGCTCACTGCAACCTCCAACTCCCAGGTTCAAGCAATTCTCCTGACTCAGCCTCCCAAGCAGCTGGGATTACAGGCTCCCACCACCACCCCCAACTAATTTTCGTATTTTTAGTAGAGACGGGGTTTCACCATGTTGGCCAGGATGGTCTCAATCCACCTGCCTCGGCCTCCCAAAGTGCTGGGATTACAGGCGTGAGCCACCACGCCTGGCCAAAATTGACATTCTTGATGTAAAAATCATCAACTTTGGCAAACACATCCCAAAATTTAATCTGCTCCTTAAAAAAATGAAAACAAGGCCAGGTGTGTTGGCTCATGCCTATAATCCTAGCACTTTGGGAGGCCAAGGTGGGAGGATTGCTTGAGGCCCAGGAGTTTGAGACCAGTCTAGGCAACACGGCAAAACCCCGTCTCTACAAAAAAAAAAAAAAAAAATACAAAATCAGCCAGGCCTGGTGATGCACTCCTACAGTCCCAGCTACTCGGGACACTGAGGTGGGAGGATCACCTGAGCCCGGGGAGGTAAACGCTGCAGTAAGCTGTGAATATACCACTGCCCTCCACCCTGGGCCACAGAGTAAGACCTCATCTCAAAAAAAAAAAAACAAAAAAAAAAAACAAAAAAACAAGGCCAGGTGCGGTGTCTCACGCCTGTAATCCAAGCACTTTGGGAGGCCAAGGCAAGCAGATCACATGAGGTCAGGAGTTCGAGAACAGACTGGCTACATGGTGAAACCCCGTCTCTACTAAAATACAAAAATTAGCCGCGTGTGGTGGCACATGCCTGTAATTGTAATTCCAGCTACTTGGGAGGCTGAGGCATGAGAATCGCTTGAACCTGGGAGGTAGATGCTGCAGTGAGCCGAGATCACACCACTGTACTCCAGCCTGGGTGACAGAGCGAGACTCTGTCTCAAAAAAAAAAAGAAAAAGAAAAAAAAAGAAATCAAAAACCATAGAATTTAAATTAGCTGGGCGTGGTGGCGCATGCCTGTAATCCCAGCTACTCGGGAGGCTGAAGAAGGAGAATCACTTGAACCCGGGAGGCGGAGGTTGCAGTGACCCGAGATCGCACCACTGCACTCCAGCCTGGGCAACAAGAGCGAACCTCCATCTCAAAAAAACAAAACAAAAAAACCCATAAAATTTCACTTTATTGATGGACAAGGTTTTTTGGGGTTTTTTTAAATATTTTTTTCAGACAGAGTCTCGCTCTGTCGCCCAGGCTGGAGTGCAGTGGTGTGATCTTGGCTCACTGCAACCTCCACCTCCTGGGTTCAAGTGATTCTCCTGCCTCAGCCTCCCAAGTAGCTAGGATTACAGGCGCCCGCAGTCACACCCAGCTAGTTTTTTGTATTTTTAGTAGAGACGGGATTTCACCGTGTTAGCCAGGATGGTCTCCATCTCCTGACTTCATGATCTGCTTGCCTCAGCCTCCCAAAGTGCTGGGATTACAGGCATGAGCCACCGTGCCTGGCCTGATAGACAAGTTTTACAGCTAATTTATGTTTAACAGAATGTTCTAGCTCTGAAGTGGCATGTCTTCTCTGGGGATGGAAAGCAGCACCTGCCTTGAAAATATTTCAGATCACAATCTCGACCTTACTCTCTGGGGCATAGCTAAGAAGATGTCATCAGGATGCCGGAAAGGCCCTGGGCTAAGCCGTGAGGAAAAACTTGGCTTTGTGGAGAGACCTTGTGACCTGCTAAAGGGGAGAACATTTTTCCATGCAGCTGAAAATGAGATTAAGTTCTATAATTTTCACAATGAAATTTCAGCCTTATAAGCCCCGGTCTGCTTTCTAGAACACATAGACCACTAAAAGTCAGTAAAATAGAAAACCAGAACGTTAAGACCTCATCAGGAAATACAATCTTGAACATGTGCGCTCAGTTCCCGTCACTGTGGCCAAGCTGACAAATACAGCTCATGTGGCGCAAAGGTAGGAATGGTCTGTGCTCAGTATCGCGTCTATTCCAGTGGCAGAGATGAACACTAGGCACTTTCTAAATTACAACTGGGCCGATGACCACCAAGAAGATGAACAGGGTGTTACGAGAACATTTAACAGAAGCTAGATCTTGTCTGTGAGTGTCAGAGAGGCCTCTTGGAGTGAGCCACATTTGAGCTAAGCCAAAAACCTTGGAGTCATCTTGGGCCCCTCAGTCTTGCCCCACATCCACTCTGCCAGAACATTCTATCAACTCCACCTTCAAAATGCACCCAGAATCTGATACATTCTCAGCACCTCCATCACCACTATCCTGATCCAAGCACCAGCCTGTCTCACAGGGGACACCCCCACAGCCGACTAACTGATCCTGCCTCCGTCCTTAACTCTGCAGTCTGCTCCTAACAGAGGCTGAAGCAATGCTATTAAAACCAAGTGAGACCACCTCACTCTTCAGTTCCAAATGCTCCAACAGCTCCCACCCCACTGAGAGGAAAAGTCGGGTCCTTACAAGAGCCTCCCTCGAGTGACCTGCAGCATCTGCCCCCGCCTCCTGCACCCATGCTCTCCGAGATCTATCCTGCACTCATCCCCATCCCTCACCCTAGTCTTGGTGCTCCTGGAACAGGTCAGGCCGGCTCCTGCCTCAGGACCTTTCTACTCTCCTGCTTCTCTCTGCTGGACATTGCTTCCCCAGACACCCAGAGGGCTCACTCCTGCCCCCTGCAAGCCTTTCCTCTGCACTGACCTCAGTGAGGCCTTCCCTAGCCACCCCATCTCAGATGACAACTCCTTCCAACACACCCACTGCATCTCCCACCGTCTCACACGACACATATTGTGCTGATTTGTTTCCTGGCTATTCCCTACCCACCCCCACTCCAGGAACCAATGCTCCATAAGAGCTGCATCCTGTGTTTGGCTCACTTCTGCATTGGCAGGGTCTAGGACAGCACCTCCATAACCGAAGCAGGCGCTCAACAAAGAATGTGGAGTGAATGCACTCACCTAGGAGATAATGTGGAACTAAGCAGGCAAGGGAGGGTGGAGGAAGCGTTCCAGGCAGAGGGAATGGCATGCTCCAGGGCCCCGAGGATGGAAGAAATGGGGCATATTAGATGAACTGAAAGGATGGCGGTGACGGGGGAGGGAAGTGTGGTATGAAGTGAGGCTGGGGAAGTACACAGAGCAGGCTGGGCCCTATAGCCCACGTAAGAAATGCTGGTCTTTTTCTAATGGCAACAGGAGGCCATTAAGCTAGGGAGTGACAAGATCAAATGGGCCTTTTACAAACCTCTGGCTTCAGTGTGAGATACAGATTTCGGGGAGGTAACAGAGATCGGGAGAGCCCATTTGGGAGACTAGTACCATAGTTCAGATCACAGACGGCAGAAACAGAGGTTAAGGAAAGTTGATTCCTTTCCTTACTTAGCCAAATAATTCCCTCATCCCCTAAATACTTAGCAGATAAAAGTTAACAGGTCTGGGTGACTGCACAAGAGGGAAAATAAAGGGGCAGTTCCAAGATGATGTCAAATTTTTTTTTTTTTTTTTGAGACGGAGTCTCTCTCTGTCGCCCAGGCCGGAATGCAGTAGCACGATCCCAGTACTCTGCAACCTCTACTTCCCCAGTTCAAGCGATTCTCCCATCTCAGCCTCCCAATAGCTGAGATTACAGGCGCACACCACCACGCCCAGCTAATTTTTGTATTTTTAGTAGAGATGGGGTTTCACCATGTTGGCCAGGTTGGTCTCAAACTTCTGACCTCAGGTGATCCACCCATCTCGGCTCCGAAAGTGCTGGGATTACAGGTGTGAGCCACCGCACCAGGCCTTAACTTGTGAACTGAATAAACCATGGCACCATTCACTGAGTTTCAGGTTGGGAATGGCAGGGAGAACACGAGGAGCTGATATGAAGCAGTTTTGGAAATAGTGAACTGGAGGTAATACTGGGACATCCAAGTGGAGATGTCCAGCCGGCGGCCTATCAGGCTAGAGTGAGCAGATCATGAAAAGGTACAGTATATATGTCACACAACAAAGTGCAGATGTTTACCTTGCAGCTGATGGGGAATCAAAAGGTTTTTAGGTGAGTGACAGAATAAGATTTGCGATCCTGACAATCACCCTGGCCAGCAGGTAAGAGTGCACTGCAACAGATCAGGTGAGTCAGGAGAGCCAAGCAAGGGCTATGGTTGTGGAAAAGAGAGGAAGATGTCCCTTGTGTCACCAACCCTTCTCCCACACAGCTGCTAGGAATTTTTCTAAAACACAAACCAAGATCATATCAGTTCTGCACTCAAAATCCCTTAGGATAAAACCCATACTCCTTGGGACCTTCCACGATTCACTGCCTGAGCAGCTTTCTAAATTCTAACCTGCTACCCACTCCCTACTCTCTGTCAAGTTCACCTAATACACCACTCTACTCCAGTCTCCATGCCTCTGCTCCTGCTACTGTCTTCTGCCTGGCAAACCCCAGTTTCTGGTTTATCTCTTTTTTTTGTTTTCTGAGACAGGATCTCATTTTGTCACTCAGGCTGCAGTGCAGTGGCACAATCTCAGCTCACTGCAGCCTCGACCTCCTGGGCTCAAGTGATCTCCCACACCAGCCCCAAAGTAGATGGGACTACTGGCATGCACCGCGACACTGGTTAATTTTTTGTATTTTTTTTTTTTTTTTTTGTGGAGAGGAGGTTTCTCCATGTTGCCCAGGCTGGTCTTGAACTCCTGAGCTCAAGTGATCCGCTTGGCTTCTCCAAGTGCTAGGATTACCAGTTTATCTCTTTAACACCTCCTCCACTGTGGAAAAGAGAAGAGTGGCACTGACCTCCAGGACCTGGTCTGGTGCTGTGGGCCAGGCCCTAATGTTGTTGGAAGCTGGCTGGCACCCATAGGAAGGCCATGTTGTTCTCCTGTTGGACATAAACAATCGCGCAGACCACCCACACAAGGGCACTCTGCACCACTGATGACAGGAGATGAAACGAGACCACCTCATCATTTTGTCTAAGCAGAGAAAAAAGCAAGGTCACTGTGCCACCCACGGAATACCAGACATCTCTTTCTCCCAGCTGATAGAAGTGACTGTGGCTTCTTTACATGTTACAGCTTTAGCCTTACTCCAGCCAAATCTCCTTCTAGAAAAGACAGAGCTACTGGATAGAATTTTCCCACCTGCTTTCAGTACTCAACACAGAGAAAATCCCTTGACCCTCCCCCAAATCACCCAGCCAAAGCCCATATCCTAAAGGTCTAACACTCTCTTACTGATGTGCCCCACAGCTCCTCATAGTGTGAGTCTTCCCTCCTTGCAACAAGTAATAAACCCAGCTTGTTTAACTACAGGTGTGTTTCTGGTGGTCTTTATTGGAGGAATTCACAACTGTAAAAGTGAAAAAGGATGATTACATTTCTTGGGGGAAGGCTGGGCGTGGTGGCTCATGCCTGTAATCCCAGCACTTTGAGGGGCTGAGGCAGGTGGATCACCTGAGGTCAGGCATTCGAGACCAGCCTGACCAACATGGTGAAACCCCTTCTCTACTAAAAATACAAAAATTAGCCGGGTGTGGTGGCAGGCACCTGTAGTCCCAGCTACTCGGGAGGCTGAAGTGGGAGAATTGCTTGAACCCGGGAGGGAGAGGTTGCAGTGAACCAACATCGCGCCACTGCACTCCAGCCTGGGCAACAACAGCCAAACTCCCTCTCAAAACAAAACAAACAAAGTTTCTGGGGGAGGTTAAGGGAGTTTCATTCTAAGGGTTCCCATTTTCCATGTTGAGCAATAGCTGATATTATCTTGAGAATGAAAAAGGAGTGGGGTAAATCAGAAGTCTGAAGAAAGGGGAAAATGTCTGAATTAAGTATCCGGAGAAAGGGAGAGTGAGTTGATCTGAGAAACAAACTAGGATAGTCAGGTTCTGTTAAGGGCACAGTTGAGGTTGGCTGACATGATCGTAGCGGCACCAAGCCACCCTACTGTGTGATTTCTAGCACCTGTATTCAAGGCAAAAATGGATAGTTTGGTTAAACCAGCATTTTGGGTCTACTAAGACCAAAGGGCAAGGAAGATAAATGCACTGTCAACAGAATTACCGAGGGATGAAGGATGAACTCTAAGTAATCAATTAAGAGGTAACAGCAGAGGGAACATCTAAAAGACAGAGAGAACCACTGAGGTGCTAAGAAGAAATGGGCACAGCATGGGAAATAGAAAATAACTGGTCAAGCAACTTGGAAAAAAGGGGTCAGAGCTGGAGAGTGTTGCACTCTCATCTGTGAGGCAGTGCAGCATCAGGATAAAAGCACAGGGTGTCACGGTGGGAATGGGTGACAGAATCAGATAGGAAGAGGTGATCACTGCAGACCAGGTGTTCAAGAAAGTGAGTGCCTCGTGCATAGGCTCCATGTGGATGCTGAGGTCACCTAAGGTGAAGTCATGAACTGAGGTAGAGGACACTCTGGGCCAGGCACCCCAGTCTTCCATGAATGAGGTGAATGATCAGGAGAGCTGAACAACAGCAATCAGGAGGGCTCCAGTTGGGCAGGAAGGCTCTCCATGGAATGAGACGCGGGAGACACACAGGAGGACACAAAGCTCAAATCCCTGATCCTGAGATACACAGGGCATGAGAAGGAGGAGGAGCCACGGGAGAGGGCTTCAAGAACAGGATATCCCTGAGGAAAGGTCAGGGTGAAGGCAAAGGGAGGGAGGGAATGGCTAAGGAGAGGCTAACAAAATAGAAGCTGATGTTGATTATCAGGTGGTAACTGCAGAGGACATAGTGAGGGGTTGGTGGGATGGTTGGGTCACAGGTAAACAAAAGAGGGGAGAACAGACTCAGTGGCATAGCATGATGGACATCATAAGGAGAGCAGAGAAGGGAAGGAGAGTGGGCTACCATGAAAAGTGCTCAATTGATACCTATTGAGTCAAATGGAGTTAGTGTAAACCTAATATATCCAACCAGAAAACTTCTGATACCACAAGTCCAGGATCACAATGATGATAATGATTTGATGACAATGAGGGGGGTGGTGATGACTGTTAACTACCAATTCTGAACACCTCCAGTATGCCAAGCACTGCTGCAAGCACTCCACATTTCACCTGCACAGCAATCCTCTGAGACAGATAACATCCTACTTATCCGCAGAAGGACTCTATACCAAAGGAAGAAGCAAACTAAACAGAAGTAAAAGATTTACAGGTACCCAGAAGGCTGACTGGCTTTTTATTTTATAGCCATAACTCACTCAGGGCAGCAGGAACCACCCTAACTCATAGCTACTGCACATTCAGCAACTTTAACTAAACAATATTCAGCCTGGAGGGAAGTCAAAACTAGCAATAATAATTTACTGAGGGCTTCACTTTGTGTCAGATCCTCTGCATCGATAATCTCATTTAATCCTGACACCCATAAAGGTTACCTTTATTATCACTGTTTTAAAAATGAAAAGACTAGGCTGGGTGGGGTGGCTCATGCCTGTAATCCCAGCACTTTGGGAGACCAAGGCGAGCGGATCACTTGAGTTCAGGAGTTCGAAACTAGCCTGGCCAACGTGGTGAAGCCCTGTCTCCACTAAAAATGCAAAAATTAGCTGGGCATGGTGGTGTGTGCCTGTGATCCCAGCTACTTGGAAGGTTGAGGCAGGAGAATCACTTGAACCCGGCAGGTGGAAGTTACCAGGAGCCAAGACAGCTGTGGCCAATAGCAACTGAAAGCCACAGAAGAAAAAGCTGAGTATAATCCACTCAAATTCACAAATTTCATAAGGGACTCTCTCTAAGACTTTAATACTTGTGTATTTATTAATTTAATCAATCACCACTTACATGGACTACATGCCAGACACTGCTCCAAGTGCTCTACTAATATTAAATATCATTTTTGTCCACACCCACCTATGATGCGTTATTATACTCCCCATTTTACAGATCAGGAAACTGAGCCACAGAAAAGTTTAGTAATTTCCCCGACTTTATACTGCCAGTAAGTGGCAACGCTCAGTTTGACAGAGTCTAGCTCCAGAATCCATGCTCTGAAAGTTTAGTCCCCAAGAACCTATAAAAAGTGCAAGGTTTAATCCAACACACTGGTTTTCCCCACTCTACAATCACTACGTGGCCTCAGCCTCCTTCTCCCACCTTTAAAGCATTTTTTGAGTTCCTCTAACAGTTCACACTCCTCTGAACACTCTCCTACAACTTTCCTATTTTTCAAGCCTTTTCTTCTCACTTTTTTTTTTTTTTTTTTTTGAGACATAGTCTCGCACTCTCATCCAGGTTGGAGTGCAATAGCGTGATCTTGGCTCACTGCAACCTCTGCCTCCCGGGTTCAAATGATTCTCCGGCCTCAGCCTCCCGAGTAGCTGGGATTACAGGCGCCCGCCACCACACCCAGCTAATATTTGTATTTTTAGTAGAGATGGGGTTTCACCATGTTGGCCAGGATGGTCTCGAACTCCTGACCTCGTGATCTGCCCACCTCGGCCTCCCAAAGTGCTGGGATTACAGGCGTGAACCACCGCGCCCAAACTCTTCTCACCTTAAACATCACTGACAAAATTACAAACTCTAATGGCACTGCCGTATTTGTCAGCACTCAACACAAAAAAATCATAATTATATATTTCATAGGTAATTATTTGCTTCCTGTCTCTCTTTTCCAACAAAGCTGTGAGTTCCAGTATGTCTGACACCATGTCTGTCTTGTTCTTGGTGTATTTCCACCATCGAATTCCTACTAACCACTGCAAAGTAAAGGCCTGGCACAAAGTAAGGTCTCAAAAAATTTTGTTGAATGAAAGAATAAATGGTGGACATTCAAGCCTCAAGCTTTCTCTTTCTCTGACACGTACCTCTGCTGGCTACGCCCCCATCCCCACCACCACACCCTTAACAGTGGAGACTTAGTGCGGTACTGGCTCTGCAAAGAGATATTACTTGGCTCTGGGTGGGTTATTTCCCCTCGTCATCCTGAGTTTCAGGTGCACAACAGGGATCACACCAACCCCCTAAAGAATGCAACCTACAAAAGAGAGAGAACCTACACCTCTCATCCTCGTAACCCATCGAGGCTGGAGCTACTATTTGCTTCATGTCTGTCTTTCCAGCAGCGTTTAGCTCCAAGAAGCCCAAGGCCTCGTCTGTCTGGCTCAGGGGCCTGCTCCCATCGACGATACCCAGGCTGGCCCCCTGCCTGGCTCACAGCAAAAGCTCAGAAACGATTCGTTAAATAAATGAAGCCCTGCTCCGTGCACTTCACAGGTGGGAAGCGAGGGTCGTGCGAGGCGGGGGCTGCATCCCTGCCAGCCTTGAGCGTATTCTTCAGATGCAGGCCCACCTCCCACCTAGGCCCGCGCCCCAGATGCCGGCCCCGAACCCCGCGCCCGACAGGCACCTCTTGCACAGGGAAGCATCTTCGCAGGTGCCGCGCACGCCCTCGTCGTCTGCGTCGCAGCTCGAGGTGGAACAGCAGGAGGTGATAGAGGATTCCCTCTGCCTAGTGGCCATGGGCGTGGAGGTTCCTGGGAGCTGTGTCCGCCAGGGACATGGAAGCGGGGTCGACGGGCGGCGGGGGACGGCGCGAGCCACAGGGAGAAAGCAACAGAAGAGGGTAGGGCCCTACCTGGCTCAGCTGGCGCGGCTCAGTGACGCCGCCCACGCCGGCTACCCCAGCAACCTCTCCGCTTATTGGCTCCTCTTCCGAGTCGCTCATTGAGCAATTCTCCTGCCCGCTCAGCCTACGAAGTTGCTCATTGGATAATTATTTTGGCACCGCCCACATAACCCGGAAATTTGACGATAGGAAAAAGAAACTAAACAGTAGGAGAGTATCGCAATCCTTTCTGGGAAGCGTAGTCTTAGGTGTCTGGAGAAGTCGCCCGGTTTCTGCTTGCTGGTCGCGAAATTTTATAGCTATAATTAACTCAGGGCGGAACAGCTAGCAGAATCCTCAGCGTTCGGGCAAAGGGCAGAGAATCCAGCCAGAAGCAACATGTGTAAGTTGTTACATTCAGTCCGGGCTCAGTGTCATTCAATTTTACAAAATTTTGTTGTGTGCTGACTCTGCCAGCGACTGTGCTGAGGGCTTTGCCCCCAAAATTGCCTTCGAAATGTAGTGAGGGGGGCGGGCGTAGTGGCTCACTCCTGTAATCCCACCACTGTGGGAAGCCGAGGCGGGCCGATCACCTGAGGTCAGGAGTTCGAGACCAGCCTGGCCAACATGGTGAAACACCGTTGTTACTAAAAGTACAAAAATTAGCCGGGCGTGGTGGCGGCCGCCTTAGTCCTGGCTACTCAGGAGGCTGAGGCAGGAGAATCGCTTGAACCCGGGAGGCGGAGGTTGCAGTAAGCCCATGTGGCGCCACTGCATTCCGTCCTGAGCGACAGAGCGAGACTCCGTCTCAAAAAAATAAATAAACAAATAAATAAAAGAAAGAAAGAAAAGAAATGTAGTGAGGGAAGTAGTGTGTGGAAAAGTAATACAATAGGAAGCCATGTAGCAGCGATCATAAATGAACTAGAGCTACCAGGTAGCAGCATCAATGGCTGAATCTCAGAAACACGATGTTCAGTGAAAGAAGGAAGTCTAACAACACTTTTGTAAAGTTCAAACCAAGTAAAACTAATGTTGTTTAGAGAAACGTACATATATGGTAAAATACTGTACAGAGAAGGCAAGACATGAGAAAAAAAAATAAAAAAGAATCAGGATATTGGTGATCTTTAGGGAGCCGGGAGGGTAGCACACAAGAGGGGGAGGGAGAGGCAGGGAAGGAGCACATAGACACATCCTCAGTTTCTCACGTGGGAGTGGGTTCACGTGTGTCTGTTTCATTATGAGGCATATTCAAGATGTTTTGGATTTATTTTGTACTAAATCTAGTACAAAATATATGTATAAATTCAAGATGTACTGGGGAAGTCGCCTGGTTTCTTGCTGGTGATGAAATTTTATAGCTATAATTAACTCAGGGCAGAACAACTAGCAGAATCCTCAGTGTTCGGGCGATTGGCAGAGAATCCAGCCAGAAGCAACCCTTGTAAGTTGTATATGTATAATAATGTTTAATATACATTATAAATTAAAAATGTCTTTGTATATTCCATTTTGTTATCTGTCAGTTGTTGGAAGCAGGAAACAGATATACTTTAAGAACTTTGAATTGCACTCATTTTTTTAAAAAGAAAATCAACAACAGAAACCCAGAATACACACCTTGGAGTGAGGTCAAATATCAAATGCTAGCTCAGTATTCTAATGGAGGCACAAGATCTCATTGATAGCCACAGTAGAAATGACAAGAGGGGAATGACTAAGGGTGGAGAGCTTTGCCAGGGGGAATGCTGATGGGATGAAATACACCATTTTCTTGGAGTGGTCCTTTGCCAAAAGGGTAATACAAACTATTGCACAAGCATCATCTCCCAGCTTAGCAGTGTCCACATTCCACGGGTGTTAGTGGATAGTAAGTGTTAACAGCAAGTACTATACGGTGTTAATCCCACAGGTCTGGACAGTGAGACTGGGGGTGACTGGAAGAAGGCGGAGGCAGATGGGTTTATACACTTTTGTTGTTGGATGAGCCTTTGATTCAAAATAGCTGGTGATTCAGAGGAATTTGGCCATCTTCCAGCTGACCTCCAGGGCCAGCTCATTCCATGTAAGTTCCTGGTTGAGGATCTGAAAGTTTATGACAGCGTGGAGTCTGGAGATTGCAAGCTTAGCCATCTCAGGCTAAATGATACCTTAATGCAAGAGACAATGCTGGGGTAGTCTTTGAGCCATATCCCAGCCAGAGAAAGTTCACTGCCAACTAGACTGCATCTTTTGACAAAGTCAGGAGAAGAGTTGTGGAAGTGTAAAAGCTCTTGGACATTAATATTGTGGGCCAAAAGTTAGGCATTCACCATGGAATCTCTCCCCAAAAGGCTACAATGGACAATTGTTGCTTTGGCTCTCCAGTATCTCTTTCTTCTATAAAAAATAGCTAGAGTGGGCTGGGCGCGGTGGCTCACACCTGTAATCCCAGCACTTTGGGAGTCCGAGGTGGGTGGATCACCTGAGGTCAAGAGTTTGAGATCAGCCTGGCCAACATGGTGAAACCTCGTCTCTACTAAAAATACAAAAATTAGCCAGGCATGGTGGCAGGCGCCTATAATCTCAGCTACTAGGGAGGTTGAGGCAGGAGAATCACTTGAACCCGGGAGGTGGAGGTTGCAGTGAGCTGAGATCGTGCCATTGAACTCCAGCTTAGGGGACAAGAGCAAAACTCCGTCTCAAAAAACAAACAAAAAGCTGGCATGGTGGCTCATGCCTGTAATCCCAGTACTTTGGGAGGCCGGGGCAAGTGGATCACCTGAGGTCAGAAGTTCGAGACCAGCCTGACCAACATGGTGAAACCCCATCTCTACTAAAAATAAAAATTAGCCAGGCATGATGGCGCATGCCTGTAATCCCAGCTACTCCGGAGGCTGAGGCAGGAGAATTGCCTGAACCCTGAAGGCAGGGGTTGTGGTGAGCCGAGATTGCGCTATTGTACTCCAGCCTGGGCAACAAGAGCGAAACTGTCTCCAAAAAAAAAAAAAAAAAGCTACAGCTTCTTATGGAAAACTAAGCTTCTCTCCTGGCCAGGCGTGGTGGCTCACACCTGTAATCCCAGTCACCGAGGCGGGATTTGGGAGGCCGAGGCGGGTGGATCATGAGGTCAGGAGTTCAAGACCAGCCTGGCCAACATGGTGAAACTCCATCTCTACTAAAAACACAAAAAATGGCTGGGCATGGTGGTGCGCGCCTGTAGTCCCAGCTACTCAGGAGGCTGAGGCAGAAGAATCGCTTAAACCCAGGAGGCAGAGGTTGCAGTGAGCCGAGATCGTGCCACTGCACTCCAACCTAGGCAACAAGAGCGAAAGTCTGTCTCGAAAAAAAGAAAAAGAAAAAGAAAAAAAAGCAAGGCTCCTTGCCTGACTCTAGGGGTGGAAACTTGCCAAGGTCTGGCCAATTGGCACCCAAAATCACCTTGTCATGCTTCAGAGGGTGGTGGGGATTGGGGGAAGGGCTAACCAGGTTGTTCCAATCAGAATGAATCCCAGGAGTTGAATGGAAGTTGCTCAGTTTATTAGCAGAGCTCTCTTTTTTGCCACACTTGAACTTGGTAGGTGCCATCAGGTGTGGCCTGTGTGTCCGCCACGTGGTCTCTGAGGCTCCCACCTGGGGGCAGCAGCAACACAACATCCTAACCAGTGGGTGCTTGAGTTCTACTCACTGATGTTCAGATTAGAACTCTTTGGTCACTGCGTCTAGCCTTGTGACCATCACTAGCTGCTTGGGACAGCCATAGAGACACTGTTAGGAAAGTGTGCCCCCAGCACAGTCATGGGAACAATCCTTTATGTTGTTTGTGGCAAGGAAGGAGACCATCACCCATCACCCCAGGAAGATTTAGGAATGGCTCCCTGCCTGTGTCCTAACAGTAATTGTTCTAGCAAGGGTAGTGATGTTTCCTGTGGCACTGTTGCGCTGCTGCTGCTCTCTGTTCTTCTGACCCCTAAGAAATGCACATCCCTGGCAGTCAGTGGCCTAGTCACTGATGATGAAAAAAATAAAATGGACAGGGAATGGCATTTGTTGTTCAACTTCTCTCTCGATGGAAAACCCCAAACTGACAACCCTGGGCTTTGCTTCGCAGTGTTGCTTGCATATTTGGTCAAGGGGTTCAATGGCCCCAGCTGGACCCTAAACAAAATGAACTTACCAGGAGAGGACCCCAGCACTGGGGAGATTGCCTGGCACTCCCGTGGGGAGGAGGATGGCCACCCACGGGGCAGGCTGCTGGTCTCCCTTTCCCCATAACTTCCCTGAAGATCCACACCACGAGTGATCTGATGGAGACGAAAACCACGTGACTTGGAATTTGGAAGAGTGGAGGGGACCCTTAAAATACATGAGAATCCCACTAAATTTCAATGTGGTAAATATTTGACTATTATAGCTAATATGTTCTGCCTGTTTCAAGGACCTCTCAGCCACCATCTGCCAGAGGGCAGGTGGATGGCGTCGCTGAACCTGAGGTACCAAGGGCTGGGGCAAAGTCACGCAGAGGCCACTTTGCTCTGCGCCCTGGTCCTCGCGATCTTTGCCAGATCGGGCTCGTCTGGGCTCGGCTCCGATCGGTCCAGCTGGACTCGGCTCGACTGGCCTCGGCCCCGAACGGTCGGCCAAGAGGGCGGGTGGACGGCGCGCCGGAAGTGACGCGAGAGAGCGAGGTCAATGGCCCGGGTAGCTACAGCAGCCGTCGCAGCCACCGGTCACCTCAGCTGTGAACCATGTAGGAGCCGTCTGGGTGTAGCCCTACCTGCCAGGCGGCGCCCCGCGGGCTGCCGCCGCCGCTGCCTTGAAGAAGCAGTTCAACCTCATCAGCAGGTGGCCGACCTGACTATGGGCCGGTCGGCTCTGGACCGAACCACAGCCCAGCCCGAGGCCAGCGGGACGCCCGCTGCCGCTCAATCGCCCCCTGGTCCTTGGCGACCATCTGGGACGGGCCGCTGCCTCCTCTGTAGCAACCCCTCGGGTGCCCCCTGCCCATTGTCCCTACCCCGGCGAGCATTGCCCTGCGAGGACTACACCCGATGCTTCTCCTCTCTTCCGGAGGACACAGCCAGCCTGGGACCGCTGCCCTGTGCTAAAACTCCGATGACTTCTGTCCCTAACGCTGTGCCGAGCGCTGTGCTGTGGGGGGCAGCATTGTCAGACTTTCCGGGTTGACCCGCTGTTGGGAGTCCTTTAAGTGCATGGTAGCAAGAAATAAAGGGATATATGAAAGCCAGTCGGATTTGCTTAGTGAATTTCAGAACGCCTGCGAGGGAATTCGGAGGTGGTGCAGTCTCAGAAACCAGTATTCCTAGGAACTTGACTGCTGCTGCAAGTTCTTGACATTTAGAAATTTAGAACTGGGAGACACCTTGTGCCAGTTTAAAAAGTCTTCTTCCTCTTGGATTTGGAGACAGCTACTTCTCCATGTTCCTTTGGTACTGCTTGAATGCTTGAAAAGAAACATAGGCAAACAAAAATAATTTATATACGGAAGATGTGTGCTTATGGAGGGATAGCTAATGCACTGAACAAAACCTAGCTGTCATTAGATGGAGGGAGGTAACAAAAGCTACCCAGAGATGAAAAATCTGAGCAGAGACTTTGTCATCCGTCTTTAAACACTGCTTTCAAATACTACTTGTATTGATTAGGTCTCTTGGCCATAAAGAAAACCTAAAACTTCTTCAAGCAAAGATAGGAATTAGTTGTCTCCTAAGTAATCACAAGAGTCCAAGAGTAGTGTGGCTGCAGATTTGGCTACATCCAGGGGTTTCACTCTTTGGGCAGGTCCAAAGAGAGACAGTCCACTGGGAGAGTTCCCAGTCTTCCGAGTCCCAGAGAGAAAGAAAACTCTTCTCCCAGTCACTGTGACAGAGTACCAGGATCGGCTCTGAATTATTCTGGGTCCTATACCTTTCCCCAGAAATGGACTTGAGTGAGCACCACTCAAGCCATATGGACTGAGGTGGAGGAGTGCTGGTTCCCTAAGGTAAACTTGGGCACTGTCACCAGCAGGCAGGGAGAATGGATGGTAATCAGGCAAGCAATAAAGGTCATGGTGGGCCTTTCGTTCGTAGTCCTGCTGAAAAAAGATAAGTTACTGTTTTGTTTTTTTTAAGACGGAGTCTTGCTCTGTCGCCCAGGCTAAGAGTGCAGTGGCGTGATCTCAGCTGACTTCAGCCTCCACCTCCCGGGTTCAAGCAATTCTGCTGCCTCAGCCTCCCAAGTAGCTGGGACTACAGGCATGCACCACCACGCCCAGCTGATTTTTGTATTTTTAGTAGAGGCGGGGTTTCACCATGTTGGCCAGGATGGTCTTGATCTCCTGACCTCATGATCTGCCCACCTTGGCCTCCCAGAGTGCTGGGATTACAGGCATGAGCGACCGCACCCGGCCTAAAAGATAAGTTACTGTTTCTTAAAAACCCTTAGATGCAGATAATCCGGTGGATACAGTTGGTATTTTGGGAGAAGTGATAACCCAAATAGGGAGAAAAGAATACACTGGGATGAGGAGCTTGAAGGTATGAGGAGAAAGTGTCAAACAGAAGGAATTTGAGGAACATAACTAAGAGAGCATAGTGCCTAGGCTCTGGTGGGGAGTGTGTCAGGCGGTATTGATTTCTTCAGTGATCGAAGTTTCCTCTGGAGGTCCAACTGCTTTTCCAGATGGTTGTTTTTAGAAAGCCAAGGATATAAACACAAACTCCTAGAGGGCCAACCTAGTAAAATCAGTGACTTGGGCCAGATGAGGATCTCACGGGACCTGGAGGACCAGGACCTACCAAAGTGGCTCTAGGCCCGGTGTGGACCACCTTTGTAATTTTCAAGAAGGGCCTGAAATCTGCATTAAGCAACTACCCTTACACTCCATGGAACTAAACAAAATATGTGGGTCACCGGTTGGCAACTGCTTGTCTGGAAGGACTCAGAAATTAACAGTTCCTGTTATTTTATTTTTCCCTGTAACGTACCCTGATATTACTACATTTGCAGCATTTTCAGTTATTTGCATTTGTGGAAGAGCAGCTCATCATTCCCTTTACTGAAATCTTTTTTTTTTTTTTTTTTTTTTTTTTTTTTTGAGACGGAGTCTCGCTCTGTCACCCAGGCTGGAGTGCAGTGGTGCCATCTCAGCTCACTGCAACCTCTACCGCCCAGGTTCAAATGATTCTCCTGCCTCAGCCTCCCAAGTAGCTGGCACTACAGGCACCCGCCATGACGCCCGGCTAGTTTTTGTATTTTTATTAGAGACAAGGTTTCACCATGTTTGCCAGGCTGGTCTCGAACTCCTGGCCTCAAGTGATCCTCCCACCTCGACCTCACAAAGTGCTGGAATTACAGGCGTGAGCCACTGCACCCAGCCCCTTTACTGAAATCTTTAAAAGGTATAATAGTAATACTCATCAACATTTCTATGGTGGTTTGGTTTACAAAGTGCTGTGCTAAACCTCCTGGCTTGGTTCTCACCTACTGACAATGATCACTTCTTTCTTAGAAAGAAGAAAACGTAACTTGCCAAATTAGATAGCTACTAAGTGGTTGAGGCGAAACTTGAATCAGGGTTTTTTGTTTTTTTGTTTTTTTTTGGAGATGGAGTCTGTCGCCCAGGCTGGAGTGCAGTGGTGAGATCTTGGCTCACTGCAGGCTCTGCGTGCCAGGTTGCATTCTCCTGCCTCAGCCTCCCGAGTAGCTGGGACTATAGGCGCCCGCCACCACGCCCGGATAATTTTTTGTATTTTTAGTAGAGACGGGGTTTAACTGTGTTAGCCAGGATGGTCTTGATCTCCTGACCTTGTGATCCGCCCGCCTTGGCCTCCAAAAGTGCTAGGATTATAAGCGTGAGCCACCGCACCCGGCTGTATCAGTGCTTCTAAATGGTGGCTCTCATGTCATTTTGAGTACAGGAACTGGGCTGCCTCTTCACCAGGGAAGGATGAATGTTTATTAAACATCTGTGCTTATGAAGGTGCAGGGCTAGGTGCTTTGCATACATTTATCTCACTCCTTTCTCACAACAAGCCTCAGACGTGATGTTATTTATTCCTGATTTAACAGAGGATGCCAGCGATTAAAGGGGTCATCGAGCTAGTAAATGACAGAGCTATGGACCTAAACCCAGGTTTCTCATTCTGAAACAGCTGTAAATTCTCATTACAGAGATCTAATGACCTTCTCCAGGAGTCGAGGACCCACTACCTCGCTGAATTCTCAGAGTCAAAATGCGTCTCTACCTGCTGGTCCCAGAACAGTCCCCTGCTGCTGCATTGAATGAATCTCATCTCACTTCCTCGAGTCAGCCCTACCTATATTTGATGATCACAAACCTTATCCTTACGTTGCCAGCAGTAACATTCTGCATCCCTCACCCACTCCACTGTGTCCTTTTCCTCCCACTGATCTTCACTCTGCCTTTTCTAGGGGAACTCTGAACAGTATTTCTGAGAAGGGGTAGGTAATGTGCGCTTTGCTTCAGTCTGAGTGGATTCCATCAACCTCTGCATAGAGCAGGGGTGGAAAGAAATCCTGTGTCATTGCAGCTTCTTTTCGATCTAAGCTTTCATGGCCTTATTATGTAGTTTACATGTTTTTGTCAGACAACAGGATGTTTTGCCTATATCATTCTATTTCCCTTTCTCAAATGTTGGAGATGCCATAGTAATTAATGAAGTACAAATCCATTTTAAAATATCTTACTCCTGGCCAGGCGCAGTGGCTCACTTCTGTAATCCCAGCACTTTGGGAGGCGGAGGCGAGCGGATCACTTGAGGTCAGGAGTTTGAGACCAGCCTGGCCAACGTGGTAAAACCCCGTCTCTACTAAAAATACGAAAATGAGCCGGTGTGGTGGCAGGCGCCTGTAGTCCCAGCTCCTCCGGAGGCTGAGGTGGAAGAATTGCTTGAACCCAGGAGGCAGAGGTTGCAGTGAGCCAAGATCTTGCCGCTGCGCTCCAGCCTGGGTGACAGAGTGAGACTCTGACTCAAAAAAATCATGCTCCTCTCTGCTTGGTGTATGTGTCTTTCCTTAAAGTTAGATATTAAAAGTACAATAGAGTCACAGTCTCTTATCTGGAAGTTTTGGGGTCAGATAACTTTCAGAATTCAGATTGTTTCAGATTTTTCTAAAAGTAATAATGCACGTATGATGTGGTTATATAATGCTCTGGGCTCTGGGACAACACCCGATAGTCAAACATATTATTGTTACTATAGCAAAATGTATGAATATTTTCACACTTCATGGATGCGTAAAGATTATACATAGCTTCATGTCGACTCAGGTCAACTTTTGTTGCCAAATAAGTTACAAAAAAAACTTATTTTGTAGAGCTTTTTGGATTTCAAAATGGTAGATAGGGATTGTGGACCTGTCTTAGTATAAGTACCTATTGAGAGTCTGTGAAATTTTTTTACTTTAAAGAATATTTTCCATATTCCAAAAGGTTGGAAACCACAGTTATATTGTATAAGCAGGGGTCACAAACTCAAGTGCAAGGGCCAGTAAAATAAATAAGTGGGAGGCGGGTATAGGACAGTAGGGAATGGGGGGACTGTAGTGAACCGGTGAGTACGTGTTCATTCAAAGGGGAACATGGCCACGTATTGTCATGGTGAATGTGGGAGTAGTGAAGCCTCATCTTCCATTTTTAATGATACTCCAGAATGCTGAATTCCATGTGAAGTTTCTTGATATTTAAATATTGGCAACCAAAAAGAAAAAAGAAACTCACTGTATTAGCCAAATAAAACATAATCTGCAGGTTTTATCTGGCTGCAGGCTGCCTGCTTTACTTCTGATTTGCAGATTAATGCCGATGGTATGAAAAGTTGTCAGTGTTTTTGGTAATGAATTACTTCTTGAGATGTGGATGGATACATATGTTTTGTAATTATTCATTACACCCCATATATATGCTGTATGGTTTTTGTGTATAAAATATTTCATAATAAAAAAACCTAGACAGGCCAAGTTGGGTGGATCACCTGAGGTCGGGAGTTTGAGACCAGCCTGGCCGATATGGAGAAACCCCATTTCTACTAAAAATACAAAAAATTAGCAGGGCATGGTGGCACATGCTTGTAATCCCAGCTACTTGGGAGGCTGAGGCAGGAGAATCACTTGAACCCAGGAGGCGGAGGTTGCAGTGAGCCGAGATCGCGCCATTGCACTCCAGCCTGGGCAACAAGAGCGAAACTCCGTCCAAAAAAACAAAAAAACAAACAAAACCTAGACAACTTGCTAGTCACTTTATTTTAGACCTGCCTCATTTTCTGGCCAGTGGGAAGTTTCCTTCTTATCTACAAATTTGAAACTTTAAATTTTTTTATCTTGGAAAAGGGAATGAAAGCCCCACTTTAAAAATGGGAGCCCTCCTTAAAAGTAGTTTAGTGGCCAGGCACTGTGGCTCATGCCTGTAATCCTAGCATGCTGGGAGGCCAAGATGGGAGGATCACTTGAGGCCAGGAGTTTGAGACTAGCCTGGTCAATATAGCGAGACCCCACCTCTCTCTATAGATAGATAGATAGGTAGATAGATAGATAGATAGATAGACAGATAGATAGATAGATAGAGATATAGATATAGTAAAAGTAGGAGTTTAAAAAGGTTAGATTGTAGCTGAGCGTGGTGGCTCACGCCTGCAATCCCAGCACTTTGGGAGGCCAAGGCGGGCAGATCACGAGGTCAGGAGATCGAGACCATCCTGGCTAACACAGTGAAACCCCATCTCTACTAAAAAAAATACAAAAAAAAAAAAAATTAGCCAGGCATGGTGGCAGGCGCCTGTAGTCCCAGCTGCTGGGGAGGCTGAGGCAGGAGAATGGCATGAACCCAGGAGGCGGAGCGTGCAGTGAGCCAAGATCGCGCCACTGCACCACTGCACTCCAGCCTGGGTGACAGAGCAAGACTCCATCTCAAAAAAAAAAAAAAAAAAGGTTAGATTGTAATCTTTCTACCTTTCCAGGGCCATAGTGATCCGAAGTAACATTAGGTATCTGTCCTTATATTGGGACAGAAAGATGTCCTTCGTGTCCTCTCTTTTGAGATCTTTTCCCTGGGTCATCTCAGCTCCATAACTGTCACCTCATGATTGATGACTCTGTTTTATGCTTCCAGTGCTGGCATCTCTTCATCCCTAGAGTGATGCTGCCATCTCCGTCTTGAATGTCTCTGCTGACATGACCTGCTAAACTTGAACTCATAGGCGGGGCAATCGCTTGAGCCCAGGAGTTCAAAACCAGCCTGAGCAACAGAGGGAGATTTCATCTCCATTCTTTCATTTTATTATAAAAAAAATTCAAAATAAAATGAAATTGAACCCATGAACTTCATCCTCAAATTGGCTTCATTTCCCCCTGTCCCCTAGTCCATAAGGCACCAAACTTTGGCCTGCAGGGTAAATCCAGCCCATTGCATGTTTTATACAAAAGGTTTATTGGAACACAGCCACACACTACAGCAACAGGGTTGCCTAGTTGGAATAGTGATCCATACAACTCACAGGTCCTATAGTATTTACTCTCTGGCCCTTAATAAGAAGTATTCTGACCCCTGCCCTAGGGTATTGAATGCCCTCATGTTACTCACCATACACTTGGCAGTCCCCCTGTTTCTCCTCTTTTTTTTTTTTTTTTTTAAGACAGAGTCTTGCTCTGTCGCCAGGGTGGAGTGCAGTGGTGCGATCTCGGCTCACTGCAACCTCCACCTCCTGGGTTCAAGCAATTCTCCTGCCTCAGCCTCCCAAGTAGCTGGGATTACAGGCGCACGCCACCACACCCAGCTAATTTTTGTATTTTTAGTAGAGACAGGGTTTCACCGTGTTGGCCAGGATGGTTTAGATCTGTTGACCTCATGATCCGCCCGCCTTGGCCTCCCAAAGAGCTGGGATTATAGGCATGAGCCACTGCACCCAGCCTCTCCTCTGTCTTCTATACCCTGGCTATTACTGTGATCTGGCCGTGCTACCTCCTTGGTTATCTTTTGACTCGGTCTCTCCTTCTCTGTGGCTGTCCTTCCTGTTACCTTCATCAGGTGCTCATTGTTTCTCACCTGCACTCATAATTGTCATCCAGCTGGCTTTGCTGGTTTGAGCTGGATTTATCCCTTTTGTCATCTAGCTGTCACTTCTGTCTGATGTGGTAGTCACCATTGTTACGATTATATCTGTTCTATCCTAAATTATTTTTTTCCAATGAATTCTGTAGAGTTTAGAATTCCTACATTTAGAGGAAATTAATATTTATTTTTGACAGTAATTCCAAATTTCCTAAGATGATAATGCTATCATTTAATTTATTCTCCAGAAAGCGATGCTGCACTATAATGCATGTCATTATACACGACGTGATGAGTATCGCCTTTTGCCACCACCTTAGTTGCTTACGTATGTTTTAAAAATTTGCTAGCTATTTAAATTTTTTTCATTAAGGTGGAAATGAATGTGTCCTTATATTTGTATTTCTTTATATGTGTTTTCTGTATGTGTCATTTGTTTATTTAATTGTTATGGAATTGTTTAGTTATGAATTGAATTATTCAATTACCAATTCCAGTCAACAAATGTCTATTAAGAACCTGTCAGTAAATTTTCAGGCCTGGCATGGTGGCACGCCTGTAATCCCCCAGCACTTTGGGAGGCTGAGGTGGGCAGTTCACTTGAGGCCAGGAGTTCAAGACCAGTCTGGGCAACATGGTGAAACCTTGTCTCTACTAAAAATACAAAAATTAGTCAGGCATAGTGGCATATGCCTGTAGTCTCAGCTACTTGAAAAGCTAAGGCATGAGAATCGCTTAAACCCAGGAGGTGGAGGTTGCAGTGAGCCAAGATCATGCCACTGCACTCCAGGTTGGGTGATAGAGAATCTGTCTCAAAAAAATGAGAAAAAAAAAAAAAAAAAGAAAGAAAGAAACTGTCAGATGTGGCTGAGGGGAGACCAGTCTGTAGGTCCTTAGTAAAGAGCAAGGATAAAAAGGCAAGGCCTCAAATATCCTGTTAAAGTTGGACTCCAGGCAGTGGGAACTTCATATAATTTTAAGCAGGGAAGTAACATTATCAGATTTTCATCCTAGGAAGTGGACCCTCACAGCAATGTGAACGGACTCAAGATGGGGCCAGTGGTGGAACCAGCAAGATCAGCAGGGAGTCAGCTGTACCAGTTGGTAGAGGGGACAGGAAGGAATGGACCACTGCCATGGGAACAGGAGAAAAAAGGAAAGAATTAGAAAATATCTGTTGGTTCATTGGATATGCAGTGGATGAGAGAGAGAAAGATCAATCATGATTCTGAGGGCTTATCCTTGGGTGATAAGGATATAATGGAATATATTGAGTTTCTTTTTAGACATGTTGATTTTGAGAAGCCCATGGACATCCTGATAGAAGTATCCAGCAAACAATTAGATAAACCAGTGTGGAATCAGGAGAAGGATGAGGTTAGACATAGACATTCAGAAGTCATTGGCATACCAGTGAAAGTTGAATCATGGGAGTGGATAAGTTTGTCCTGAGACTGCAAGCAGAGTAAGAAGATCCTGTTAGCTGATGATGGTATCTTGGAGAATATTCACATTTAAGAAGTGTCAGAACGGCCGGGCGCGGTGGCTCACACCTGTAATCCCAACACTTCGGGAGGCCAAGGCAGGCGGATCACCTGAGGTCAGGAGGTCAGGAGTTCGAGACCAGCCTGGCCAACGTGGTGAAACCCCATCTCTATTAAAAATACAAAAAATTAGCCGGGCGTGGTGGTGGGCGCCTGTAGTCCCAGCTACCCAGGAGGTTGAGGCAGGAGAATCGCTTGAACCCGGGAGGCAGAGGTTGCAGTGAGCCAAGATTGCGCCACTGCCCACCAGTGTGGTCAGTAAGAGCAAAACTCCATCTCCAAAAAAAGAAGTGTCAGAACAAGAAGCCACAAAGAGACTAAGAAAAAAGGTTCTAACATTAGGAGGGAGAGTGGTATCATTAAAAATGAAGAATGCAGAGAAAATGTAAAGAATGAAGATGTGGTGTTTCATATTTATCAGGCACTACGGAAAGGTTAAGTAAACAGAGTATGCATTGGATTTAACAGAAAATAGCTGGGGCATGAGTGAGACAAGATTTTGTAGAGCTTTCAAAAACAAGTCAATGAACAACGAGATGGTGATCTTTCAGAGGCTTGGCTGTGAAAGGTAGACAGATAAAGTGGTTGGTTGCTGGAGGAGCAGAAAGGAGAATGCGATGTGCCAGGAAAAATGGACATACTTGTGTGCTTAGGGATAGAGAGAGATGAAAGACAAAGCAGAATGGGAGATCAGTAGAATGAGGTCTTTGAAGAAGTCTGAATGGGTAATGCCCAGGGGACTGTTAGCCTTCAACTGCAAAGCTGGATCCCTTTTCCTCTGAGCAAAAGGGAAGGAGTAGAGATGAATGAAGAGAGGACGGTGGGATATAGGCAGGGGGTATGGGGGTCTTGACTGCTGGTCTTTAATGTCTGCAAGAGGGTAGAAGGCATGATCATGCCTGAGGAAAGTGATAAAGATTTGGAGGGGCCCTTAAGGAAATTGATCTCAAGGGAGCTGACCACGGACATTTGATAGCATTTGGGGCACAAACTGCTTACACGCTGATGAATAGGAGCTGTTGAAATGAATTGGAGGATATCTATAGGAAGAAATTCTACTTTTAAAAGGAATAAAATGGAGTCATTCACATTTTAAGAGATCTTCAAGGTGTAGTGATTTTTTTTTAGAAAGCATATCAGAGAATAATATACTATCATTAATACAGACATGCACATATTTTTAAAAGATCTGGAAAAAATACAGATTAATAATAGTTTTCTGGGAAATGGAAAAGAGTAGGACATAGCCAAAAAACAGAACTTCTACTTTTTTTTTCTTTGTTTCTTGAGACAGGCTGTCACCGTGTTGCCCAGGCTGGATTGCAGTGTTGTGATCACGGCTCATGGCAACCCAGACCTCCCAGCCTCATTTGACCTTCCCACCTCAGCCTCCTGAGTAACTGGGACTACAGGTGCCCACCAGCACACCTAGCTAATTTTTCTATTTTTTTTTTTTTTTTTGGAAACAGGGTTTCTTCATGTTGTGCAGGTTGTTCTTGAAATCCTGAGCTCAAGCTATCCATCCCCCTCAGCCTCCCAAAGTGCTGGAATTATAGGTGTGAGTCACTTCATGCTGAACTTTAAATTTTTTAATTTTTATGCAACTTATGCTTTTCTGCTGTTCATCTGTTTTTCTTATATACCAACTATACACTCGTGTATTTTACAATATTTGATCCTTAACACACATGAATATTTTAATTACCGAAGGCATACAAAAGTACCTGCTCCTTATAAAACACTGAAAGCATTATAAAACTACTTCAACTATCCCTCAAACACAACCTCAGTCTGGCCAACACCCAGCCTCACAAGAAGCAACCATAGTGTGAACTTGTGTGAATACCTTTACAGTTCTTCAGAGAGACTCTTTTTTTTTTCTTTTGAGATGGAGTCTCTCTCTGTCGCCCAGGCTGGAGTGCAGTGGCGCGATCTCAGGTCACTGCAACCTCTGCCTCCCAGGTTCAAGCAATTCTCCTGCCTCGGCCTCCCGAGTAGCTGGAATTACAGGCATACACCACCATACCCAGCTAATTTTTGTATTTTTAGTAGAGACGGGATTTCACCATGTTGGCCAGACGGGATTTGAATTCCTGACCTCAGGGGATCCACCCGTCTCGGTCTCCCAAAGTGCTGGGATTACAGGCATAAGCCACCACACCCGGCCAGTCCTTCAGAGACTCTTAAAAATTTTCCTTGCAATAGTTCTATTAAATTTAAAGAAAGTATGACTGAAAATGAAATGACTGTTTCCAAAAGGCCATTAGTGATAAAGTAGATACACAGCATGGCTTGATCTTTCATAGTCTCTGAGAATCATCTGTTGCCTTGACAGCCTATCAGCCCAGCTCCTGCACTCTGGCCAGGTGACATCAGCGGAGGTGCAGATGCGGGCAAAGCCTCTGCAGCAGCATTTGACAGATGATGCCCCGACCCACCAGGTCCAAGTCCAGCCAGGCTCCTAAGAGAGAGCAGAGGGGCAGGGATTGGCATCTGCTCCTCTGGGTATGGATGCTGGGGTGTTTCCTAAACTTTGTTGTACATTTTTAGCGAGTTTGATCTTTCCTGGAGAATTGTGAGGAGGAAGACTTGTTGGAAGAGTAGATGAAAGAGATTCTGTTTTAAGAAATTTAACAAAAAGTTCTGAAAAAGAACCATTAAGGGCAGGTTGCTGATTCAGCCCCAGTGGTGTTTTAGGGACACTTTTTGATCCTCCTTCAAGCCACCCAGTCATCCACCTGGTAGCAGTGCCATGCTCTTCCTGAAACAGTGGCTCCATTTCCTCCCTTGTGATACCCAGGATGCTTCCCATTGCCTGTAACACTTCATGCTGTTTGTGTTTTGGTGTGTGGAGATAACTAATGAAGAGGTTTCTCATTAGGAGTTTGTCGACTTTTGCTTCTGTGCTGCTGGCTAACTGTATGCATTTCCTTTGGAAACTATCCAGCCTTTCCTGTAGGACCACATTTTGGTTTTCAAGTTCTTTGATTTGTTGCTCCTGATATTCTATTTTCTTTTCCCTGGATGTTTCTGTGATTTTTTCATTGTCCTGTTTTAGTTCACCTGTATCCATTTCTAAAACTGATATTCTCTTCTTCAGATTTCTCACTGCCTGCCTCAAAAGTTCATTTTTATTCGTTTTTTTAGTGAGATTTTCTCTCAACGAATGTATTAGACTATTTTTGGTTCTGATGAAAAGGTTTTTTCCCTGAAGTAACCTATCTAAGGCATTTTGTTTCTCCTTCAGCTGCTGAATTTCTGAATGCATTTGCTCGTGTTCTTTTCTTTCTCGTTCTGCGATGGCAGCAATGGAATCAGACAGTCTTTGATTGTCTCCTTGGAGGGATCTAATGGTCGCATCTTTTTCCTGCAGTGATTTTCTCAGCTTCTCGATCTCTTGCTGGAGCAATTTAGAAGACTCACTTGATAGAGCAGACTCACTTGCATGAAGAGATTCTGCGGTGTGTGAAGAAAGTGCTTCTCTGGGGAGCTGGGGTAAAATATCCAGCTGTGGGAAGAGACTGTCTTTGCCGTCACAGAGCTGCCTGATGCTGTGCTGCGTGTGTGCTAACTCCTGCCCCAGGTTTTTGAGTTGAGTTTCACTCCCTTCATATTTTTGGATCAGATCTCTGTGGTTCATCTGACACTGAGAATCGTCATCACTGTCAATTAAAAGCTTTGCCTGAAGTTGACAAAGTTCCTCTTGGGATTGGGCTGCTCCCTGCTGCATATTTTGCACTGTGGTCACCAGCTTCTCTTTCCACACCTCCACTTTCTTAACTGGCTGTTTTAAGATATCGAGTTCTTGTGGAAGCCCCTCATACTGATTGTTAGTAACAGTTACAATGTTATGACCAGTGCTGGATGTTTGCAGAATTGTCGCTAAAGGCTGACATTTCTGACTTAATGCATCTGTTTCAATATCTTTTTCTTGATTGAGATGTGATGACTTCAGAACATTGTCTATAAACCTTTCCTGACCACTACTAGTGGGTGATTTTTTATTTTCCTCTTGTAGCTCACACAGGCCTCCTTCGTTGTCAGCAGTTACATCCATTCCATGGTGATACTCTCTTTCTAGATAGCTGTTTTCCCTAGCTACCTCTTTCCAAACAGCTGATAGTTCTTCTGTTTCCAAAGCAGGTGCTTGCAGTTGCTGCTGAAAGTGAGCAACACCCTTGGTGTCAGAGGCTGAAGCCGTTCTAGCCTGAAGGCCCGGCACCTCCACATCTTCCTGCTGGATGATGTGAGTGAGTTTGCCCACCTCACTGATGGACGGCTCATCCATCCATTTAGTTAAAGTCATATTCTTGTCATGTAGAACTTTAATCTCCAGTTCTTGTTCTTTTGTTCCTTTCACTAATCTTTCAGTTTCCAGTTTACATGAATCAGGCTTTTCAGTTCCATCTTCTGTATGAAGACACTCAGCTTCTGTTGTTTGAAAAACATCGTGGTCTGTTTGAATGTAGTCTCGTTTTCCACACAGGTGGGTTTTGATTTGTTGTTTTGCATTTTGCAAGTTCTTAATTTCTTCATCTTTGGCTGAAAAGCGCTGGGTGTGTGTGATATTCATTTGCTCTTGCTGGCATTTAAAATCATCCATTTCCTGTTTCTGGTCTTGTAAAGACCAAAGTAGTTGCATCTTACTGTGCAACTGCTCTTCAGTTATCTTTTGATATTTTATTTCTGCCTCAAAACTATTGTTGTTTCCTTTCAGTTGAGATACCTCAGTTTCTAGTTCCATAATTGGATCTGCTCTAGGCTTGGCCATAGGTGCGGTTTGACTATGTTGAAATGTCTCATTCAGTGGTTCTATGAAGACCACACATGCTTCAGTGTCCTTGATTTCACAGTTAGGGAACTCTTCCCCCTTATCTGTTCCCTGTATCAGCACATTTGAGATGTGGTTGATGAAGGAAGTCACATTGTTGCCCACTCGCGCCATGGAACGGCCTAAGCCAGAGCCAGGGCCCCCAAACCAGGAAGACATTGGTGGATCTTAGAACTGATCTGCTGTCCTTCGTGAAAAGCATCCAGTGCACTGGGATTCGCGTCCAGTCTGGGCAAGTCAGGGAGGCCCTGTCTTTTTTTTAAATTTTTTTTTTTTTTTAACTGAGACAAAGTCTCACTCTCTGTTGCCCAAGCTGGAGTACAGTAGTGCAATCGCGGCTCACTGCAACCTCTGCCTCCCGGGTTCAAGCGATTCTCCTGCCTCACCCCCCCAGTAGCTGGAACTACAGGCATGTGCCACCATGCCCGGCTAATTTTTGTAGTTTTAGTAGAGACGGGGTTTCACTGTGTTGGCCAGGCTGGTCTTGAACTCCCAACCTCGTGATCCACTCACCTTGGCCTCCCAAAGTACTGGGATTACAGGCATGAGCCACCGCGCCCGGCGGAGGCCCTGTCTTTAAAACAGACATTCACAATGAGGCGTTGCTAGGCAGCGCCTACTCAGAGGGTCACAAAGGGTAGGATGCTGCCTGGCAATGCACAGGCCTGGCCTGGGGCGTCACTAGGGCCAGACTGGTGCTCATGGGCCTCTGCTCATCCCCACACCTTCCCACCCTCAGGGTTGGCGCCCTCTCCCTCTGCATTAGTGACTTTCCTCTGTGCCACATGCAGCACCTGCCACCCAGCCACCAGGACAGCTGCTCAGAAACCCCAGATGCTTTTCCCTGAGTGTGAGTGTGAGCGTACATGTTAAGAAAAACATTGCCTTTCATTTTTTCTAAGTGGCACCGTACACTCCATATGTGTTCTGCATCTTGTGATTTTCATGCCACAGTTACTTTGTTAAATGGAGGTAAAAATTTACACTGTGCCACACACCCATCTTAAGAGTACAAATCAGTGGGTTTTGGCAAACGTCTACACCTGCACATAAGCACTACCCTAAGGAAGATAGTGAACATTTCCATCATCCAAAAAGTTCCTTGTCCCCTTTGAGATTCACCTTCACCCTTCTGCCCCAGCAAGCCTTGTTCTTGTCTCTGTTTCCATGGTTGAGTTTTACATGTTATTGAAGGTCACCACACAGAGTATCCTACGTGTACAATCCCTATACCTGGCTTTTTTCCACATGTGTTTCAGATCTCAGCAGGGTAGTGAGTTTTAACTCCCAAGCAATTGCTTCATTAATGAATGGATCCATCAGCCACAGTATATAAAGGTCCTAGTAGATTGCAAGGCACCAAGTTGGTGCCAAACACAAGGCCGATTTTCATACACTGCAATCAGCTAGAGGGTAGGCAGGTGGTGTGGGAGTGGCTGGAGGCCTGATGCCATTCGAGTATTGAAAAACTATCAGGCCAGGCGCGGTGGCTCACGCCTGTAATCCCAGCACTTTGGGAGGCAGAGGCGGGCAGATGACCTGAGGTCAGGAGTTCGAGACCAACCTGGCCAACATGATGAAACTCCGTCTCTACTAAAAATACAAAAAAAATTAGCTGGGCGTGATGGTGGGCACCTGTAATCCCAGCTACTCGAGAGGCTGAGGCAGGAG
The DNA here is from genome assembly GCF_000001405.40 of Homo sapiens. Taxonomy (NCBI): domain Eukaryota; kingdom Metazoa; phylum Chordata; class Mammalia; order Primates; family Hominidae; genus Homo; species Homo sapiens. The sequence continues at coordinate 25,091,700 of NC_000016.10, read as the reverse complement.
AATTGCTTGGACCCAGGAGGTGGAGGTTGCAGTTAGCCAAGATCGCGCCACTGCACTCCAGCCTAGCACACAGAGCAAGCCTCCGTCTCAAAAAGAAAAAAGAAAAACCATCAGTGGTTCTCTGTTGCTCCCTAGTTCCATGGCAGGCAAAGCCTTTCTTTGCAGCCACCTCCTGTTCTATCCCCTACTGAGTACACACTCCTCCCCAAACCCTTCTCCCCATGCTCTTTAGTTGTCCTGACTTATCTGAGGTCCACTTGGACTGTTTCCCTGCTTTCCTGGCCACACAGCTCATTGCTCTTCTATCTGTGCCCCCATAGAGCTCTCCTCAAGGATGACTGTTGACATCTCTGTCTTTCCCATGAGCTCCCAAAGGTGGGGACTGTGTGTCATTTGTCCCTCCTTTTTATTCCTTCCCGTTTCTTGACATTTAGCGTGAGCTCCATAAATAATGGCCACATTAACCAAGATCTGAGATCCTCAATACCTTGGATGAAGTCCATCCTAGGATATGTGGTTTATACCTGGGGACTTGCTTTTGCTCATCTATGAATGTTCAGCTGAGATCTGCTGGTGCAGGTGTTTCTGTAGCCTCATTAGCAGTGGTGGGAAGCCCAGCAGCTTAAGACGTTAGCTTCTGATGCAGGGTTCACTAACTCTCCACATATTCTGTCCCTGAGTTTCTGTTTATCGTTTGCCTGTGATTCTCTTTGGTGCCATCCCACACGGTGTTATCACAACCAATCCTGTGTTTTCATTGAACGTCCTGCGCTACTCCTGCTCTAAGTCTGACTAGCTTTTTGTCTTTGTGTGGTCTGGGCTCAACAGCCACTTTTTCCAGAGAGAAGCTACAACAGCTTGATAAGTTTGGAAAGGTCATTCTTAGATAAGACTTGGGATTTATCTGAAGGTTGTTATTATTTGTTGTAATTCTCAGAATAGCTAACACTCCATGAACCCTCACTAGGTGCCACCAAACACATTAAATGAAGTACATAACATGGTGTTCCTAAACAACCACTATGGTGGTGGTATCATTATTATTATTATTATTTTATGGTTATGAGTATTCCCATTTCACAGTGGAGGAAACGTTGCTTAGTAAAGCGTACCTGTGAGCATCTAGGCCAGGGATTCAGAGTCTGATTTGACTCCAGAGCCATTTCTTTCTCTTTTTCTTTTTCTTTCTTTTTTTTTTTTTTTTTTTTTTTGAGACGGAGTCTTGCTCTGTCACCCAGGCTGGAGTGCAGTGGTGCGAACTCGGCTCACTGCAACCTCCGCCTCCCGGGTTCTAGCGATTCTCCTGCCTCAGCCTCCTGAGTAGCTGGGATTACAGGCACGTGCCACCACGCCTGGCTAATTTTTGTATTTTTAGTAGAGATAGAGTTTCACTATGTTGCCTAGGGTCTGCAGCTCCAGACTCAGGAAGCCTGCCTCAGCCTCCCGAAGTTTCAGGATTAAAGGCGTTAGCCACTGCGCCTAGCCTCCAGAGTCATTTCTTATCACTCTGTTTCTTATCACTGAGTTTATTCTGCCTGAGGGCAAGAGAGTAAAGCCAATTTAAATCGTGCACTTCCGAGCTCCTTCTGGGCCGCCCTAGAATCAGGGCATTATCCCATTTTAAGTATACAAAATGATTCTTAGTAAATTTACAGAGTTATGTAACCAGCATCACTATCCAATTGTGGAACATTTTCATCACCTCAAATAAGAGCCCTCTTGCCCCTTCTAAAGTTAATCCCTGTTCCTAACCCTCCAGCTTCATGGCCAGCCACTCATCTACTTTCTACCTCTATAGATTCTGTCTCTATCGAGTCCCGTTTTCTGGCCATTTCATGTAAGTGGCATCACCTGTATTATTTTCAGAGGCCCCATGATCATCGTATGTAGCTCTGGTTAAGAACCACCGTTACCTCCTAGATCTTTTTTCACTAATTTTCTGAGTGGCTCGGAAAACTCAATAGGCCCCTGCCAGGGCTGTCTCTTAGATAATCTGTGAGCTAAATGAGTCCTTGTAAGTTGGACTGAGAACTTAATGATCATTTACAACCTGTTTTTATGGGGATGAGTTTGTCAAAGTCCAAACGTGCTGACCTAGTTTGGAAGGGAGCCTGCACAACCTGTCTTCAGACGCTGCGCGCCTCCCGAGCAGCCATCAGTCACAGCACTGAGTCAGAGCCCAGGTGTGGAGGGAGCCCCCCACCCTGTGTGGCCTGGCCTTGGGCACTTTTGCTTTAGATTTTCTTTGTGGCTTTTCAGCTCCTCCTAGCCCCTGGCTGCCTCACCAGAGCAATAAACTGGACTCCTCCTGAGCTCCCTTCTCTTTAGGCAGTAGCTCTATGTGGATGTACTGTCTGCATCACAGTATTTTACAAAATTTTCTCACATACTTTTGCCTACTTAAATACATTTGATATCTCAAACTCAGCTGCCTCCAGGTCCAAGCAGGTACCACGAGTGACCGGAGCAGGCTGGGGAATGAGGCACTTGGAATTTCTGGGAGGCCACTGAGGTGGTCGGTGGTGGAGAAGCAGTTTCCTTCAGACTTTGCCATGAGCAGGAATCTTTGCTGGAGCTTTGAGACAGTCCACATGGTTAGAGCAGGGATAGCAAATAGATTCCATTTCATGTGCCAGAGGGGAAAAAACCAACTGACCTACCAAAACGCCACGTGGATAAGCTTACATGTGCAGGAAAATGATAAACCTCAATTCAATTTAGGGTAAACTGTAACTGTTCATCTTAGTCACTGGAATTGAAATAATATTATCAAGATTAAGATTGAGAAGGGTTTTGTTACTGTTGTTTAAAGTAAGAAATAAATGTTATTACCATGTCTTAGAGAAGTTGTAAATATGTGGGCAAAATACCATCATTTGGGGAAATAATTCAGAGTATAGAACTATTAGACCTATTTTTCCCACACCATTGCCAAAATATTTTCTATTGAATCATTTCCCCCTGATAAGTATCCTTTTTCTTTTCAGTGTTATGCATGGGAACAATTTTTTCCCAATACCATTCCTTTAGAGTTCTTGAACTCTCTTATGACTTTTAAACTGCTTTGTGGCAAGTATAACAATTTTTTTTTTAAGTTTCAGAGGGTCCTTTATTATTTTATTTTACTTTATTTTTGAGACAGAGTCTCACCCTGTTACCCAGGCTGTAATGCAGTGGTGTAATCTCGGCTCACTGTCACCTCCACCTCCCAGGTTCAAGTGATTCTCCTGCCTCAGCCTCCCGAGTAGCTGGGACTACAGGCACACGCCACCATGCCGAGCTAATGTTTGTATTTTTAGTAGAGACAGGGTTTCACCTTATTGGCCATGCTGGTCTTGAACTCCTGATCTCATGATCCGCCTGCCTTGGCCTTCCGAAGTGCTGGGATTACAGGCATGAGCCACCGCACCTGGCCGAGTCCTTTATTTTTAAAATCCAATTAGGTAGATTGTAGATTCATCCCCAGAAATGTAAGAAGACAGCTAATCTAATGAGACAAAACAGTTAAAAACTCATTCAATAGTCCTCCAGCTCACTATGAAATCAAACTATTGCATCCAAACTGGGCTCAGAGGCTCAGGTGGATTTTGTAAATACTTGTAACGGGAGGTGACAGTGTTGCACAAAATCAGATTCCCAGCAGAATGAAATCCGTTGCCTAGCCCTGGGTGGGCTTAGGCTCTGTAATTTCACTGTGAATACAAATCACGTTGCACGCAGTAATGTTTATGTTGTTACCCTATATACAGTATTCAGATTTCTTGGTAGATTAGTCATAGTCTCTTATTTCTCAAAAATGCATTCAGATATTTCCTGGTAACCAGCATTGAAAATGAGTTCATTAAAAATTCTCTCCATGCTTCATTTTTTCATTTTAATTGACGTATCAGTCAGTGTGCAAGTGTAATAAAAGCCAGCAGAACAGTGATCTCTCATGTGAAATTGTAAACCAAAAACCAACAGCCCTGTGAGCCCAGGGGCAGTGGGAGCCATTGATGTTTGATGTTAGTGTTGGCGCCTCGGCCACATATTTGCTATCCTTGGGTGGGGGGTGCCCTTGGTGGTAGAAAGATGAGCCCCTGCTCTCAAGGCCCCAGAATGGCTGAAAGGATTGAAAAGGAGCAATTTGGCAAAGTCTTGAAAAGCCATCGTCTCTCAACCTCTGAAATGCAAGTTGGGAAAGCACAGAAATCCCCCTTCTGAGTAAGAAGAATTTGGATTTGGGAAGTGATTAAAAAGGACTAAAGTTTCATGGGAAAATGGACTTCACTTGTACATAGATCAGGGGTCAGCAAAGTCTGGTGTTGGGGGGAAATCTGGCGGCTGCAGGCTCAGAATGGTTTTCGCATTTCATTTATTTGGAGACCGTGGTCTTGCTCTGTCACCCAGGCTGCAGTGTAGTGGCAGGATCTTGGCTCACTGCAACCTCTGCCTCCTGTGCTCAAATGATCCTCCCGCTTCAGCCTCCCGAGCACCTGGTACTACAGGAGTGCGCCACCAAGCCAGGTGAATTTTTGTCTTTTTTGTAGATCTGGGGTCTGTGTTGCCTAGGCTGGTCTCAAACCCCCGGGCTCAAGCGATCTTCCTGCCTCAGCTTCCCACAGTGCTGGGATTACAAGCGTGAGCCAACGTGCCTGGCCCCAACTGCTGTTTGAAAAATACTGAGTATATCCTACTTCCAAAGCACCTCTCTGCCTCCTCTCAGATGCCACCCCCTTGAGCTCAGGCTCTTATCTGGAGCTCACCTTACCTGGCCATCTCCTGTGGCCTCCTAACTTTTCACCTTCATCTATCCTTCCTCAGTATTCTTCATGCTGAGACCAGAGTCATTTGAAAAACACATTTATGGCCATATTTGCTCCAATTTTAAATTCTTACACACCTGATTGCTCTTAGGTGTCTAGTGCTTGGTTCGTGGAATATGATCATAACATATGACTGGAGAAATAATTACAGATACTCTGTGTTTTTCCCCAGGATGAAGATCGTCTCCCAAGTAAATATGTTGAGTTTGACTGGGCACCGTGGCCCACACCTGTAATCCCAGCACTTTGGGAGGCCAAGGCGGGCAGATCACTTGAGGCCAGGAGTTCGAGACCACCCTGGCCAACATGATGAAACCCTGTCTCTACTAAAAATACAAAAATTGGCCCGGCATGGTGGCATGCACCTGTAATCACAGCTACTCAGGAGGTTGAGGCAGGAAAATCACTTGAACCTGGGAAGTGGAGGTTGCAGTGAGCCATGATCATACCACTGCACTCCAGCCTGGGTGACAGAGTGATACTCCGTGTCAATAATTAAATAAGTAAATAAATAAGTTGAGGTCAACTTTCAAATGATCGTCATGAGAAAGCTACACAGTATTAAGTAAGTGTGGTTTAGCCAGAAGAAAAAGAACCAGGTAGAATTCACACCCAGCTCTCGGTAGATGGCAGATTTCACTTTAGGGAACTGCTTTCCTTTGACCCCCTCCCCACTTGCTTTCTTGGCCTGGGATCCTCACTCCAGCATGTCGTGCAGTCTTCAGAATGCGATATCCTTTTCCTTACGACTCTTCTAGCAATTAATGTAATTTGCCTGAACATTTAAAAAATGACCTCTCATAATTTCATAATCTGAATCTTTATGTGTCTTTCTTGATCCCCAGGGCATAGAGAAGGTTACCTGGCCCAGACTAGATGTGCAGTAAATGGTTTTTGTATGTGTGAATGAATGGAAGACTGAAGTTAGTTATTATAGATGAGATATTATGGGGCCATTCCGAGTCCGGTATTCAAGGAGTTTGCAAAGTTGCAGATGACAAGTTTGCTAATGTGTGCTGAGTGTTCGTGCCTAGTAGCATGTTAAGTGGTTTGCTTGGGTTGTTTCATTCAGTCCTCACAGCGGACTCGTGAATTAAGTGCTGTTATTATCACGTTTTTGCAGATGAGGAAACTGAGGCTCAAAGAAGATAATGTGCCCAAGGTCACCTCGCTAGGAAAGAGTGGAGCTGAGATTTAAACTGTGACTTTAAGCCCAAGTTCAAGGCTTCTTACTAGTTTTAACTACATTCCCATACCCCTTTTAATCAATCATGTAAATAAAATCTTAATTCTTTTAAAAAATTAATATGTGTTTCAGCTTGTCCTGTAGAGAAGACTAATACTTACAAATGGGAAATATTCGTCAAGCTTTATTTTTTCTAGTTTGTCTTATGAAATTAAGTTTTTCAGCCTTTCCCAATATAAAGCTATATTTTATATTAAATATGCTTTTTATTTATTTTTTTGAGACGGAGTTTTGCGCTTTTTGCCCAGGCTGGAGTGCAATGGCGCAATCTCAGCTCACTGCAACCTCTGCCTCCCAGGTTCAATCGATTCTCCTGTCTCAGCCTCCCAAGTAGCTGGGATTACAGGCGTGTGCCACCAAGCCCGGCTAATTTTTGTACTTTTTAGTAGAGACAGGGTTTCACCATATTGTTCAGGCTGGTCTTGAACTCCTGACCTCGTGATCCACCCACCCTTGGCCTCCCAAAGTGCTGGGATTACAGGCATGAGACACTGCGCCCAGCCAAGTCTTAGTTATTTCTACATGTAAGTATTTCATGATCCGTTTGTGATTTGGACATCAAATGCTGAGCATAATGCTTCGCTGACCTCACCTGAGACCTGCATCCACTGAATTTTTACTGTATGTGCTTAGGGCCGAATGTAATTAAAGTCTTGTTTATTTACTTCTTTTTTTTTTTTTTTTTTTGTAAATAAGGTCTCCCGTTACGCAAGCTGGAGTGCAGTGGCAGGTTAATAGCTCATTGTAGCCTCAAATGTAGCCTTCCCAGTAGCTAGTGAAGGCCTTTTTAGAGGGGCTCTTGCTTTGAACAGTAGCAAATATATATTTGCCATTTTTGTAGTGAGTGTCTGCATTTGTGCAGTAAATGAGCTCATGAGTAAACTGAGGAGTACATGGACTCATCTCCTCCTCTTTCTTTTCTTTTTTTTTTGGTTCAACATATTTCTGTTGAACAAATGTACATACACACTGAACAGCTATATCCTGTAGTTCAGTATATTTCTGTTGAATGAATGAGTCTCTACCACTTGTTTATAAATATAAACATTTATGTAATTTTAATAGTGAATAACATACATGTTTTGTAACTTGCTCTTTTCATGTCAGCATATACAGATCTGCATCGTTATTTATAATTGCTTTATTGTACTCCTTTGTGGAAATTCCCCTCTATTTAATCTATTTAATCTTAATAGAGGGGAAATTCCCCTCCATTTAATCTGTTCCCTACTGATAATCACTTAGATTTTTGCCTTTTTATTTTTTGTTTTGTTTTGTTTTCTTTTGAAACAGGGTCTCACTCTGTTGCCCAGGCTGGAGTACAGAGACTCGATCACAGCTCACTGCAGCCTCAGACTCCTGGGCTTAAGTTGCCCAGGCTGGTCTTGAACTGAGCTCAAGCAGTCTGCCCACCTCAGCTTCCCAAAGTGCCGGGATTACAGGTGTGAGCCACTGTGCCCAGCCTATGTTTTTATATTAAACAGTGTTATAGCAAATACAAGTATATGTGCATGTTTGCAGGAATCGCTAGTGCAGAGTTTGCACATTATGAATAGCCACTGCCAGGCTTTTCAAGTCCTTTTTTTACCAATTTACAGTTTCACTGAATTGGGTGAGGAAATTTCCTGCCCTACACCCTCTGTCTCACTTTGTTTTGTGCTGCTGTAACAGAATATCTGAGACTGGGTAATTTCTAAAGAACAAAGATTTATTCTTACAGTTCTCAACGCTGGGAAGTCCAAGGTCAAGGGGCCCACATCTGGTGAGGGCCTTCTTGCTGCATCATCCCATGGTGGAAGGTGGACGGGCAAGAGGGCATGCTTGCCTGCAGGAGAGGAAGAGGGGGGAAGGGGCCTGTACTTATTCTTTTATCAGGAACCCCTCCTGCGATAACTAACGCTTTCATGAGGGCAGGGCCCCGTGACCCATCCCCTCTTAAAAATCCGCCCCCTCAACACTGCTGGATGGGGAATGAAGTTTCCAACACATGAACTTTGGGGAACACAGTCAAACCATAGCATTCTGCCCCAGCCCCCCAAATTCATGTCCTCTCACATGCAGAGTACATTCATTCCATCCCAACAGGTTTAATGTTTTCATTTGTTCCAGCACCAAGTCAAGAGTCCAGAGTCTCATTTGAATCAGATACAGGTGAGACTTTGGGCAAGATTTCTCCTAAGGCAGATTCCTCTCCGCCATGGGCCTGGGAAATTAATGTGCTTCCAAAATATGATGGTGGGTCAGGCATAGGACAGCAATTCCCATTCCAAAGGGATTCGTTTCCTGTTGTTGCTGTAACAAATCACCACAAAGTTAATGGCTTGAAGAATACAAATGGATTATCTCACATTTCCGGAGATCAGAAGTTCGAACCAGATCTGCCTGCACTACAATCAAGGTGGCAGCAGGGCTGATGAATGCCTTCCTGGACACGTGAGGGGAGCATCTGCCTCCTCACCTTTTCCAGCTTCTTGGGTCTGCCCATGTTCCTTGGCCTCTTCCTGCATTTGTCAAAGCCAGCAGCATTTATGCTGTGCCTTTCTTCCAAAGTTGTGTCTTCACGGACTTCCTGGGCAACTATGAAGGACCTCTGTGATTACACTGGGCCTGTGGGGATAATCCACGCTAATCTCCCTTTATGCTGATTAGCAACTTTCATTCCATCTCCAACCTTAATTCCCCTTTGCTATGTAATCTAACACATTCACAGGTTCTGGAGATTCAGAAATGGACATTACTGGGGAGGGGAGAGCATTTTTCTGCCTACTCTAGATCCAAATGTCAACCCAAGGCTGAACAGCCCTGATTTCAAAGGACATATGCACACATGACACATATCCACACGTACATGCATTATACACACATACCTGTACACATTTAGACAGATATGTGGAGCATCTTTACAGGTCAGAACACAAATATACACCTCTACCTCCTTTTTATGGCTGCAGAGTAAGCCATTCTGTGGATATACCATGTTCTACTTAACTGCACGAAAGCAAGGCAGCACCACCAAACCCTCCAGCCTCATATTCAATCTAACTGAACTGTGGACTGAAGACAGCTCAAGACCGTCAAACCTCCACATCACAAACGGTTCCTCCAAGGCTGTAGGGATCTACTTGAGCCTTCATAATAGCCAACAGTAGCAGCCATATTTGCTAGGTGCTTTCTATGCCCCAGACACTCACTGGGTTGACACCTACATCTATTCTAATTCTCAAACCAGGCAAATCGGATAGGATCCACTATTACTCCCATTTTACATATAAGGAAAGTGAAACTCCAAGAGGTAACTTGCCCAGGACCCCAGCACTAATAAGTGGGATTGTGGGATTCAAACCCAGAGGGCTTGACTAGCCACCCCTAGACTTAGTTTATTTAAACCAGGGAGCAGACTACACCTGAAGGCTCAATCCAGCTCACTGCCCATTTTTTATGGCCAGAAAGCTCAGAAGAGTGGTTATTTTTAAATGACTAGAAAAAACCCCAAAAGAATAATAATATTCGGTAACACGTGAAAATTATATGAAATTCAAATTTCAGTGTACATGAAAGTTTTATTGGAACACAGCCAGGCTCCTGTGTTTATGTGCTATCTATGGCGGCTTTCAGGCTACAACAGCAGAGTTGAGTTGTTGTGATAGATACCGCCGTGTGATCTGCAGAGCTCAAAACTGACTCTCTAGCCATTTATCCTTTCTCCAGTCACAGAGAATCTGGTCCTCAATCTTTCTGACTGCTTCACGCTGAGAAGGGGCATTGTGGGATAATGACGAAGAACGAAAACGTCATGCCTATAGCTGAAGTACTCACAAGTGCCTGGCTGGCATCCAGCTTGATGGAACATGGTAATATGGGTCCTTTTATCTTGGTTTTAGAGCAACATTTCAAGCCATGCTAAGATGATTAATAACATAGATAACATCCGGATGCGGTGGCTCACACCTGTAATCCTAGCACTTTGGGAGGCCGAGGTGGGTGGATCACAAGGTCAAGAGATCGAGACCATCCTGGCCAACATGGTGAAACTCCATCTCTACTAAAAATACAAAAATTAGCTGGGCATGGTGGCATGTGCCTGTAGTCCCAGCTACTCGGGAGGCTGAGGCAGGAGAATTGCTTGAATCCAGGAGGTGGAGGTTGTAGTAAGCCAAGATCACGCCACTGCACTCCAGCCTGGCAACAGAGCAAGACTATGTCTCAAAAAAAAAAAAAAATAATAATAATAATAATAATAGCCAGTGTGGTGGCACACGCCTGTAATCCCAGCTACTCGGGAGGCTGAGGAAGGAGAATCGCTTGAACCCGGGAGGTGGAGGTTGCAGTGAGCCGACATCACGCCACTGCACTCCAGCCTGTGTAATGGGAGCAAGGCTCCATCTCAAAAACTAAAAATAAAAAATAACATAGATAATAAAAATTTTAAAAATACCACAGAATATGGAGTGGATCCCTTGGGAAATCCAAGAGAAGACTCAGAGTTCTGTGTTCTCTGTATGGTTTCTTATTTCAGGTCTTTGGCTGGGCTTTGAATACTAACTTAAGGCCGTAGAAGGGTTCACACAACCATGAGTGTTTCCTCTAGAGGGATCCAAGAGGGACTAGTTTTACTCCAGTACGGTGAGTCCATGGGTAACACTGGCAAACTTGACGGATGGGTGGGTGGTCAGCAGCACCGCAAAGGAGCTGACCCATTGTGCTTGCAGCTGGTCTTGAGCCTGGTGGGACTGCCAGGTCTTCAGCATGACCTGGTTCCCCAGTTTCAAAGAATAAAGAGGCACAAGGAATTGGAACCTGTTAGAAGCAAACTCAGAGACTAGTTAACATACTTCCTAATGATTTTATATAAGAACTAGCTTCTCTTTCTGGAGAGGAAAAATCCTCAAGTATCAGGGAATCTGGAGAAATGGTCTCCTGTACAGTATTTCAAAGGGGCTAAGAGCCAACCCATTTCTGGGGTATTCATATCTTCAGCAGGGCAAGGGGCAAGACTTTTCCCCAAGTAAGATTTGTCTCCTGGCAACTGGGGTTCCCTTGGTCACAAATGGGTCTGTTCAGTCAATGACGGGCTTAGGACTTTATTTTTAGTTTGGCCCCTTTTGGTCAAGATATGCCAGAGGCAGCATCAATAGCCAAGCTTTTATTTTGTCCCATATCATTGCTGGGGTGGTATGGCTGCCTGCTCTGGGTCCATCCTATCTCTCAGTGGGACACTTCTATGGCCAAGGGACTCAGAATCAAAAGACTGATTTTCAATTAAACATTCTAGGCCAGATAGAAATGGCGGTGGGTAGGCACTCATTAATCCTGAAAACCTTTTAAGCAACACAAGGGTCAAAAAGCAAAATGTAAGATTAAAATTCCTGTCCTCTTAAAGCCAGGCCCCCATGGCTAGTGTACAAAGCATATCAGCTGCTTCATCTGAGGTGCTCCAGGTGGCATTGATAAGTGGAGTTGGGCAGTTCCACTTATCTGGGGTAAACAGATCTTACAGTGACTTTTATCCAGTCCACGCTCAGGAATAACCTCCTGTGTGTCTGAATTATATATCCTTCTACGACTGTTCAATTGTGAGCTGTGGGCCCTACATTAACCAGACATGCTCTTCCACTCTGCAGCATTTAAAACAAAAGACACTGCTTCCAAATTAGTTATTCTCACAATCCATTATTAGGAAAGGTGCCTCAAGGAAGCTGATGATACCAGTCTACAAAAGGGAACACTTCCTTCACATCACACCATTTGGCTTCAGTAGTTACTTCGTTTTGCCCTTCCCTACCTTGACTACCTTCTTGGAAACCACAGGTCTAAGAGGCACCAGAAACTACCTCTTTTGTGGGTGGCTTTGAGGCTAGTGATCTAAACTCAGACCCACATCTGAGCTTGGTCCAGCCTCAAGGCTTAATCCAGCACTCTTACTTTAATTTTAGCTATTATAGATAACAATAACTAAGGAATGAATATTTCACTTTTTCCTTATTAGTTTGGATTTCCTTATGCATCCAGTGATCCAACTCCCCAGGAATTTGATCCATCTTTAAATTCCACTGGTTCTTGCAATGGCTTTCTATTAAAAAGAAAAAAAGTAAAAAAAAATTAAAACAACAACAACAAAAAATTCCACTGGTAAACTTTACCTTTAATAACTGAATGCAGCATAGCTGCAGCTCCAGGTTGCCACCCAGGAATCATAGGTTAATGTAATAACAGGTATACTACAGTCTTCTTCTGAAACATAATTTTTCTCTGGCCAGTTCCCCATCTCTACCAAAGACAAATCATGGTAAGACCAATTTATTTGCAAATTAAGTTTTAGTCTTATTATACTTAGCCAGATTATTTGCATAAAGTACAGCAAGAATTATTGTCCATATAGGCTCTTTTAAGTTGGCTTTGCTGGAACTTCCCAAAAGGAATCTCAGATTCAACTTTTAAAGGCCTCTCAAGCTCAGCCAAGAATGTATCTGTGCCTGCAGATACCTGTACAAATTGGGTGAATTCCGCTCCTCTCAAGGTCTCAAAGTAACTTTAGATTCCTGGGCCTGTCAGAAAGTGACATTCGTTACTTAGCACAGGTCAGGAATCCTGCAAAGGAACTACATAGAGAGGTGTGAGGCCAGTCTTTCCAAGGGACATTTATCAGCTCTATAAAGTCAATCTCAATTCCTCAAAGCAGTCTGCTTATATCTAAAAATGTCATTCCAGTTAAACCCTTGGTCAAAAAACCAGTACCTCCAATTATGTGCTGTTATAAAAGAAAACATTCTTATTGAACTTATGCAAATAACTATATTGCCACAAGTTAAGAATATTCGCAAATAGTTTTTGAATTCTGGAGAAATCAAGCAGACAGCAAGAAATCTGCTTTAAATTTTATTTACAAGAGTATACTCAATTGTTAAGGGCTACAAATAGCTCAAGAGAAAAAAAATTTGACACTGAACAACAAAAAGAATCAGCAATGTTTCAAACCAAAAAAGCCACAAAAGAATCAGTTCAGTCCTCTATTAGCTCAGTCCATGCAATTAACTCTTGTTTTGCTTCATACTGGGTTAGCAATCTTTATGACCACATCAGCCTTTTAATTAGAGTCCTAGAAGTTTTCTGTCTAATCCAACAGCACAGTCTTTCTGACATCATCAGAAACCTGCATTCAGGAGTCTTCCAAGGAGCAAATTTTGGACTGTAGTTGACTGTAAGCCGCTTTTTGAGAAGAATCCAATAAAACAATAATTGTAGATGATAAAATTTTTAAGACATTCTAGTCAAAGACACATTAAATATACAATTGTCAAGGAAATCTGGTTATTTCTGTGGCATACAACAATTTAACATAATACACATATTACTAATGGCATATACTAAGACATATCAGGATTTTAGGAGTGCCATGTAATTTTGGCACACATCAATAACACATTTATATAAATATAACCCAAAGAAGGTTAAACACCATTTCATATTTGACAATGCTTCCTGTGTAATTTTAACATACCAAATAAGCCTAATATGTCTCTTTTGGACTTCAGGGGACCGCATATCTTTTTTTTTTTTTTTGAGACAGAGTCTCGCTCTGTCGCCCAGGCTGGAGGCTCACTGCAAACTCCACCTCCCGGGTTCACACCATTCTCCCGCCTCAGCCTCCCGAGTAGCTGGGACTACAGGCGCCCGTGACCACACCCAGCTAATTTTTTGTATTTTTTTAGTAGAGACGGGGTTTCACTGTGTTAGCCAGGATGGTCTCGATCTCCTGACCTTGTGATCCACCCGCCTTGGCCTCCCAAAGTGCTGGGATTACAGGAGCCACCGCGCCCGGCCAGAGGACCTAATATCTTTTAAAAATATATATTATTTTTTGTTTGTTGTTGTTATTGGAGACAGGGTCTCCAAAACTCTGTAGCCCAGGCTGGAGTGCTGTGGTGCAATCACAGCACAGCTCACTGCAGCCTTGATCTCCTGGGCTCAAGCAATCCTCCCATCTCAGTCTCCAGAGTGGCTGGCACTACAGGCACATGCCACCCTGCCCAGATTTTCATGTTTTTTGTTGTTGGGTTTTTTGTTTGGTTGGTTTTTTTTTTTTTTTTTTTTTTGTAGAGACGAGGTCTCACTATGTTGTCCAGACTGGTCTCAAACTCCTGAGCTCAAGTGATCTGCCCACCTCATCCTATCAAAGTGCTGGAATTACAGGTGTGAGCCACTGCATCCACCATTAATTTTTCTTTTTTTTGAGACAGTCTCGCTCTGTTGCTGGAGTGCAGTGGCACAATCTCAGCTCACTGCAACCACCACCTCCTGGGTTCAAGTGATTTCCGGCTAATTTTTGTATTCTTAGTAGAGACGGGGTTTCACCTTGTTGGCCAGGCTGGTCTCAAACTTCTGACCTCAAGTGATCCACCCACCTTGGCCTCCCAAAGTGCTAGAATTACAGGTGTGAGCCACCATGGCCAGCCTTTTTTTAAGTTAGCTTAAGGTCAAAGAGACTGAATTTACAACTTGATTTTTTTGTTTGTTTGTTTTAGACAGAGTTTTGCTCTGTCACCCAGGCTGGAGAGCAGTGGTGCAATCTCAGCTCACTGCAACCTCCGCCTCTCAGGTTCAAGTGATTCTCTAGTAGCTGGGATTACAGGCACACACCACCACACCTGGCTAATTTTTGTAGTTTTAGTAGAGGTGGAGTTTCACCATTTTAGCCAGGCTAATCTCAAATTCCTGAACTCAAATGATCTGCCTGCCTGGTCTCAGCCTCCCAAAGTGCTGGGATTATAGACATGAGCCACTGTAGCCGGCCAGAAGTTGAAATCTTGATGTTGGGAAGTTCATCAGTCGAATATCAAAAGTTTAAAACATTTGATGCCACAAAATAGGATCACGGTTCATTATAAAATAGTTATTCATTTAGCCAAAACGATAATTCAAAGATTTCCAAAAAAACAAAAAACCAAAACACCAAAGACCTTTACTCATTGATATGAAGGAGACTCAGTTTCCCCAACTGTAAGATCCAATGAAGACAGCAGGAAACCAACTAAATGTCTGTCTCTCTCCTTTTTTTTTCCTGTAGTTTACTTAAAAGGTAAACAAAAATCTTTGATCTCTTATTAATGTTTTAGGGGTATTATTAATGTTAAAGCTAATAAAACCTTATAAACAAATCTAATTTTAATCAGTTTGACCACGAAGTAAGATTTCCATACGCCTTGTATAACCTTTTACAATCTTCTATTAAAGAGTAGATCAGTGGTCCAGGAAAATTGTTATTCCGACACAGGGGCCAGACGCTTGCCTGGCCTCAGTGTGCCTTTGATATTAATGTTTACAAAAAAACTCTAATTTTATCCCTCAAAGTTGGCCCTTACAATCTCACACGCCCACCTCTTCCGCGATAGTCCCTGGGCCTAGGGGGATTGAATACTTGTAATTACTGGCCCTGCGTCTCATGAAAGCATTTCATTTCGATTGTCACCTTCTCCCAGGTCTGAAGATGAGGCTTTGACTGGCGTCAGTGTTCAAGATTTAGCAGGAATCTGTGCCTTTTTCAGACTCAGGAGTCAAAGCCCTGTAACTTAACGGCAGAAGGACTTTAGAAGCAATATAGAAAGTTACATGGATGTAAAAACCTTAATTCTGTTAGATTTATTTTTAAGCAATATAAAAACTAATGATGACATAAGAATTATCAATAAAACGTAAATCTGTTCGTTAGGCCAGTTACCAAAAGGCAAAGAAAGACTTTCTGCAGTGTAATTGCTTCTCCTTATGGGAAGCCCATTTAGATAACCTTGTTGCCCAGGCTGGAGTGCAGTGGCGCGATCTCGGCTCACTGCAACCTCTGCCTCCTGGGTTCAAGTGATTCTCCTGCCTCAGCCTCCCAAGTAGCCGGGCTTACAGGCTCTCAACACCACGCCCGACTAATTTTTGTATTTTTAGTAGAGATGGGGTTTCGCTATGTTGGCCAGACTGGTCTCAAACTCCTGACTTCAGGTGATCCCCCCGCCACGGCCACCCAAAATGCTGGGATTACAGGCATGAGCCACTGTGCCTGGCCCCAACTCCGTAATTTGAATCAACTTTTAGATAACTTCTGAGTTAGATATTATTCTTCTTCTCAGTAAAGATATAACTTCTGTGACACATTTTATATACGGAATTACATATTAACTAGAATTATTAGTAACCTTACATTTTAATGAAAAACCTAGGAAGCAAGAAATCCTGAACTGTTTACCAGATATTAGCATTTTAGATGACAACCTTCCATAGTTTTTTAAAAAATCTTTCCCCATATCATAACCCTTTCTTAATTTAAAATGACTCAGACATCTAATGAGCGCCAAAACCTCAAGATTTTTAAATTACAGAAAAAGTTCACATACATTTACCCCATTCCTATTTTATGCATTTTTAGCCATTTCTCTACATTAACTATGAGAACTGAGATATTAGACAAAGCCAGTCATTGCTTCCTTGATAATCATTTTTATAACCAATGAATATCAGGTGTTCACCTAATTAAGAACTTTAAAATTAAAACACATGGGTATATTTGCCAATAACTCAGAAAATTCAGCTGTTTTTATTAAACGACAACATTAGTCTTATTTATCAAAAACACACACACACACTAAGATTATTTTCTTCTTGGCTGGGTTTATAGTCTTATAACCTTTTCTGTCAAACTCTGACACCTTAACACATCTAGCAAATATAACACCCAGACAAAAAGGTAGGCTGACAAGTCCGAAGACATTTCTATTTTACCAATAATGTTAAAGTCAGCTTATTAAAGATTTACTTAAGTCACATGAACTTGGAAAATGACTGGACTTATTTACCTAATTTATGCACACTCTTTTTTATTTATAAGACAATTCGGTACCCTGTGAAAATGATACAGAACATCCAGAGACATATACACAAATACAAAGATCCAACAGCATTTACCCTGGAATTCTAGCCATTAGATAGCAATGCAAACTCACTGGTTTATGAACATGTTCACATGGCTAAACTTTGTTTGCCCCAATAGGTAATCCAGTGAAGGCTGTGAACCAAAATTTTGGGTAAATCACTTTCCATGGCAGTTTGATTTTTAAAGGCAAAACCTCCTCAGACTTTAAAGAATATTGGGGCCAAACAGTACCACTGAAGAACATCACAAGCAGCCAGGCCCAACCTTGCTTAGGACAGCAGCAGAAAAGCCTGGATACATGGAACTCCATCCTGCCTTCCCATCCAACAGAAAAATGAACGCAATTATAAGACAGCAAGCAGTACAATTCAAAGACCCTTGGAGAGTCCCGCCTCCCCTGACTTCAAAGAACACTGGAGCCAAACAGTGTTACAAAATAATATTATTTTCCTTTGTTCCATTGGCTCATAACTATATTCAGACTAATTCTAAAGAATGCACCCAGGTGGGCTACATTCTAAGATCAAATTCTGATTTCTTGTGACTATATCCACACACACACACATAAATAATTATGAAAATACAATCTAACCACAGTAGCGACTAACAAGCCCCCAAGACCATCCAAGCCAAAACAGTTGAGGTGCTTTCCTCTCACAGTCAGCTGGGCTTGTTCAACCTGCAAATGCAAATTCCTTCACAATTCCCCACCCAAATTGAGAGAAGCAGATCCTGCCATCTGGTACCCACAAAAGACACCGGTCAGATGCATATGTCACATTTCAAAGGCTGCTCTTCCTAGACAAATCAGGAACACAGTTAGAGTCAGCAGCAGTGGGGACAAAGAGAGACAGACAGAAATCCACCTTTGGCCAAAAAAAGGTCAGGCAGCTGCTTAGGAGGGCCTCTGAGACTCTCCCCATCTGTGGCCACCAGCCAGAGGCAACCCATTCCTGATTAGTGGACCAAAATCTGTTACCGAAATGCCAGGGGTTCAGTATAGGTTCAGTATAGGTTCTGCACAGAAAGCCAATCATTAAGAAAAGTAATGCCGGGGAAGAAAACTTTATTATATTATGGTTGACATCAGCCCAAGAGAACAGGAGATCAGTCTCAAATCCCTCTCTCCAGCTGACTAAAGCCGGAGGCATTATATAGCGGGGGGAAGGAATTTAATTATGAGCAGGAAGACAGCAATCAGGCAGGAGTAAGGCATCAATTGTGACGAATGAGGGGTCGGGAGTGTCAGTGTCTGCATGCAGCAATCAGGTGAGTTTCTATCCCTTGGTGGAGGAAGGAACTCCGATGAGACTCAACAGGGCTTGCTGGGGCCGGAGGGTGAGGGCGAATGGCAAACAGCATGGGGAACTTTTTGGATGATGGAAACGTTCAGTGTCCTCCTCAGGGTACTGCTTAGGCACAGATGCAGACATTTGTCATAACCCACTGATTTGTACTCAAGATGAATGTGTTTCACTGTATAATTTTTACCTGCATTTAAAAAAGCAATTGTGTGAAAACCACAAGCTGCAGGATACATAGGTACTGTATGTTACCACTTGGTAAAAAACTGAAGGGTATGAGCATTCTCCCTGACACACGCACTCATGCACACTCAGGAAAAGGCATTTGGGGGTGGCTGTTTTGGAGCCGGTGTCCTGGTGGCCAGCATCAGGCTGGCAGGAGCCACGCATGGCGCTGGGGAAAATCACTAATGCAGAGGGAGACGAGGCCAACCCAGAGATGAGGAAGGTGTAGGGAAGAACAGAGGCCTGCCCTGTTATTAGGGCTGTCACCGAAGACCAGCCCTAATGAGGCTCTAGGCCAGGCCTCTGCGTTTCCCGGCAGTGCCCTACCCTGGGTGGGCCTCTGAGCAGGCGCTGCCTAGAAGCATCTCATTGCGAGTTTCTCTCCTTTGTTTTAGAGACAGGACCTCCAGACTAAAGTCAGATCCAACTGCGCTGGATGTTTTACTTGGAGCCAACCAGATGACTTCTATGAACAATAGGGATGTCTTCCTGGTTTGGTGGCCTTGACTCTGGCTTAAGCTGTTCCTTGGAGCAAGTGGGCAGCAATGTGGCCACATCTCAAGTGTGCTCATAAATGGCACAGAAAAGGGGAAGAGTTCCCTAACGGTGAGATAAAGGAGACTGAAGCCAGTATGAAATTCTTAATATCAGAGAATGAGGGACTTCAAAATCTTTGTAGTGACCTCAGAGATACGTAGGAAGCATCAGAGCTTCAGATATGGCAGCAAACTACAAGTTATTGGCATCAATTACAACAGAAAGGCAGAAATGAGCGTTCCTGAAGCAAGAAAGCAAGCACTGCAGGATCGGTTGCAGGACCGGCAGCTATTGGCATCAATTACAACAGAAAGGCAGAAATGAGCGTTCCTAAAGCAAGAAAGCAAGCACTGCAGGATGCGTTTTAGGACTGGCAGCTATTGGCATCAATTACAACAGAAAGGCAGAAATGAGCGTTCCTAAAGCAAGAAAGCAAGCACTGCAGGATGCGTTTTAGGACTGGCAGCTATTGGCATCAATTACAACAGAAAGGCAGAAATGAGCATTCCTAAAGCAAGAAAGCAAGCACTGCAGGATGCATTGCAGGACTGGCAGCTATTGGCTTCAATTACAGCAGAAAGGCAGAAATGAGCGTTCCTAAAGCAAGAAAGCAAGCACTGCAGGATGTGTTTTAGGACTGGCAGCTATTGGCATCAATTACAACAGAAAGGCAGAAATGAGCATTCCTAAACCAAGAAAGCAAGCACTGCAGGATGTGTTTTAGGACTGGCAGCTATTGGCATCAATTACAACAGAAAGGCAGAAATGAGCGTTCCTAAAGCAACAAAGCAAGCATTGCAGGATCGGCTGCAGGACCGGCAGCGAGTCCTGAAGTCAACACATTCAGGGAGGCCAGAGGTTCCCATCCACACTGCATCCCCTCCATTCGGGTGGTACCCATCATGCTTCCGTGTTCCACGATGAGTACATGGGTTTTTGTGACATAATTTCATCACAGCAATAAATAGATAGTCCAATGAAGTTTTAAAACACAAGTTTCCAGTTGGCCACTGAAGGCATATTGCTCAGACTTCTAAAGTAGAAGGAACAATTAGCTTTGATGAAAATGAAATCTACAAACTACAAACACCAGATACCATCCAGGAGCTCAAGCAAAAGAGAAGTCAGGATACTGATGACCATCCCCTGCTCTGACAGCACTTGAGAACTATCGAGGAAAATAAGCCATTAGACTCCAGCACAATGGCGACCCCACAGGGAAGTGCAGGGTCCCCCCAGGTTGTCACCATCACCACGGCTCACGTTTATTGAGCCCTTATCAATAAGAGCCTGCCACTGTTCCAGGTGCTTTGCAAGAAATAGTTGCCTAAAAGTTTACAATAACTCTATATTATCATCCTCATGTTACAGAGATGTGGATAAGATGTGGCACAGAGAAGTGACTTGCCCAAGGTTTCCTGGCTCTGCTCTGAATCTCGGCAGTATTACTTCAGGTACCCTGTCCTTAACCTACCTGATACATGCTTTACAAATATTAACCCACCTAATCCTCAAGACAACTATGAGACTGATACTACTATTATACCCATTTTAAAGATTAGAAACCTAGGCACAGAGAAGCTCATTAAATTGTTGAGCATTACAGACATGACAGGAGGGGCCCTGAACACAAACCCAGGGTACCAGAAAGAGATCCTGAAACTGGTGATGGCTTCTGAGACCTACTAGATGAGTTGGAAACCCGGAGACTGGATATTACAAGGGCACTCAGGGCAGGGAGAAGAGAGGGAAGAGAGAGCAGGGAGGAGCAGACACAGCTGACATGGCTGGGGGAGAACCCCACCCCATTGAAGCTCAGGTACACGGGGCCTACTGAAGTCTGTGAGCAAACTTACTTGCCCACAGGGTGGGCAGGATTGCCGAGGGCCAGCCCAATTCCAGGCCATCAGGTGTGCAGACCCCGCTGAAGGACTGCAGAAAACATGGAAAGGAACTCTGCTGGACTCCGGGCCTCCAAATGAGTACCAGACAGCAAATGTAAAAAAAAAAAAAAGATCTTCAGAAAGGCTGTTACATGCATTTAAAGAAAAGAAAAACAGGCTTAGCAAACCATGGCCACCCCACGCTGAGAAAGTATGGTGAGACCCAATGGATGGAAACTACTGGAAGGCTGATTTAGACTTGATTGAACAGCGTCTTCCGGAGGATTAGCAGTGCCAGAGTAGATACCATTGAACTAGAGTGTGTGAATGGCAAGGAGGTTTCACCTCTGAATCGGGGGAAGACAGAATGTTTTCCCCATTGGAGAAGTCAGCGACCATATTTCCACTATGGAGGAATCCAAGAACGGTCCGGCTTGGATGGCACAATCCACATGGTTCTGCATGACCTGCCACAGCTCCACATCCATGGGGACCAACCAGGGCCTGGGCAGCTGCTGGGCTCTCTTCTGATGTGGACAGTGTCTTGCTCTGTCACCCAGGCTGGAGTGCAGCGGCACAATCATAGCTCACTGCAGCCTCAAACTCCTTCAAGGGATCCTCCCCACTCTGCCTCCCAAAGCATGAGGAATAGAGACATGAGTCATTACTCCCAGCCATTGTAAACTTCATCTCCTTTAACACTTCCAATAATTGCAGGACAGACCAGATAATGGTTCTTCCTATCTATTGCTTCAAGTTTCATTCTCATTTTAAGTGATTTAAGGTTGGCTTCTGTGATTCTTCCTTAAAGTAATGTTAAAGGTGTGACTTCAGTTTCATTTAGAGTTCATAAGATGACTCTAAATGACTAGCCAAGATGACACATTCATCTGGAACCCCAGGGAAGACGGAAGTAAAACCCTCCTTTTTCTCCTAAATATCCCAAAAGGTTGGGTGCCCTAGGTCCAAGGGATCTGCAAGCCTCCTAAAGAAATTTCCATTGTCCCTCCCGGCTGGTGTGAATTGTAATCTGGTATCTATATCCCAGGAACATTTAACAAACATTAAAGAAACACCATAAAGCTAACAAGCTGTTACCAACTGTGAAGTCATTAGCTAGAGGAATCTTGGATTGTCCAAAAGACTGAAAAAGCCCAGGCAGATCCCATCTCTTCCTCATAACTGTTCCACTGGAAATTGTCATTTTTCACAGGAGACTTTTCGTTTTTTTGGTGACAAGGTCTGGCTCTCTGTCACCGAAGCTGGAGTGCAATGGCACCATCTTGGCTCACTGCACCCTTGACTTCCCATACTCAGGTGATTGTCCCACCTCAGCCTCCTGAGTAGTTGGGACCACAAGAATGCACCACCACGCCTAGCTAACTTTTTCTTTTATTTATGTATTTTCAGATAGGGTCTTACGCTGTTGCCCATGCTGGAGTGCAGTGGTGTGATTATGGCTCACTGCAGCCTCCAACTCCTGGGCTGAATCTATCCTCCTACCTCATCCTCCCGAAGTGCTGGGATTACAGGCATCAGCCACCATACCTTGCCTTAATTTTTAAAAATTCTTTGTAGAGATGGAGGTCTCTCTACATTGCCCAGGCTGGTCTTGAATTCCTGGGCTCATGCAATCGTCCTGACTCAGCCTCCCAAAGTGCTGGGATTACGTGCACGAGCCATCATGCCCTGCCTTAATTTTTAAAAATTAACTGTAGAGACAGGGTCTCCCTCTCTTGCCCAGGTTGACCTTGAACTCCTGGGCTCAAACTATCCTCCTGCCTCAGCCTCCCAAAGTGCTGGGATTGCAGGCATAAGCCACTACACCCAGCCTAACATGAGGCATTCTTTTTATTTTTTTTTGAGACAGGGTCTCACTCTGTCATACAGGCAGGTGGGTGGTGACAGCGACCATGACCACGGGTCAACCTGGGCCTCAGACACTGGGGAAAGGTGGCCATGTCCAGTTTTCTCAGGAAATTAGGAGGCAGGTCATCCGAGGAGAGAGGGTGTGTCTGGGGTAGGGTGGAGTAGCTTTCAGAAAAGTGTAAGTCTGGCAAAAGCACTCAGGAAAATGGGACAGAAAATGAGCCAAGCGCTGGATGGCAGCGTTCATTCAGCCCAGCTGAGCTTGGAGGCCATGAAATGCTGGCAGCCCCACACTGCAAGACTGCAGGGTCTTTCTGGGCCACGCCCCGAATCCCAGGTATGGAAGTGAAGGACCCAAAAAGAGGAACGAATCAGGCTGTTATTCTGCAGAACAGGTGAAAGAAAAAAGCCAAGTAGACAGAGCCTTGGAAGTCAAAGAGTCACCCACATGCCTGACCCAGTCAGAAGAAAGGGGACCAAGCCAGGGCGGGAGGGACTGTGTGGGAAAGAGGAGGCTGAAAGGAGGAGAGACCGCGGGCAGAGGTGGACAAGGGACCAAGGTGAAGACCTTTGAGGTGCTTCTTGAACCACAGTGGTGAATGTCTTTCTGGACAAGAGTGCCAGTGCCCACCGCCATCACAGGACACAGCCCCATCCGCACTCCCGGGACAGCAACATCTCATTGTCCCAAACTCTGCCAATTTCATCAGTGAAAAGTGGAGCCTGGAAGCTTTGCATTTCTTCAATGACTTCGAATTTTTTAAAATGGTCTCACAGATTTCCTGGTCATCGGTATTTCATCTGAAAAGTCTCTTTCTGTGATATCTGCTCATTAGAGCGGAGTTCTTAAAATTATTAGAGAGTGTTATACATTCAGTATATTCACCTCTGTGGTGGTTGCTCTCAGTTTTGTCCAGTTAGTCATTCATCATAAATTTAACTTTGATATCATAATAAAACAGACAAAAGTGTAGTTATTATGTGCTTAAATCTACAGGTGCTTTTTTAAAAAGTTCTTTTTAGAGACAGGGTTTTGCCCTGTCGCCCAGGCTGGAGTGCAGTGGCGCGATCTTGGCTCACTTCAGCCTCCACCTCTTGGGTTCAAGCCATCCTCCTGCCTCAAACTCCAGAGCAGCTGGGACTACAGGTGAAAATATCACAATTATATGTTAGAGAGAGAGAGAATGAATCATTGTAAAACAATGAAAAGGTGAAGAATGTCTGTTACCTGTGTAAGTAACATCTACATCAACCCTCACCTGAAGTTCCTCACCTCTTCCCTTGCTCTTTTCTTCAGCCCAAACACGGTGTTCAACGTTCTTCCCAGTCACCGCCCAAGGCCGCTGTCTTAGCCCTGCCGTCATCACCTCTCTGAGCCTACTGCAGTAGCTTCCTATCTGGGTTCCCTTTCCATTCCTCCCGGGTCCCGACTCCATCGGCTGCCAGTTGACTTCCCACAGCACCAACTTTTCTCAGCCTTCTGCCTATGAGAGCTCCCCAAATTCTACCACGGGAGCCCTCAAACCATGATCCTCCCCAAAACGTGAACAGCAGCTTCTCGAACCATGGACAGATGGCACAGATGACAACCGAAGCCAATCACCACTGCCTGTCCCTGGAAGTGGACGCTCCGGGTCATGGGTGGCCATGTATCTCGGTCCTGCTATCCTGGGTGGTTGGAGGAATTCTAGCAGTGAGAGTTGAAAACCGCTCGGCGCGCGGCAAGAGAGGATGAAGCCCGAGTCTGACCTGGGAAGGGAGCTGCTCCCCGGGCAGTGGACCCCAGGGCTGGCGGGGAGGCGGCCTCGGTCAGCCCAGTTGGTCTCGGGCCGCTGGGCCTCAGCCCCCAAGCCTGGTGCCCGCTGGCCCCGGAGGAGCTGTCCCGCCCCCTCCGGCACTCGCCTTCCGGGGCTTGGTCGGCTAGCTGCTTCACGCGCGCGGGCTGGGGGCCCCAACGGCGGACGAGCGCTGCTCCCACCGCTCCAGCGCCCAGACTGTAGCGGCTCCGCCTCCGCGGTCCGTTGGCCCCGCCCCCACGTCTCTTCCGGGGCCCCGCCCACCCCCTTCGGGCCCGCCCAGCACGGCCTCCCCTTGTGGCCTGGAGCCCCAGGCCGAGGGCGCAGAGACCAGAAGGCCGAGCTGGGCGGCGACCCCCGTTCTTGCCCGGTCACTTCCTGCGGCGCCGCCTGCCCGCTGGCAAACTGTGGCTGGGAGACCCTTTAAATAGAACGTATTAGCCAAAACTAGAAGAGCAAAATATGTACCATGTTTCAATTTAATGGGATTGCCAGGTGTTTTAAGGGTCCGCCGCAACGGTCCCTCGAGTCCCGGGGTTTTTGTCCCCATCAGATCATTCGTGGTGTGGATCTTCCGGGAGGTTATGGGAAAGGGAGACCAGCAGCCGGCTCCGTGGGCGGCCATACTGCTCCCCCAGGAAGGCCAGGCAAATCTTCAGTGCTGGGATCCCCCTAGTACGTTCATTTTGTCTAGGGTCCAGGTGGGGCCATCGAGCCCCTTGCCCACAGGATTGGTCCTTTGGCATGCAGATAAGCAACACCGCCAAGAAAAGCCCATGGGGTCTTTAGGCTGTTAGGAGACCACCAGGGAGCCATTCCTAAATCTTCCCAGGTGATGGTTCCAAAAACCCTGGTGTTTGGGGAAAGGAAAAAGGGTTATCCACAGGACTATGCTGGAACACTTTCCCAAACAGTGTCTGCCTGGCTGTCCCAAGCAGCCGGTGATGGAGCGATGGTCATGAGGCTAGACCAAAGACCACAGAGTCTAGCCTCACTCTAGTGGAACTCAGGCACCCACCCGTTAGGATGTCGTGTTGCTGCTGCCCCCAGGTGGGAGCCTGGGAAACCACCTGGCCGACACGGGCCACACCTGATGGGACCTCACAAGGAGATACAGTCCATTAACGTTCGTCAGGGTGGGAAGAAGTGGCAACACCTACTGAGATAACAAAACTCATTAGCTGAAGGGCAAGCTGGCCAGCAACTGGCAGTGATGTTCTCAATAGTCCTGGCCGCCTTATAAAACCAGCTACTTAGGCCGGGCACGGTGGCTCACTCCTGTAATCCCAGCACTTTGGGAGGCTGAAGTGGGTGGATCACAAGGTCTAGGAGTTCAAGACCAACCTGGCCAGTATGGTGAAACCCCGTCTCTACTAAAAATACAAAAATTAGCCTGGTGTGGTGGTGGGCGCCTGTAGTCCTAGCTACTTGGGAGGCTGGGGCAGGAGAATCGCTTGAACCCGGGAGGAGGAGGTTGCAGTGAGCTGAGATCGCGCCACTGCACTCCAGCCCGGGAGACAGAGCAAGACTCCGTCTCTAAATAAATAAATAAACAAACAAACAAAACCAGCTACTTAGTAAAGGAGCAGCTAGTTAAAGCTAACCAGGGGTCCTCAATCAAGGATGGGCCACACTGTTTGTGATGCCAATCGTTTTATTCACACTCTTTACTCCATTGATGAAAGAGGGATTCCTTCCCCCCACGCTCCTGCCCCCGCCCCTGTCCCCACCCCCAGAGATACGGGGATGGCCGAACACACAACACTTGATGCAGGACGGATGCAATCAACAGCAGCTGACTGGTCACAGATACTCCAGTCCAGGGGAGAAGGACCCTGCACACTATGCAGGGCAATGTGGAGGCTACACTCCGGAACACGGTAACAAGGAGGGGCTGCTGGAGGCAGGCTTTGTAGTAACAAAAGTGCAGAGTGAGCCCTGGTTCCCACGGGAGGGTGTGACTGGCTTGTCTGAATAATTCGTCCTTGAGCTGGCAGGGAACTGAAGCCTACTGTTTGGGGATAAGCAGGCTCTGTGTCTGATCCCTAAAATAAGGAGAGTGTTTAGCCAGAGAATTTCATCTGCGGAAGCAGACAGGGAGCGAGGCTTGGAGTTCAGCCATTTGAGGCCCTCTTGATTTAAATGGATGTAAAGACAGAATTTGATATGAATCCTAATTTCAGGCCTTACACCACAATACACTATTAAAAAGTAAGTTTTCCGAGAACTAGTCATTGAGTTCAGTGTCACAAGATTTTAAATAAACATTCTAAACTCAACTGTGGCATAGTGGTTCACGCCTGTAATCCCAGCACTTTGGGAGGCCAAGATGGGAGGATTGCTTGAGCCAGAGGTTCGAGACCAGCCTGGGTAAGATGGTAAGGCCCTATCTCTACAAAAAAAATATATAAATTAGCCAGGTATGGTGATGAGAGCCTGTGGTCCCAGTTCCATGGGAGGCTGAGGTGGGAGGACCACTTGAGGCTAGGAGGTCAAGGCTGCATTGAGCCATATTCACGCTGCTGGGCTCCAGCCTGGGTGACAGAGTGAGACCTCATCTCAAAAAATAAAGAAAGAAGATAATTTCACCTATTGCTTAACATAGAAAATGGGAGCCCTCAGAATGAGACTCCCTTAACTTCCCCAAGAAACTTAACCATCCTTTTTTACTCTTACAGTTGTGAATGTCCTCCAGTAAAGACCACATGAAACACTTTGTAGTTAAGCAAGTTGGGTTTATTACTTGTTGCAAGGAGGGAAGACTCACACCATGAGGAGCCTATCAGTAAGAGGATGTTAGACCTTTAGGATCTGGGCTTTGGCTGGGTGATTTGGGGGAGGGTCCAGGGGTTTGCTCTGGATCGAGTGCTGATAGGAGGTAGGAAAATTCTATCATCCGGTAGCGGTATCTTTTCTAGAAAGAGGTTTGGCTGGAGTAGGGCTAAAGCTACAATGTGTAAAGAAGCCACAGTCACTCCTATCAGCTGGGAGAAGGGAATGTCTGGTATTCTGTGGGTGGCACAGTGACCTTGCTTTTGTCCTTACACAGAATGATGACGTGGTCTCGTGTCATCTCCTATCATCACCACTGCAGAGTGTCCTTGTGTGAGTGGTCTGCATGATTGTTTATGTCCAATAGGAGAACAACATGGCCTTGTTGTGGGCACCAGCCAGCTTCCAAAAACATACGGCCTGGCTCACAGCACCAGGCAAGCTCCTAGAAGTCAGTTTTGCTTTTCTGTTTTTCACAGTGGAGGAGGTGAGCCTTAAAGAGATCGATAAGGGTTTGCCCGGCAGAAGAAAACAGCGTGAGCAGAGGCATGGAGTCTGCAGTAGAACTGCATGTTAGGTGAACCTGATATAGGGTCAGGAGGGGTAGCAGGAGAGATTTCTGGACAGGCTTTCACACAGTGAATCGTGGAAGCTCCCCCAAATCACCCAGCCAAAGCCCAAATTATAAAGATCTAACATCCTCTTACTGATATGTTCCTCATGGTGTGAGTCTTCCCTCCTTGCAACAAGTAATAAACCAAACTTGCTTGACTACAGAGTGTTTCTGGTGGTCGTTACTGGAGGACATTCACAACTGTAACAGTGAAAAAGGATGGTTAAGTTTCTTGGGGGAAGTTAAGGGAGTCTCATTCTGAGGGCTCCCATTTTCTATGTTAAGCAATAGGTGAAATTATCTTATTTATTTTTTGAGTACAAGTTTTATCCTGAGGGATTTGAAGTGAGGAACTGACATGACCTGGGTTTGCATTTCAGAAAAATCCCCAGCAGCTGCGTGGGAGAAGGCTTGGTGACAAAGGGGAAGCCTCCTTTTCTTTCCCACACCCACAGCCCCTGCACCTGCTGTCCTCGCTCATCCGATCTATTGCAACACATCCTTATTCTACCTTTGGCCAGGGTGATTTTTCAGAATCACAGATCTTTTCCTGTAACTTCCTTAAAACCTTTTGATTCCCAATCAATTACCAGTGAAAAATCTGCACTTCATTGCCTGACACACAAACTGTACCTTTCATCATCTGTTCCCTCTAGCCTGGTATCTGGCTTTGCATTAGTTAATTCTTGCACTGCTAAAAAGAAATACCTGAGACTGGGTAATTTATAAAGAAGAAATGTGTGTGTGGTTTGTTTTTTGTTTTGTTTTGTTGTTGTTGTTGTTTTTGAGACAGAGTTTCGCTCTTGTTGCCCAGGCTGGAGTGCAATGGTGCAATCTCAGCTCACTGCAACCTCCGCTTCCCAGGTTCAAGCGATTATCCTGCCTCAGCCTCCCAAGTAGCTGGGATTACAGGTGCCCGCCACCACACTCAGCTAATTTTTTGTATTTTTAGTAGAGACAGGGTTTCACCATGTTGGCCAGGCTGGTCTCGAACTCCTGACCCTAGGTGATCCACCCCCACCCCCCACCCCCACCCCCGGCCTCCCAAAGTGCTGGAATTACAGGCATGAGCCACCACGCCCAGCCAAGAAGAAATGTTTAAATGGCTCACAGTTCTGTTGGCTGTACAGGAATTATAGCAGCTTCTGCTTCTGGTGAGGCCTTGGGAGGCTTCTAATCACGACGGATGGCAAAGGGTGAGCAAGGCATCTCACATGGTGGGAGCAGGAGCCACAGAAAGCAAGGGGTACGGTGCTGCACACTTTTAAACAACCAGAACTCCTGAGAACTCACTATCAGAACAGCACCAAGAGGATGGTCCTAAACCATTCATGAGAAATCCACCCCCATATTCCAACCACTTTCTACCAGGCTCCACCTCCAACACTGGGGACTACAGGCTGGGCGTGGTGGCTCATGCCTGTAATCCCAGCACTTTGGGAGGCCGAGGCAAGTGGATCACCTGAGGTCAGGAATTTGAGACCAGCCCAGCCAACATGGTGAAACCCCATCTCTACAGACAATACAAAAAATAGCCAGGCATTGTGGCGGGCGCCTGTAATCCCAGCTACTCGGGAGGCTGAGACAGGAGAATCGCTTGAACCCAGGAGACGGAGGTTGTGGTGAGCCAAGATCGGGCCACTGCACTCCAGCCTGGGTGACAGGGTGAGAAACTCCGTCTCAGAAAAGAAAGAGAAAAAAAAACAGTGGGGACTACATTTCAACATGAGATTTGGTGAGGACCCAGATCCAAACTGTATCAGGCTGCCAGCTGGCATCTCCACTTGGGGGTCTCAGTACTATCTCAGATTCACTATTTCCAAAGCTGTGTTCAAGATCACCTCCCCAATCTCCTCCCTGCTGTCTCCACCTCCCAACTTAGCAAACAGTGCCATGGCTCCTTCAGTTCAAAAGTAAAAAAGGTAGGCATCATCTTGGAACTACCCTTTTTCTTTCCCCTTATGCAATCAGTCCCCCAAATATGTTGATTTTATCCGCTAAGTATTTCTGGAATCTACTTTTCTTCCACCTCTCCTTTTGGTATCTGTGAAGTGAGCTCCCCCAATCACTCTGACTTTACCCAAATCCATATCTCACACAGAAGCCAGAGGTTTGTAAAAGGTCTGTTTGCTCCTGTCACTCCCTAGCTCAACTGCTTTCTGTTGCTGTTGGGAAAAGACCAGAGTGTCGCCAGGTGTGGTGACTCACACCTGTAATCCCAGCACTTTAGGAGGCTGAGGCAGGAGGATCACTTGAGGCCAGGAGTTCAAGACCAGCCTGGGCAACATAGTGAGACCTTGTCACTACCAAAAAGAGGCAGAAGGATTGCTTGAGCCCAGGAGGTCGAGGCTGCAGTGAGCTGTGATCGCACCACTGCACTCCAGCCTGGGTGACACAGTGAGACCCTGCCTCAAAAAAAAAAAAAAAAAAGAAAGAAAGAAAGAAAAGAAAAGAAAAGAAAAACAAAAAGACCATAGTTCCTTATATAGTCTACAGGGCCCCACCTGCTCTGTCTACTTCCCCAGCCTCACTTCATACCACTCTGTTGCAGAATGTTAAGAGCCAAATCTTCTGAGCCTGGTAAGCTTACTGCTGTCAGCACCTCTGAGACCTCCCTCATCTGAGAATTACCACTTCCCCTTCCTTCCACAGTAAGAGATATCAACAAAACTGTAGAAAACCCTGTCCTCTAAAATTGCAACACTCAAGCTGTGCAGCTGGGCAGCAATCTTCAATCTCCATCCTTAGGGAAGGTTCAGAAGCACAGACGAGGTGTGAAAACTCAGATATGCTCAGCCTGAAATATACAAAAGCCTCTGGAAAGTCTCCTCATAGAAGAACCCAATTAAATTCACATGATTAGAGGCTGAGACAGGATAATCGCTTGAACCCTGGAGGCGGTGGTTGCAGTAAGCTGAAATCACGCCACTGCACTCCAGCCTGGACAAGAGCGAAACTCCATCTCAAAAATAACAATAATAATCCACATGATTAGTCCACACACCTAGATGAGCCATAGGCAAAACAGAGCCCTTTCTCCCTCTACCAAAACAAAGGAAGAGTCTAACGTAAATTCTAAGAGATTCTCCTCCAAATACCAGTATTATGAAGCAGCTTCTCCATACTGATCCAATCAGTATAGGAGTACACGTGTGGAAAATAATGCTTTATTTGTATTTTTAACTGAAAAAAGTAATTCCTGATATGGACAGTTCAGAGTAAAAAGATGTAAGTGGGCTTCGAACACACGAAAATGATGCTCAACCACCTATAAATAGGAAGAGTAAAAAATAAAATTACAATTAAATACCATCTTTCATATAAAAGATTAACAAGTTTTCCTTTCTTTTTTTTTTTTAAGACCCAGTTTCGCTCTTGTTGCCCAGGCTGAAGTGCAATGGTGCTATCTTGGCTCACCTCAACCTCTGCCTCACGGGTTCAAGCGATTTTCCTGCCTCAGCCCGCTGAATAGCTGGGACTGCAGGCATGTGCCACCACGCCCAGATCGTATTTTTAGTAGAGACGAGGTTTCTCCATGTTGGTCAGGCTGTTCTCAAACTCCCAACCTCAGGTGATCCACCCGCCTCAGCCTCTCAAAGTGCTGGGATTACAGGCGTGAGCCACCGCGCCCGGTGATTAACAAGTTTTATAACAAACTGTGTTGGTGAGAAAATAAGCAGTTTTGCCACAGCTGGAAAGGGAGCACGCCACAACTCCCTTCAAGAATGAACACCTGGGCCAGGCGCGGTGGCTCACGCCTGTAATCCCAGCACTTTGGGAGGCCGAGGCAGGTGGATCACTTGAGGTCAGGAGTTCGAGATCAGCCTGGCCAACATGGTGAAACCCTATCTCTACTAAAATACAAAAAAAAAAAAAAGTAGCCACTTTGGGAGGTTGAGGCGAGCGGATCATGAGGTCAGGAGATTGAGACCATCCTGGCTAACATGGTGAAACCCCGTCTCTACGAAAAATACAAAAAATTAGCCAGGCGTGGTGGTGGGTGCCTGCAGTCCCAGCTACTAGGGAGGCTGAGGCAGGAGAATGGCGTGAACCTGGGAGGCGGAGCTTGCAGTGAGCAGAGATCGTGTCACTGCATTCCAGCCTGGGCGACAGAGCAAGACTCCGTCTCAAAAAAACAAAACAAAAAAAATGAGCTGGGCGTGGTGGTGTGTGCCTGTAATCCCAGCTGCTTGGGAGGCTGAGGCAGGAGAATCGCTTGAACCTGGGAGGTGGAGGTTGCAGTGAGCGGAGATTGCCCTACTGTGAGAGGTGACAGTGTGCTGGCAGTCCTCACAGCCCTCGCTCGCTCTCGGCGCCTCCTCTGCCTGGGCTCCCACTTTAGCGGCACTTGAGGAGCCCTTCAGCCCACCACTGCACTGTGGGAGCCCCTTTCTGGGCTGGCCAAGGCCGGAGCCGGCTCCCTCAGCTTGCAGGGAGGTGTGGAGGGAGAGGCGCGAGCGGGAACCGGGGCTGCGCGCTGTGCTTGCGGGCCAGCTGGAGTTCCGGGTGGGCGTGGGCTTGGCGGGCCCCGCACTCGGAGCAGCCGGCCGGCCCTGCGGGCCCCGGGCAATGAGGGGCTTAGCACCAGGGCCAGCGGCTGCGGAGGGTGTAGTGGGTCCCCCAGCAGTGCCGGCCCACCGGCGCTGCGCTCCATTTCTCGCCGGGCCTTAGCTGCCTTCCCGCGGGGCAGGGCTCGGGACCTGCAGCCCGCCATGCCTGAGCCTCCCACTCCCTCCGTGGGCTCCTGTGCGGCCCGAGCCTCCCTGACGAGCACCACCCCCTGCTCCACGGCGCCCAGTCCCATCGACCACCCAAAGGCTGAGAAGTGCGGGCGCACGGCACGGGACTGGCAGGTGGCTCCACTGGGTGAAGCCAGCTGTGCTCCTGAGTGTGGTGGGGACGTGGGGGAACCTTTATGTCTAGCTCAGGGATTGTAAATACACCAATCCGCACTCTGTATCTAGCTCAAGGTTTGTAAACACACCAATCAGCACCCTGGTCTAGCTCAGGGTTTGTGAATGCACCAATCGACACTCTGTATCTAGCTACTCTGGTGGGGCCTTGGAGAACCTTTATGTCTAGCTCAGGGATTGTAAAGGCACCAATCAGCGCCCTGTCAAAACAGACCCCTAGGCTCTACCAATCAGCAGGATGTGGGTGGGGCCAGATAAGAGAATAAAAGCAGGCTGCCCGAACTAGCAGTAGCAGCTTGCTGGGGTCTCCTTCTACTCTGTGGAAGTTTTGTTCTTTTTGCTCTTTGCAATAAATTCTGCTAGTACTCACTATTTGGGTCCACACTGCCTTTATGAGCTGTAACACTCACCGCGAAGGTCTGCAGCTTCGCTGCTGAGCCAGCAAGACCACGAACCCAACCAGAAGGAAGAAACTCCGAATACATCCAAACATCAGAAGGAACAAACTCCAGACATGCCACCTTTAAGAACTGTAACACTCACTGCGAGGGTCCGCGGCTTCATTCTTGAAGTCGGTGAGACCAAGAACCCACCAATTTCGAACACAACTTCACTCCTGCCTGGGTAACAAAGTGAGGAAAAAAAACATGAATGAACCCCTGAAACTTCAGGTCTCTTGGCTGATAAGGAGCTTTCGGGGAGGGAGATGGTCACTTACCTCTGTTGATTTCAGGGACTTTCCTGTCTTTAGACAGTCTCACAAAGTGGTGGATGTAAGGGTCGTGCCAGCAGCCCAACCTTACTGCAAGCCTGGAAGGGAGAAAAAAAGAGGAAGGTGAGTAGAGATTGAGTAGGTTCGGGCCAGGGTCCGCTGCCAAGTTATCAGGAACCAGGTCAAGGAACTCGACAAAAACCAACCATCCACCTCGAAAGGCCAAGTGCACATTCAGTGCCCCGTTACACATGCGAAGACGCAGCCATCCATTCATCTTTATGTTCACGTACCGCCCATTACATTGCCCACAGTGGGCTTCTGACTCCCTTTCCTCATAGTGCTAGTTCACTTCTCAGGACCCTACATAGCAAATAACCTCACTTCATGCTTCATACAAAAGATGTGCAGCCATTTATTCACTCTGCAAACTCATGGCCAGAGCTAGTCAGTTAATTCCACTAAATGAAAAGACCTGTGCCCAGGGGAAGGGAGACTCAGAAACACTTGACAAACAGCATGAATTAACCCAAGTGTTTCTCCTGACTCTGTATTAGGTGCCGTCCTCTTACTCCCCTTACAGAGGTCAGAGTGGGGAAACCAGGAACGAATGAACAATACGTGTACAACTTGGGAAATGCCATGGGAGCCTTAATTGTCTCTATTCTGGTCTACAGTACAAGGAGTTAAGGCTTTGTGTTTCAAGGCTGGGAGCTGAAACCCTGATTAGCACAGGAAGCCTTGTTGCAATCATGAGTAGAACCAGCTTTAGGACGACTGAGGAGTCATGAAAAGAACCTGGATCCCGAAGGCCATGCTCAGCTGCTCTGGGCCTGTGGACTGCTCTATCTCTGAACGTATATTTTGTGAGATAATAAGTGTTTTTACCCTTTAAGCCAATTTGAGTCAGGCTTCTGTTAACAGCCTAAAGCATCCTAATGATACCCTGAGTAATACCCCCATTTCCTTGTTCCCTGCTAAGGTAAAATGTAGGGAATGTGTGTGTGATGTCTCTGAGCTCCTAGAAGCAGATAATATACCTTTTCTTTATATCTACTGCCAAGGCTTACTTCTGCCTTGACTACAATAGGTGCTGAATTCTGTACAAACACATCTCCCAATCTGTCATCCATAGACACCCAAAACACATGTTCAGGTGTTCCATGCAGCAATTCACAGAAACGTGAAATATTCACTAATGTGCACAATTTGCTATACAAGCCCAGACTGTCCAAGGAAAACATACTCAGTTTTATAACCATACACTTACTCAGTTATCTAAAATAGTGCTTTTCAAACAGTAAGTGGTGACTAATTAATATCATAAGATCAATTAGTTTGCAAACCTGCTTTTTTTTTTTTTTTTTTTAATGTGAGGCTGGGATGGTGGTTCATGCCTGGAATCTCAGCACTTTGGGAGGCCGGGGCAAGCGGATCACTTGAAGCCAGCAGTACAAGACCAGCCTGGCCAATATGGTGAAACTACTAAAAATACAAAAATTAGCTGGGCATGGTGGTCCGCGTCTGTAATCCCAGCTACTCAGGAGGCTGAGGCACAAGAATTGCTTGAACCCGGGAGGCGGAGGTTGCAGTGAGCCAAAATTGCACCACTGCACTCCAGCCTGGGCCACAGAATGAGACTCCAGCTCAAATAAAAAAGAAAGAAAGAAGAAATGGAATAGAATAAAATAAAAAATAAGATGCATTACACATAGTGTTAAGACATTTGTGAACCTTTTGTTTCTAATTCTAATTTTTAATTTTTTTGTAGACATGAAGTTTTGCTATAGCTGGTCTCGAACTGCTGACCTCAAGTGATTTCTCCCATCTTGGCCTCCCAAGATGCTGGGATTACAGGTGTGAGCCATTGCACTTAGACAACTTTTGTTTCAAGTGTGTGTTGAGGGTATAAGTGCAATGATAAAGGTTATTTTTTCACTGTGGGTGGCAGTTTCATAAACAGATTCCTTTTTTTTTTTTTTTTTTTTTTTTGAGGCAGAGTTTCGCTCTTGTTGCCCAGGCTGGAGTGCAATGGCACAATCTCGGCTCACTGCAACCTCCACCTCCCGGTTTCAAGCGATTCTCCTGCCTTAGCCTCCCAAGTAGCCGAGATTACAGGTATGAGCCACCAGGTCCCGCTAATTTTGTATTTTTAGTAGAGACGGGGGTTTCATCAGGTTGGCCAGGCTGGTCTCGAACCCCTGACCTCAGGTGATCCACCCGCCTCGGCCTCCCAAAGTGCTGGGATTACAGGGTTGAGCCACCGGCCTGGCCTTAAACAGATTTCAAATGAATCCTCTAGTGCCATCTAGTGTTAACAGTTTTATCTGCAGTTGAAACCCACAGATGAGAACACACCCCACAGTTCTAAGGGTTGGAAGAAGCCTAATCTTGCCAACCCCAGCATCCAGTGCAAGAACCATTGCAACAATATCACTACGTGACCACTCCCCTGAGGAAGGCACTCACCCCACTGCTAAGCAACTCTGTTGAAAAGCTGATCAAAATGCTTCCCTCTGGAAGCCCTAACTTGGTAGACTTACAAAACTACTCTCTTGCATAATAAAGAGCAGGTTCTTCTATTCTCTCACCTCCGGATTCCTTACACTATTCAATACGACTAGTGTAGTCAAGGAACATGTGGGTGTCTGCCAAGTGCTAGGCACTGGGGGTACAGTGGTAAACAAGGAGAGAAAGGAGAGGCAGATAATTACAAGATGATGAGGAATGAAGGCAGTGACTCGTAGAGAGGATGAAGATGATAGGGGGAGGCCTCTCTCAGAACGGGATGGCCGTGGCGAGCCCTGGAGAATGGGAGAGTCAGGTGTCCAAAAGGCATTCTAGACAGGAGGAAGGGCAGGCAGAAAGACTCAGGGAACACACCTGAGCCTCCAGTACAGAAAGGAGGCAGGGAGGCCGGAGGACAGTAAGAAACTGGAGAGGAGGCCAGAGGGAGAGGCAGGCTCAGGACGCAGCGCCTGGTGGGCATCTGGGACTGACCTCAGGAGCACCCTGTCCATGGTCACAGTGGTGCACAGTGGTAGAGAGTGGTGAGATGCACGGGTCCATAATGCAAACACACCCAGCCAGCAACTCCCACCGTCTCCCACCTCTAGTGCCCCTAACACTTTCCTCCTCCCACTCCGCAAACCCAGGTGACTGCAACAGGTTTCCATGCGCCCTAGGAAGAAGGATCTCACTGTCCAGCCTATCAGAGTGGCCAAGATGAAAAGATTTGCCACCCAGTGTTGGGCAGTGAGGAGGAGAGTGCTGTCGGGCGCTGCTGATGGGAGTTCTGAAGGGAGACAAGCAGCAAGTTTCAGGATTTACAGGACATCAGCTGGAGAGTAACTGGACAAATTACAGTGTATCCATTCACTGAAATACTAACCCATCATTTAAAAAGTAAACTAGAAAATCAGACATGGCAAAACATTCCAGATATAATGTTAAGAGAAAGAGGTAAGGCCAAAAATATATGTACCACATGTGCCCGTAAATACATACATATGTATCTATATTACACAGAGAATTACTAGTGGATTGATACCTAAATACTGAAAATGATTATCTCTCTGATTTCTGGGTTTATCCTTCCTAAATTTTCTACACTAACCATATGACGTATTTCATCAAATAAGAAGGCATCAATCCTAAGATGTACTCCCAAGAAAGAAAAAACACTGCCAAATAATTGTAACTGTGAGTTTATTGGAAAAGTTCTTTTGGACTTATTAAAACAGACTGGTATCACTTCTCTCTCTTGCACACATATGAAAAGGAAAAGATCAATGGGAAAGGCTGGTTGTCTTCAGTTTCAGGATGTCTGAGTTTCCATACAATATGGACTATTGTGCTTTCAAGGGCTTTGGTGATATGGCATTTCTTAAGAGATCTTTAGGCCAGGCACAGTGGCTCATGCCTGTAATCCCAACACTTTGGGAGGCCGAGGTGGGCAGATCACAAGGTCAAGAGATCGAGACCATCCTGGCCAACATGGTGAAACTTTGTCTCTACTAAATATACAAAAATTAGCCGGGCGTGGTGGCGCATGCCTGTAGTCCCAGTTACTCAGGAGGCTGAGGCAGGAGAATCGCTTGAACCCTGGAGGCGGAGGTTGCAGTGAGCCGAGATCGCACCACTACACTCCAGCCTGGGTGACAGAGCAAGACTCCGTCTCAAAAAAATTTTTAAAAAAGAGAGAGAGAGATCTTTACTGTCCTCTCTGAGATTGTCTTCTGAGCCCTGGCCCTCGCTCTGTAAGTTTTAATGCTGGCTCTTTCTTCATCTCATCAGAAGTAATGAATAGACAGTTTTTGAACAACAATCAGGATTTGTGCTCCTTCTTCAAATGGTCCTTAAGTGGTATGAGGACTAAAGCATCCAGGGGCTGCAGTCACAGCTGCCCAGCCATGCCACCAGGAATAACAACCACGTAAGCATGCACAGGTAATGACAACTGACAGTGACTGCAGGACACAGAGAACCAATCACATCTGATTTCAAAGAAGTTAAATGGGCCAGACATGGTGGCACGTGCCTGTAGTCTCAGCTACTCTATAGGCTGAGGCAGGAAGATT
This sequence comes from Homo sapiens, assembly GCF_000001405.40. Lineage (NCBI taxonomy): Eukaryota > Metazoa > Chordata > Mammalia > Primates > Hominidae > Homo > Homo sapiens. The sequence continues at coordinate 25,053,533 of NC_000016.10, read as the reverse complement.
GCTTGAGCCCAGGAATGTAGGTCCAGCCTGGGCAACAAAGTGAAACCCCCATTTCAAAAAAATAAAAAATAGAAATAAAGTTTAAGGCTGGGAATGGTGGTCCTTGCTTGTAATCCTAGCACTTTGGGAGGCTGAGACAGGTGGATCACCTGAGATCAGGAGTTCGAGACCAGCCTGGCCAACATGGCAAAAACCCATCTCTACTAAAAATACAAAAATTAGCTGGGCGCACACCTGTAATCCCAGCTACTCGGGAGGCTGAGGAAGGAGAATCGCTTGAACCTGGGAGGTGGAGGTTGCAGAGAGCCGAGATCGTGCCACTGCACTCCAGCCTGCGCAACGGGAGTGAGACTCCATCTAAAAAATAATAAATAAATGAATGAATAAATAAATAAATAAAGTTTATAAGAAGATAAATGGTTCATTAGCCTTAAACAAATTAAATGGAAGAGCAGGTGTGTCACAGAATGAATCAAATATTTACCTTTACAACAAGAAATACAGTAAGTGTGAATATCACAAGCAAACATGAAAAGCAAGTATTAAACTAGGAAACACAGGCTAGGCATGGTGGCTCATGCCTGTAATCCCAGCACTTTGGGAGACTGAGGCAGGAGGACTGCTTGAGCCTAGGAGTTTCAGACCAACTAGGGCAACATAGCAAGACTCTATTGCTACCAAAAAATAATAAATAAATAAATAAATAAATAAATAAATAAATAAATAAATATTAGCCAGGCACGGTAGTGCATGCCTGTAGTCATATCTACTTGGCAGGCTGAGGTGGGAGGATTGTTTGAGCCCAGGAGCTCAAGATTATAATGAGCTAGGATTGCGCCACTGCACCCCAGCCTGGGTGACAGAGCGAGACGGTCTCTAAAATAAACTAGGAGAAATAACTAACATGTCACAAAATACTAACATCTTTACATTATGAAGGACTCTTAAAAACAAATAAATAAAAAACCCTAAAATCCCAGAGGAAAAAATTAAGACAAAAGGCAAACTTGGGGGCAGTTCACAAAAGAAACACAACAGATCAATGAACACACCAAAAGCTCAGCCTTATCAATAATGTAAAAAACCCGAAATGAAAGTAAAAACAGAGAGTTATATTTCTCCTATCAAATTGTCAACAAAAGTATTGTTTAATCTAACTTGGCATTGGCCAAGACGAGGAAGAGGGTGCTTGAGCTGCCCGAAGCTTAAACTGGCACAGTCATACTGCAAGGCACTGCGACGACAGGTACAAAAAGCCTGAAACACACACATATACAATGACCAAATGATCCCATCTAAAACTGAACACAGAGTTACAGTATCAGGTGAACCAACCCGATTATTGTTTGTATGTATAGGATGTTCCCAATTTTGTTAAATGATGTATACACACGCAAGGCTGCCCACAGCAGACACCAAAGTGTTAATACACTGTTATCTCTGCACCTTCCACGAGGCTGCACATCCAGTTCTGCCTGTCAATTTCCATTACACATCTCTGCTCACAAAACCCAGAGAATATCACTTCTATTTTTATATCCTGATTTCATATTTAAAGCCCGGATTCAAAGAACCAAACGTCTCAGATGTGGAAAGACCTCAGAGATTTTCCCACTCTTCTTTCAATCCACAAATGCTTTCAGTTTCCATGACATTCACATGCTGCCTGTTCAAGTTACTGTGTTTTTAAATCACTCACTTTTTAAAAAACACTCAGGTCAAATGTGCTGCCCAATATTTTCTGCTAGCACAATGCTGTAATAAATATCTATTAACATGTAAAACATCTGTGTACCACCCAAAACCATCTCACATTCCTCCCACGGGAAACACTGATCTGGTCCAACCACCTACTCATTCAAGAAGCATTTACTGACTGAGTCCTATCTCCAAGAGCTCAATTGGAACAATGGGTCCTTCTGAAAGGTGTGAAATCCCCTCCAATAGCCATTTCCTCATCTGAGGCTTCAGGGAATGAGACGGGGCCTCCCCATTCACCCAGCTTATAAGGATCAAGCTGGAGCCTCATTTACTTCTTTAAGTGACACCGTGTGCTTACTATGTGCCAGGCATTATTCCAAATGCTTGACAAATATGAACACACACAAACCTCGTAGGACCCTACAAGGCAGACTCAGCTTTATAGATCTAGGTTGAGGCAGTTTCCTCAGCTGCGGAACTTAATTCTATTAACTAGGTAACTGAAGGTTTAATGTATGTTTTCCTTCCTTTTTTTTCTTTTCTTTTCTTTTCTTTTCTTTTTTTTTTTTTTTTTTGAGACAGGATCTCACTGTGTTGCCCAGGCTAGAGTGCAGTGGTGTGATCACAGCTCACTGCACCCTCAACCTCCCTGGGCTCAGGTGTCTCTCCCACCTCAGCCTCCCAAGTAGCTGGGACTACAGGCACACACCACCACACCCAGCTAATTTTTGTATTTTTTGTAGAGATGGGGTTTCATCTTGTTGCCCAGGCTGGTGTTGAATCCATCCACTGCCGCTTCCCAAAGTGCTGGGATTAGAGACGTGAGCCATAATGTGGGTTTTGAAACATACCCACCTGGATTTAGATGTTCCTACCCCTGAACATTTGTTTTATCCCTCATAACACTTGAGTTGTTTAAATGATATGCGTATGTGTACGTGTGTGTATCTGTTTGTGCGCATAAAGTCATGTGTTGCTTAACAATGGGGATGCATTCTGAGAAATGCATTCTTAGGTGATTTCGTTGTACAGACAGCACAGAGAGCACTTACGGAAACCTAGATGGTACAGCCCACTACACACCCAGGCTACATGGTATAGCCTATTGCTCCTGGGCTACAAATCTCTACAGCACATTACTGTATTGAATAATGAAGGCAACTGTAACACAATGTTAAGTATTTGTGTATCTAAACACAGCTAAACATAGAAAAAGTACACTACAAATACAGTATAAAAGGCTAAAAATGATCCACCTCTATAGGACACCTGCACTGAATGGAGTTTACAGGGCTGGAAGTTGCCCTGGGTGAGTCAGTGAGTGAGGGGTGAGTGAGTGTGAAGACGCAGGACATTACACTGTGTAAACTTTAAAAGCAGTGTATGCTAGCCAGGCACAGTGGCTCACGCCTGTAATCTCAGGACTTTGGGAGGCTGAGGTGGGCAGATCACAAGGTCAGGAGTTCGAGACCTTCCTGGACAACATGGTGAAACCCCGTCTCTTCTAAAAACACAAAAAATTAGCCAGGCATGGTGGCACATGCCTGTAATCCCAGCTACTCAGGAGGCTGAGGCAGAAGAATCGCTTGAACCTGGAAGGTGGAGGTTGCAGTGAACTAAGATCGTGCCACTACACTCCAGACTCTGTCTCAAAAAAAGAAAAAAAAAAGAAAAAAAAAACTAAGACACAATCACATACATTATCCTAGGCCTACACAGAGTCAGCACCATCAATATCACTCTCCACCACCTCTACATCTTGTTCCCCTGGAAGGTCTCCAGGGGCAATAACATGAATGGAGCTGACATCTCCCAAGATAATGATTTCTTCTTCTGGAATATTTCCTGAAGGACCTGCCTGAGGGCTTTTACAGTTAACTTTTTGTTAATAAGTAGTTGCTCTGGGTGAGTCAGCAAGTTGTTATTCTAAAATAACAATAAAAAGTACAGCATAGTAAATACATAAACCGTTAACACAGTTTTTTATCATGATCAAGTTTCATGTATTGTACATAATTGTATGTGTTACACTTTTATAGGACAGGCTGCACGGTAGGTTTGTTTACACCAGCATCCACATAAGCTCATGAGTGATGTACCGTGCTAAGACATTAGGACAGCTACGTCACTAGGTGATAAGATAATAGAGCTGAAAAATTCCCGTGGGACCGCCACCACCATATATGCGGGCAGCTGTTACCCGAAGGCATCACTGTACATGTATTTGAGATTGCAAAATTCAACTATGTTCAGCATTAAAATCTCAGATTTAGAATTTCAACTGCATGCTGCTTGTGGTCTGTAAGATATGGCACTACCTCCAACTTTAATTCTATTGTTCTTTTATACCTTTTAGTTTCATTTTTAGTTTCTATTTCCTGTTGGTTTTATTATTGGTTTATAAACGGAAGGCAGGAAGCAAAATCTTTTTTTTTTTTTTTTTTTTTTGAGACAGACTCTCATTCTGTCGCCCAGGCTGGAGTGCAGTGGCATGATCTTGGCTCACTGCAACCTCCATCTCCGGGGTTCAACTGATGCTCGTGCCTCAGCCTCCCGAGTAGCTGGGATTACAGGCACCCACCACCATGCCCGGCTAATTTTTGTACTTTTAGTAGAGACGGGTTTTCACCGTGTTGCCCAGGCTGGTCACAAACTCCTGGCCTCAAGTGATCCGCCCGCCTCAGCCTCCCAAAGTGCTGGGATTACAGGCATGAGTCACCACGCCTGGCCAGGAAGCAAAGTCTTAAGGGCAAAAGACGCTGTACTGAAACAGAGCTAGGCTTCGTCTCCCTTCCTCCTTTCAGGGCTGTTGCTAGTATACAGCTAATGTGCCAGGACTTAAATAGTAGCTGGGATTACAGGCACCCACCACCATGCCCGGCTAATTTTTGTATTTTTAGTAAAGACGGGGTTTCACCGTGTTGCCCAGGCTGGTCACGAACTCCCGACCTCAAGTGATCCGCCCGCCTCAGCCTCTCAAAGTGCTGGGATTACAGGCATGAGTCACCACGCCTGGCCAGGAAGCAGTCTTAAGGGCAAAAGACGCTGTACTGAAACAGAGCTAGGCTTCGTCTCCCTTCCTCCTTTCAGGTCTGTGGCTAGTATATAGTTAATGTGCCAGGACTTAAATGCTGAGTCACCTAAAAAGCTGAGCCTCAATCCTCAATAACCAGGAAGACTCATATAGGCTGCAATTCCCTTCCAGAGGAGACTGCCCGTGTTGCCTTTTGCTTTCATCTAATGTCTCTTTACTTTACAAAGAATAATATGATCTAAAATCTGTCTCTGTTGTAAGCAGTCACTGAATATTGGGCAAAGCATAAATGGCAAAGGGAGCAACATTCACACGAAGGTAAAAGAAATGGGGAAACCCAATCAGAAAATTCTCTTGGATCAATGTTCTGTATCTAACTCAACAAAAAGCCAGTAAATACAGAATATCATGCAAGATGCCACAGACCTGAGTAATACCAAAGTACTTTGGGAAAAGAATAAAACCCTTACCACGTATTGCAAATATTATATGGTTTGCCTGTACATTTTCTTAATGTATTTATTTTTCCTTTGTAGTAAGTGCATTTTGTGTTCTACTCACAAAATATCTGCCCACCCCATGGTTGCAAAGATATTCTCCCATGTTTTCATGTGTAAGATTTACGATTCTAGCTTTTATGTTTAGGTTTATGAACAATTACCAACTAATTTGTGTGTATGGCATGAGATGGGGTGAAGGTTAATTTCTTTCCTCATGTGAATATCCAGTTGATCTAGAATTATTCATTAAAAATAATTTCCTGGCTGGGCAGTGGCTCACACCTACAATCCCAATACTTTGGGAGGCTGAGGTGTGAGTACTGCTTGAGCCCAGGAGTTCGAGACCAACCTGGGCAACACAGTGAGACCCTGTCTCTACAAACAAAAAACAACAAAACATTAGCTGGACATGGAAGTACACACCTGCATTCCCAGCTACTTGGGAGGCTGAGGTGGGAGGATCACTTGAGCTCAGGAGGCTGGGGCTGCAGTGAGCCATGATCATACCACTGCATTCCATCTTGGGCGACAGAGGAAGACCCTCTCTTAAAAAAAAAAAAAAGAAATTAAATGACTTTCCTTCCTTCCACCAGAAAATTGACTTACTCGCTCTGGGCAAAAATCAACTGACAGTACGTATGCAGGTCTATTTCTGGACTCAGTTTCACTGATATATTTGTCTATTGTGATGTCAAGACCAATGTTTTGATTAGTGTAGCTTTATAGTAAGTCTTAAAATTAAGTGGTATAAAAAATTAGCAGTTTAAGTTCTCCAACTTTGCTCTTTTTTTTTTTTTTTTGCTATTCTAGATATTTTGCATTTCCATATAAATTTTAGAATCAACTTGTTAGTTTCTTCAAAAAAAAAAACAAATAGGATTTTAACTGGGATTGCATTGACTCCATAGATCAATTTGGGGAGAACAGACATCTTAATATCAGGTCTTCTAATATATGAACAAAGTAACCTCTTCCTTATTTAAGTATTTATTAATTTCTCTCACCAATATTTTAGTGAGAGAGTAAAAGTATTCTCTCACAATACTTTTCTGGTAAAGGTGTTTTCATGTCTTTCATTAGAGTTATTCTAATGATTTTTGATGCTACTGTTTTTATGCTGTTTTTCCTTTTTTCTTTTTTTGGGACAGGATCTCTCTGTCACCCAGGCTGGAGTGCAGTGGTATGATCACAGATCACTGCAGCTTCAACCCTCCCAGTCTCAAGCTATCCTCTCACCTCAGCCTCCCAAGTAGCTGTGACTACAGGTACTCGCCACCATACCCAGCTAATTTGGTTCACTTTCTTGTAGAGACAAGGTCTCACTATGTTGCCTATGTTGCTCAAAGTCCTGGGCTCAAGGGATCCTCCCACCTTGGCCTCCCAAAGTGCTGGGATTACAGGTATGAGCCACCGTGCCTGGCCTGATGCTATTGCAAATGGTATTTTACATTTTCATATATATATATGTTTCATGTATATATGTGTGTGTGTGTGTATTTACAACATATATATATCTGATAAAAATATTCCAGGCTGGGCGCAGTGGCTCATGCCTGTAATCCCAGCACTTTGGGAGGCCGAGGTGGGAGGATCGCCTGAGGTCAGGAGTTCAAGACCAGCCTGGCCAACATAGTGAAACCCCGTCTCTACTAAAAATAGAAAAATTAGCCGAGTGTGATGGTGCATGCCTATAGTCCCAACTACTTGGGAGGCTGAGGCAGGAGAATTGCTTGAGCCTGGGAGGCTGAGGTTGTAGTGAGCCGAGATTGCACCACTGCACTCCAGCCTGGGTGACAGAGTGGGACTCCATCTCAAAAAAAAAAAAAATTCCTATCCAGAATATATAATACACTCCAACAAATATAAAACAACAGTATCACCAACAAAAATGTGCAAAACAGACAGTTCACAAAAGATGACATGGGAATGGCCAATAAGTACATGAAAAAGCGCTTATTAGTCGCCAGGGAAATATGACTTAAAACCATGAGATGCTATTTCACACCCACGGACAATACAGAACGTTAACAAGGATATGGAGAAACTGCAAGTTCTGCTATGTAGCTGGTGGGAAGTGTCAACTGATAAATCACTTTGGATATTAGTGTGGTAGTTACATATGTCCCCACCCTATGACTAAGCACTTCCACTCCTAAACATTTATCTAAGAGAAATAAATTAAGAATGTTCATTGCAGCCAATTTACACTGGTCCAAAACTGGACACAACCCAAATGTTCATCAAAAGGTGAATGGATGAACAAATCCTATATTCACACAACTCAAAAAGGAGCAAATGACTTTCCAATGGCAAAGACTGTCTCCTTGACCAAACTCTAGCCAGCTCCTCTGACCCCTCTTCTCAACTAGGCCTTAACCTTGGCCTATAAAGACTTGAGCAAGGTTGGGCATGGTGGCCCGTGCCTGTAATCCCAGCACTTTGAGAGACCGAGGCAGGAGTGTCACTTGAGCCCAGGAGTTCTAGACTGGCCTAGGCAACAGAGACAGGCCCCAACTCTACAAAAAGTTTAAAAATTAGCAGAACGTGGTGGTGCATGCCTGTAGTCCCAGCTACTAGGGAGGCTGAGGCAGGAGGATCACTTGGGTTTGGGGAGGTCAGCACTGCAGTGAGCTGTGATCACATCACATCACTGCACTCCAGCCTGGGTGACAGAGCAAGTCACAAAAAAACAAAACAAAAACAAAAACAAAAACAAAAACAAAAAAACAAAATCAAAAAAGCCAATAAATAAACAAAAATCAGGCTGGACACGGTGGCTCACACCTGTAATCCCAGCACTTTGGGAGGCCAAGGCAGGCTGATCACCTGAGGTCAGGAGTTTGAAACCAGCCTGGCTAACATTGCAAAACCCTGTCTCTATTAAAAATATGAAAATTAGCCGGGTTTGGTGGCACAAGCCTGTAATCCCAGCTACTTGGGAGGCTGAGGCAGGAGAATCACATGAACCCAGGAGGCAGAGGTTGCAGTGAGCCGAGATCACACCACTGCACTCTAGCCTGGGTGACAGAGTGAGACTCTGTCTCAAAAAAAAAAAAAAAAAAAGACTTGAGCAAACACTAACATAGTTTCTTTTTGTTGTTATTTAAACAAATTGTTGGCTGGGTGCCATGGCTCACGCCTGTAATTCCAGTACTTTGGGAGGCCGAAGCAGGCGATTACTTGAGGTAAGGAGATCGAGACCAGCCTGGCGAACATGATGAAACCCCATCTCTACTAAAAATACAAGAATTAGCCACAAATTACAGGTGTGGTGGCTCACACCTGTAATCTCAGATACTCAGGAGGCTGAGGCATGAGAATCACTTGAACCCGGGAGGAAGAGGTTGCGGTGAGCCGAGATCGTGCCACTGTACTCCAGCCTGGGTGAACCAGTGAGACTCCATCTCAAAAATATAAAAATAATTATTTATTTTGTAGAGAGGGAGGTATTACTATGTCACCCAGGCTTGTCTCGAACTCCTGGGCTCCAGTGATCCATCCTCCCACCTTGGCCTCCCAAAGTGCTGGGAGCCACCGCACCTGGCCTTTTTTGTTTGTTTGTTTTTTGTTTTTGTTTTTGTTTTGAGACAGAGTCTTGCTCTATTGCCCAGGCTGGAGTGCAGCAGTATGATCTCAGCCCACTACAACCTCCACCTCCCAAGTTTAAGCGATTCTCCTGCCTCAGCCTCCTGAGTAGCTGGAACTACAGGCGTGTGCCACTACATCTGGCTAAGTTTTGTATTTTTAGTAGAGATGGGGTTTTGCCACATTGGCCAGGCTGGTCTCGAACTCCTGACCTCAAGCAATCCACCCGCCTTGGTCTCCCAAAGTGCTGGGATTACAGGCGTGAGCCACGGCGCCCAGCCTAAAAACATGGTTTCCAATAGTTCAAGGTTGCATCCTTTGGATGACCCAGCCCCCAGTAAGCTGCCTGTCTGAGAAAACTCAAAGCTGCCTATAGAATTTACTGTGTTTCAGCCAACACTACTGAAGACAGGGCCTGCCTCCCACTCTCTGTGGGAGGGCAGAAGCCTAACTTCCTTAATGGCCAGTTACCAAACCCAGATGGGTTTCACAGGACCAACCCTCCCTCCCCACTTTTTGTGATTTTTCACTTCCCTGACTCTACTGAGCCCCTTTCTCATTCTCCTTGTAAAACACCCTGTCCTGTCTATGCAAATTGAAGTTAAGCTCAGTTCACACTGGATTGAATTTGGCTAAACTGCAATCGTTATTACTGATGAAAATTGGTTCTTACCACTTCAGTGTCCAGCTTTATCTTTGACAACACACACAATACAGATGAATCTCGAAGAACATGTTGAATAAAAGACACACAGAGGAATACATTTGTGTGATTCCATTTATATGACATTCAAAAATAGGCAAATCTAATCTATAGTAGACAAAATCAGAAAATGGCTGCAAAGTAGGGTTAGGAAACTAGAAAAAGATAACAAGAGAGGCTGGTTCACGCCTGTAATCCCAGCACCTTGGGAGGCCGAGGCAAGAGGATCGCTGGAGCCCAGGAGTTCAAGAAAAGCCTGGGAAACAAGGCAAGACCCCATCTCTACAAAAAATAAAAATTAGCCAGGCATGATGGCGTGTGCCTATAGTCCTAGCTACTCGGGAGTCTGAGGCGGGAGGATCACTTGAGCCTGGGAGATCCAGGCTGCACTGAGTTGAGATTGTGCCACTGCACTCCAGCTTAGGAGACAGAGGGAGACCCTGTATCAAAAAAACAAAACAAAAACAAAAGTAAAAATTGTCAGATTTTGCATCAAAGATTTACAATTTCTGGAGCCGGGTATGGTGGCAAGTACCTGTATCCCAGCTACTCAGGAGGTGGAGGCAGGAGGATCACTTGAGTCCAGGGGAGAACCAGTCTGGACAACACAGTGAAACCTCAACTCAAAAAACAGATTCATAGTTTCTGACTTATGAAGTGTACTGTACAAGTTAAACCAACAGACAAGCATCATCTTGACAAAAAAATACTACAACAAATAGTTAGCCAAGGATACTATGCCAACATAAAAACTTCCTACAAATCGGTAATAAAAATATAAATAACCAAACAAGAAAAAGACATACAGCCCAACAGGAAATGATATGAAGAGAAGGTTCACATAAAAAATATCAGGCTGGTGTGGTGGCTCATGCCTGTAATCACAGCACCTGGGGAGGCTGAGAAGGGAGGATCATCTGAGCTCAAGAGTTTGAGACCCACCTAGGCAAAATGGTGATACCCTGCCTCTACAAAAAATTTAAAAATAAGCCAGGCATGGGGGCCTGTGCCTGTAGTCCCAGCTACTCAGGAGGCTGAGACAAAATGATCACTTGGGCCTAGGAAGTTGAGGCTGCAGTGAGCGGTGATCATGTCACTGCACTCTAGCCTGGGCAACAGAACAAGACCCTGTCTCAAAAAAAAAAAAAAAAAATCGATGACAGTGAGCATACTGAAAATGGTCAGCCTTTGGTGAGGTTGTGGAGAAAAGGGAACACTTATACACACCGTTGGTGGGAGTGTAAATTAGTTCAACCTTGTCGAAAGCAGTGTGTGGCGATTACTCAAATTCCTAAAGACAGAAATACCATTCAATCTAGAAATCCCATTAGTGGGTATATACTCCCCAAAACATAAATCATTCTACCATTAAGACGCATGCATGTGTGTGTTCATTGCAGCACTATTCACCATGTAAAATCATGAAATCAACCTAAATGCTAATCAGTGACAGACTAGATAAAGACAATGTGGTACATATACACCATAGAATACTATGCAGCCATAAAAAAGAACAAGATCATGTCCTTTGCAGGGACATGGATGGAGCTGGAGGCCATTATCCTTAGCAAACTAATGCAAGAACAGAAAAACAAATACTGCATGTTCTCACTTATAAGTGGGAGCTAAATGATGAGAACACATGGACACACAGAGGGGAACAACACACTCTGGGGTCTGCTGGAGGGTGGGATGAGGGAGAGGATCAGAAAAAATAACTAATGGGTACTAGGCTTAGTACCTGTGTGACAAAATCATACAACAAACCCCATGACCCGAATTTACCTATTCAACAAAGCTGTGCATGTACCCCTGAACCTAAAAGTTTTTTGCATTTTTTTTTTTTTAAGACAGAGTCTCGCTCTGTCGCCCAGGCTGGAGTGCAGTGGCACAATCTTGGCTCAGTGCAACCTCTGCCTCCTGGGTTCAAGCGATTCTCCTGCCTCAGCCTCCCAAGTAGCCAGGATTACAGGCGCCTGCCACCACACCTGGCTAATTTTTGTATTTTTAGTAGAGACAGAGTTTCACCACGTTGGCCAGGCTGGTCTCAAACTCCTAACGTCAAGTTATCCACCTGCCTCGGCTTCCCAAAGTGCTTGGATTACAGGCATGAGCCACTACACCCTGCCCTAAAAGTTTTTTTAAAAAATGTTCAGCCTCAAGAGTGATTATAGGATAAAGGGAGATTATTTTCCACCTGCTAGGTGGTAAACAATTAAAGAGATTGAGAATATTCGATACTGGCATCACATTCACTGTGGGTGGGAATGGAAACTGACACAACCTCTTTCAAGGACTACTTTGCAGAAACTTCTTCCCTAAAATCTATTTCATAGCAAAACTCACGCACATGCAAAAATGCTGATCCCAGCACTATTTTTTTTTTTTTTTTGAGACAGGGTCTCACTGTTACACAGGCTAGAGTGCAGTGGTGCAATTATAGCTCATAGCTCATTGCTGCCTTGACCTCCTAGGCTCAAGCGATCCTCCTGCCTCAGTCCCCCATGCAGCTGGGACCACAGGTGCTCATCACCATGCCTAATTTTTTCTTTTTGGCAGAGAAAGGTTCTCACTATGTTGCCCAGGTTAGTCTCAAACTCCTGAGCTCAAGCAATCTTCCTACCTTGGCCTCCCAAAGTGCTAGGATTACAGGCGTGAGCCACAGCATCCAGTCTATTTTTTATTGAGACATGAAGTCTTACTGTGTTGCCCTGCCTGGTCTCCAACTTCTGGACTCAAGCAGTCCTCCCACCTTGACCTCCCAATGTGCTGGGATTACAGGCATGAGCCATCGTGCCCAGCCTTGCACTCTCAACAGCAAAACCAGAGCCACATAAATGATGAACAATAGAAGAATGGCCAAATAAAGTATTAATACTACTATGCTGCAGAACACCCTGTAGCCACTAAAAAGAATAAGGCAGATCTATAGGAAATATGTTTAAATTATTAAGTGGAGGGAAAAGTTATTTTTGTCATTAAAAAAATTAAGCATTTAAGGGAAAAAATGACGTGAGATTGACATTCCAGATCTAATAACATTATCTTTAGCGAATGTTTCCCAAACTTTAATTTGATCCTTAAAAAGAAAAACACAAGCACAACCCCATGATTTATCTGACTTTATTGATGGGCAAGTTTTACAGCTAATTTATGTGCAACAGAATGTTCTAGCTCTGAAGTGGCATGCCTTCTTTGGGCATGAAAAGCAGCACCTGCCTTGAAAATATTTCAGATCACAATCTCGACCTCATTCTCTGGGGCACAGCTAAGAAGATGCGATCTGGGTGCCGGAAAGGCCCTGGGCTAAGCCCTCGGGGAAAAGCTGGTTTTCCCCAGAGGTGACCCTGTGACCTGCTTCTATGTCAAGGGGGAATATTTCTCCTTTCAGTTGAGAAATCAGATTAAGCACCATAATTTTCACAATGAAATTTCAGCCTTATAAGCCCTGGTCTGCTCTCTAGAACACATAGACCATTCAGAACCAATGAAACAGAAAACCAGAATTTTAAGACCTCATCAGGAAATACAATCTTGAACATGTGTGCTCAGTCCCTGTCACTGTGACCAGCTGACAAATATTTATTTGTGCATGTGGCATAAAGGTAGGCATGGTCTGTGCTCGGTATTGTGTCTATTCCAGTGGCAGAGATGAACACTAGGCACTTTCCTATTTATTTATTGTGATGGAATTTTGCTCTTGTTGCTCATGCTGGAGTGCAATGGCGGGATCTCGGCTCACCGCAACCACAACCACCTCCACCTTCCAGGTGCAAGCGATTCTCCCGCCTCAGCCTCCCGCGTAGCTGGGATTACAGGCGCCTGCCACCATGCCCGGCTAATTTTGTATCTTTAGTAGAGATGGGGTTTCTCCATGTTGGTCAGGCTGGTCTTGAACTCCCGACCTCAGGTGATCTGCCCACCTCAGCCTCCCAATGTACTGGGATTATAGGCGTGAGCCACCACTCCCAGCCCACTAGGCACTTTCTAAATCACAACTGGGCCGACGACCACCAAGGAGACTCACAGGTGTTATGAGAACATTCAACAGAAGCTAGGTCTTGTCTATGGGTGTCAGAAAGGACTCTCGGAGTGAGCCACGTGTCAGCTAAGCCAAAAACCTTGTAGTCATCTTGGCCGCCTCAGTCTCGCCCCATATCCACTCTGCCAGAACATTCTATCAGCTCTACCTTCAAAATGCACCCAGAATCTGACATATTCTCAGCACCTCCATCACCACTATCCTGATCCAAGCACCAGCCTGTCTCACAGGGGACACCCCCACAGCCAACTAACTGATTCTGCCTCCGTCCTTACCCCTGCAGTCTGCTCCTAACAGAGGCTGAAGTGATGCTGTTAAAACCAAGTCAGGCCACCTCACTCTTCAGTTCAGCCTGGCCAACATGGTGAAACCCCGTCTCTACCAAAAATACAAAAATTAGCTGGGCATGGTGGCACGTGCCTTTAATCCCAGCTACTTGGGAGGCTGAGGTTCGAGAATCACTTGAACCTGGGAGACAGAGATTGCAGTGAGCGGAGATCACGCCACTGCACTCCAGCCTTGGCGACAAAGCAAGACTCTGACTCAAAAAAATAAAAAAATAAAAATAATAAAATAAGAAGTCTGGGTAACTGATTGCACAAGGCAGATATTAAAAGGGCAGTTCCTGGGCAGGCACAGTGGCTCATGCCTGTAATCCCAGCACTCTGAGAGGCTGAGGCAGGTGGATCATTTCAGTCCATGAGTTCAAGACCAGTCTGTGCAACACGGCAAAACTCTGCCTCTAGAAAAAAATACAAAAATTAGCCAGGTGAGGTGGCACACACCTGTGGAAGTTGAGGTGGGAGGACCGCTTGAGCCCAGGATCGAGGCTGCTATGATTGTACCACTGCACTCCAGCCTGGGTGACACAGCAAGGCCCTGTCTCAAAAAAAAAAAAAAAAGGAGTTCCAAGATGACACCTACCTTTTAAACTTGTGAACTAAATGAACTATAGAACCATTCACTAAGTCGGGGCTTGGACAGGGCAGTAGAACATGGGGAAGTGATCGTAAGCATAGTTTTGCAAATAGTAAATGTGAGATAATTCCGAGACATCCAAGTGGAGATTTCAAGTTGGTAGCCAGATACCAGGCTTGAGGGACCAGATCATGTAAGGCACAGTATGTATGTCATGTAACAAAGTACAGATTTTTAACTGGTAGGTGATAGGGAACTGAAAGGTTTTAGTAAGTGACAAGATAAGATTTGTGATTCTGAAAAATCACCCTGGCCACAGGTGGAATATGGATGTGTTGCAGATCAGATGAGCAAAGACAGCAGGTGCAGGGGCTGTGGGTGTGGGAAAGAAAAGGAGGCTTCCCCTTTGTCACCAACACTTCTCCACACAGCTGCTGGGGATTTTTCGAATACAAATCCAGATCATGTCAGTTCCCCACTTAAAATCCCTCAGGATAAAACCTGTACTCCTTGTGACCTTCCACGGTTCACTGTGTGACAACCTGTCCAGAACTCTCTCCTGGTACCCACTCCCCACCCTGTGTCAGGTTCGCCTAACACACAGTTCCGCTTCAGGCCCCATGCCTCTGCTCATGCTGTTGTCTTCTGCCTGGCAAGCCCTCGCTTTGGCACCCACAGTGAGGCCGTGTTGTTTTCCTGTTGGATATAATCTTGCAGAGCTGCTCTGCCTATGGAGTAGCCACCCTTTTATTCCTTTTCTTTTTTTTTCTTTAGACAGAGTCTTGCTCTGTCACCAGGCTGAAGTGCAGTGGCATGATCTCAGCTCACTGCAACCTCCATCTCCTGGGTTCAAGCAATTCTCTTTCCTTAGCCCCCTGCGTAGCTGGGACTACAGGCACGCGTCACCACGCCCAGCTAATTTTTGTATTTTTAGTAGAGACGGGGTTTCACCATGTTGGCCAGGATGGTCTTGATCTCTTGACCTTGGGATCCGCTCACGTCGGCCTCCCAAAGTACTGGGATTACAGACATGAGCCACCACACCCGTCCTATTCCTTTACTTTCTTAGTAAACTTGCCTCCACTCTAAACCCTCCCCACCAACACACACACACAAACACACAAAGTCACACAGAACACCCACACAAGGGCCTGCAACAGTGATGACGAGAGACTAAACAAGACCACATCATCATTCTGTGTAAGCACAGACAAAAACAAGGTCACCGTGCCACCACGGAATACCAGACATCCCTTTCTCCCAGCTGATCAGTGACGTTGCTTCTTTACACATTACAGCTTTAGCCCTACTCCAGGCAAACCTCCTTCTAGAAAAGATACAGCTACTGGGTGATAGAATTTTTTTACGTCCTATCAGCACTCAATCCAGAGCAAATCCCTGGACCCTCCCCCAAATCACCCAGCCAAAGCCCAGATCCTAAAGGTCTAACATCCTCTTACTGATAGGCTCCTCATGGTGTGAGTCTTCCCTCCTTGCAACAAGTAATAAACCAAACTTGCTTAACTACAAAGTGTTTCATGTGGTCTTTACTGGAGGACATTCACAACTGTAACAGTAAAAAATGGATGGTTAAGTTTCTTGGGGGAGGTTCATGGAGTTTCTATCTGAGGGCTCCCATTTTGTATGTTGAGCAATAGCTGACATTATCTTGAGAATGAAGAAGGGGTGGGGTAAGTCAGAAGTTTGAAGACAGTGGAAAATGTCTGAATTAAGTATCCTGTAGAAAGGGAGAGTGAGTGGAATGAGAAACATACTACAATGACCAGGTTCTGTTAAGGGCACAGGTGCGATTGGGTGACATGAATTCACAGTGGCACCAAGCCACCTTGCTGTGTGATTTCTACCACCTATATTCAAGGCAAAAATGGACAGTGTGGTTTAGCCAGGGTTCTGGCTCTACCAGGACCAAAAGGTAAGGGAGATATAAAGGCACTGCCAAGAGAATTACTGAGGGTTGGAGGATGAGCTCTAAGATCAATTGAGAAGTGATAGGAGAGGGAGTATCTAAAGGATACAGAAAACCAACAAGATGCTAAGGAGAAATGGGCACAGCATGGGAAATGGGAAAGAACTGGTCAAGCAACTTGGAAAAAGGGGTCAGGGTTGGAGAGTGTTGCACTCTCATCTGTGAGGCAGTGCAGCATCAGGATAAAAACATAGGGTGTCAAGGAAAAAAGGGGTGACAGAATCAGATGGGGAGAGGTTATTGCTGCAGACCAGGCCTTCAAGAAAGTGAGTGCCCCATGCACAGGCTCCATGTGGACACTGAGGTCACCTAGGGTGATGTCATGAATTGCGGTAGAAGACACTCTGGAGCAGGCACCCCAGTCTTCCATGAATGAGAGGAATGACCAGGAGAAGGCGAACAACAGCAACCAGGAGGGCTCCCGCTGGGCAGGAAGGATCTCCATGGAATGAGATGGGGGGAAACACACAGGAGGACACAAAGCTCAAACCCCTGATCCTGAGATACACAAGGGATGAGAAGGAGGAGCCACAGGAGAGGGCTTCAAGAACGGGATATCCCTGGGGAAGGGTCAGGGTGAAGGCAAAGGGAGGGAGGGAATGGCTAACGAGAGGCAGAGGAAACAGAGGCGGCTACTGATTATGGAGTGGTAATTGCAGAGGACACAGTGAGGGGGTAGTGGGATGGTTGGGTCACAGGTAAACAAAAGTGGGGAGAAAAAACTCTGGGGCACAGCATGATGGACATCATAAGGAGAGGAGAGGAGAGGAGGGTGGGGAAGTCGGCTACCACGGGAAGTGCTCAATTGTATCTGCTGAGTCACATGGATATAAACCTAATGTATCTAATCAGAAAAACCCGACCTCATCGCATAAGTCCATGATGATGATGATGATGTTGATGATAATAGTTTGATGACAATGGGGGTGGTGATGACAGTAACTACCAATTCTGAACACCTCCTATATATGCCAAGCACTGCTGGAAGCACTGACATTTCACCTTGGCAGCAACCCTCTGAGACAGGTAACATCCTCCTTATCCCCAGAAGGACTCTGTACCAAAGGGGGAAGCAAACTAAACAGAAATATCAGTGCCCTCGGAGGCTGACTGGCTTTTAAAATGTTATCTTAGGGATTTTATGGTTGTAACTCACTCAGGACAGCAGGAACCAGCCTGACTCATATTTACTGCATATGCAGCAACTTCAACAAATAATATTCGGCCTGGAGGAAAATGAAAACATGCAATCATTTACTGGGGGCTTCGCTTTGGGCCAGATCCTGTGCTAACTGCTCTGCATCAATTATCTCATTTAACCCTCACACCCGAAAAGCAGGTTACCCTAATAATCCCCATTTTAAAGATTAAGAAACTGAGGCAGAAAGAGTAATTTGCCCATGATTCGTGCAAGCAATCCTTATTTAACATCATGACTTTTGGACAAGATCTAAAGGTTCAATACATTACAGAACCTGAAAGACACAGAGTCCTGCAGAATGTCTTAAACCATTAACTTCTCACAATCTCTTTGCATGTTTTTTTCAGGCGAGGCAAAATGTAGTGCAAAAAAAAAAAAAAAAAAGCCAGACTCGGTGGCTCATGCCTGTAATCCCAGCACTTTGGGAGGCCAAGGCAGATGGATCACTTGAGGTCAGGAGTTCCCAACCAGCCTGCCCAATATGGTGAAACCCCTTCTCTACTAAAAACACAAAAATTAGCCAGGCGTGGTGGCAGGCGCCTGTAATCCCACCTACTCGGGAGGCTGAGGCAGAGGAATTGCTTGAACCCGGGAGGCAGAGGTTGCAATGAGCTGAGATTGCACGACTGCACACCAGCCTGGGTGGCAAAGCAAGACTGTGTCTCAAAAAAAAAAAAAAAAAAAAAGCTGTTATGAAATGCACCAAGATGGTGAACACCTGTGGTCTTTATTATCCTGGACTTGACCCAGAAGATTCTGATTCATCGGGCTACAATAGGCCCTGAACATCTGAATTTTTCTTAGGTCTCCCAGGCTATGCTGCTCAGGTTAGGAAGGGCTGCTTTATATTCTCTGCAGCTCCAAACCAAACCTTACCCTATTATGTTTAGATGTTTGTAGATCCAGAGGGCATCAGAAACTGATACAGAGAAAACCTGAAATTATCAAAACTATCCAACAGAAAGTCAATGAAAGGCATGCTCTATTTCTCTGTACCTTTCTTTCTGTTTGAACTATTTTATAACTTACTATTGTTATGTAAGCAAGTTTGCAAAAAATATTACCAACAAATATGCTAACCCTAATGTGCTACTAAACAGAATTTTATTTCTGACAATTTTGATGTCACTTCAGATTATCTTAGCAAATAGCAGTTAATATGAGAAAAATTATTATCATTATTATTATTATATATATATTTTGGAGACAGGGTCTCACTCTATCCCCCCGGCTGGAGTGCAGTGGCACGATCTCGATTCACTGCAATCTCCGTCTCCAGGGCACAAGCGATTCTCAAGTCTCAGCCTCCCAAATAGCTGGGATCACAGGCGAGCACCACCATGCATGGCTAATTTTTGTATTTTTAGTACAGACAGCATTTTACCATGTTGGCTAGGCTGGTCTCAAACTCCTGGCTTCAAGTAATCCACCTGTCTCGGCCTCCCAAAGTGCTGGGATTACAGGTATGTGCCACTGCACGTGGCCAGGAAAAAAATTATTTCTAATTAATCAGTGGTACAGGCCAGATGCGGTAGCTCATGCCTGTAGTCCCAGCACTTTGGGAGGCTGACACAGGAGGATAGCTTGGGCCCAGGAGTTTGAGACCAACCTGGGCAACAAAGTGAGGCTCCGTCTCAACAAAAAAATTGAAAAATTAGCCAGGCGTGGTGGCATGAGCCAGTAGTCCCAGCTACTTGGAGGGCTAACGCTGAAGGATCACTTGAGTCCAGGAGGTTGAGGCTGCAGTGAGTCATGATCACGCTACTGCATTCCAGCCTGGCTAAAAGAGCTAAACCCTGTCTCAAAAAATAAATTAATTAATTGATAAAAAATAAACAGTGCTATAGTGTGGCCAAATAACAAATGAAAGCTAGAGATGAGATAAAGCTGATCGTAATCCATTTAAGGTCACAAATTTCACCAGGGACTGCCTTTAATGCTTATGTATTTATCTATTTAATCAACCACTGCCAACAACTACATGCCAAATACTGCTGTAGTGCTATACTAACATTAAATATCATTTAATCTTCACAACCACTTATGAAGTACGTAGTATCATCATCCTCATTTTACAGATCAGAAAACTGAGGCACAGAATGGTTTAGTAACTTCCCCTATTTTTTTTTTTTTTTTTTTTTTTTTTGTGACGGAGTCTCTCTCTGTCTTCCAGGCTGGAGTGCAGTGGCGCGATCTCGGCTCACTGCAAGCTCCGCCTCCCGGGTTCAAGCCATTTTCCTACCTCAGCCTCCCGAGTAGCTGGGACTACAGGCGCCCGCCACCACGCCCGGCTAAATTTTTTTTTTTTTTTTGTATTTTTAGTAGAGACAGGGTTTCACCGTGTTAGCCAGAATGGTCTCGATCTCCTGACCTCGTGATCCGCCCGCCTCGGCCTCCCAAAGTGCTGCGATTACAGGCGTGAGCCACCATGCCCGGCCTGTAACTTCCCCTATTTTACACAGCCAGTGAGTGGCACTAAGTTTGACAGAGTTTGGTTCCAGAATCCATGCTCTGAATGACAACACTTAGTCTCCAGGAACCTACAGAAAGTGCAAGGCTTAATTCAAAACTTTGGTTTTCCCCACTCTATAATCCCTACGTGGCAAGCCTACGTCTCTCGCCTAGAAGGCATTCTTTGAGATCCTCTAACAGTTCGTACTCCTCTCTTGTGTTGTCTGAACACTCTCCCACATTACTATTATTATTATTGTTGTTGTTGTTGTTGTTTTGACACAGAGTTTTGCTCTTGTTGCTCAGGCTGGAGTGCAATGGCGCGGTCTTGGCTCACCGCAACCTCCGCCTCCCGGGTTCAAGCGATTCTCCTGCCTCAGCCTTCTGAGTAGCTGAGATTACAGGCGCCCACAACTATGCTCGGCTGATTTTTGTATTTTTATTAGAGACGAGGTTTCACCATGTTGACCAGGCTGGTCCCAAACTCCTGACCTCAGGTGATCGGCCCACCTCGGCCTTCTAAAGTGCCGGGACTACAGGCATGAGCCACCGCGCCCGGCCTACACCCCTGTTTTTTAAGCCTTTTGCTCTCAGCTTAAATATCACTAAATTACAAACTCTAATGACACCGCGGTATTTCTCAGTGCACAACACCAAATTTTAATTATGTATCTCATGGATAATTATTTCCTGTCAGTCTTTCCCAACTAAACCGTGAGTTCCAGTATGTCTGGCAGCACGTCTGTCTTGTTCTTGGTGTATTCCCATTACTGAATCCCCACCAACCAGCCCAAATAAGGCCCTGGCACAAAGTAAGCTCTCCATTTTTGTAGAATGAATGAGTGAATAAATGGAGGACACTCAAGCCTCATGTTTTCTCTTTCTGACACATACCTGTGCTCCCTACGACCCCACCCTCACCATCACACCCTTAATAGTGGAGACTTAGTGTGGTACTGGCTTTTCAAACAGGTATTATGTGGCCCTAGACAGGTCATTTCCTTCACTGAAAGTCATCGCCTGAGTTTCAGGTGCACAACGGGGATCATACCTAAAAGAGAGAGAACCTCCACCTCTCATCCTCATAATCTACGGAGACAGTAGTTAGGTGCATCATGTTTGTCTTTCTAGCAGCGTTTAGCTCCGAGAACGCCAAGACCCCGTCCGCCTGGTTCAGGGGCCTGCTCCCATCCACAGTACCCAGGCTTGCTCCAAGCCTGGCTCACAGCAGGAGCTCAGAAACGATTCGTTAAATAAATGAAGCCCTGTTCTGTGCATTTCACAGGTGGGAAGCGAGGGTCGTGCGAGGCGGGGGCAGCAACCTGCCAGCCTCCGAGCGTATTCTTCAGATGCAGGCCCGCCTCCCACCTCAGCCCGCGTCCCAGATGCCAGCCCCGAATCCCGCGCCCGACAGGCGCTTCTTGCACAAGGAAGCATCTTCGCAGGTGCAGCCCACGCCCTCGTCGCCCGCGTCGCAATTCCAGGTGGAAAAGCAGGAGGTGAAGGAAGACTCCCTCTGTCTAGTGGCCATGGGCGTGGAGGTTCCGGGGAGCTGTGTCCGCCAGACATGGAAGTGGGGTCGACGGGCGGTAGGGGACGGCGCTAGTCACAGGCAGAAAGCAGGAGAGGAAAGTAGGGCTCCACCTGGCTCAGCTGGCGCGGCTCAGTGACACCCCGGAGGCCGGCTGCCCCAGCAGCCTCTCCGCCTATTGGCTCCTCTGCCTAGTCGCTCATTGGGCAATTATCCCTTCCTCTCAGCCTACAAAGGTACTCATTGGATAAGTTTTTTGGCCCCGCCCACCCAACCCGGAAGTTTGCCGACGGAGAAAGGAAACTAAAAGTCAGTGGCGGAGTACCGCGATGCTTTCTGGGAAGTGTAGTCTTAGGTGCCTGGAGAGGCCACCAGGTTTCTTCTGACTCGTCACGGAATTTTAAGGGCAGAGAATCCAGCCAGAAGCAAATGTCAGCTGTTACGTTCAGTCTGGGCTCGTTGTCACTCAACAGTTTAACAAAATTTTGTTAAGTGCTGTCCATGCCAGGGACTGTGCTAAGAGCTTTAGAGACATAATCGCCTTTGAAATGTAGTAAAGGAAGTAGCGTGTGGAAAAGTAATAGAATGGGAAACCACGTGGCAGTAAAAATCAATGAACTCGAACTCTCAGGTAGCATCAAGGGCTGAATTTCAGAAACGTGATGTTCAGTGAAAGAAGGAAGTCTAACGACACTTTTGTAAAGTTCAAACCAAGTAAAACTAATGTTGTTTAGAGAAACATACATATACGGTAAAATACTGTACAGAAAAGCCAAGACATGAGAAAAAAAAAAAAGTCAGGACATTGATGACCTCTAGGGAGTGGGACGGTAGCATACGAGAGGGTAGGGAGAGGCAGGGAAGGAGCACATAGACACATTCTCAGTTTCTCAGGTGGGAGTGAGTTCACGTGTGTCTGTTTCATTATGATGCATATTCAAGATGCATCTATTTTTACTAGTTTTGTTATAAAATATTTTATAAATAAAAGAAGAACTATGCTACTGTATTCCACTTGATTATCTGTCAGGTGTTGGACACAGGCAATGGGTATACTTTAAGAACTTTGAATCACACCTATTTAAAAAAGCAAAATAGCTCTCTCTCTTCTGCCGCCACGTAAGATGTACCTGCTTCCCCTTCCACCATAACTGTTAAGTTTCCTGAGGCCTCCCCAGCCATGCAGAACTCAACATCCTTGCGACTGGGGGCCATTATCTTAAGTGAAACAACTCAGACACAGAAAGTAAAATATGCATGTTCTCGCTTCCCTGCCTACAAGCTGAGCAGACGCCAGCACCATGCTTCCTGTAAAGCCTGCAGAACCACGAGCCAATGAAACTGCCTTTCTATATAAGTTTTTTTTTTTTAAAGCAAAATAACAGAAACCCAGAATATACACCTTGGGGTGAGATCAGATAGCAAATGCTTGCTTAGTATTCAGTGGAGACACAAGATCTCATTGACAGTCAAGGCAGAAATGACAGTGGGGAATGGCTGAGGTTAGGAAGTTTTGCCAGGGATAGCAGCAATGGGCTGAAATACACCATTTTGTTGGAGCATTCCTCTACCAAAAAGGTAATACAAACCACTGCGCAAGCATTGTCTCCCAGCTTGGCAGTGTCTAAATTCCATGGGTGTTAGTGGATAATGTCAAACAGTAAGTAGCACAAGATGTTAATCCCACAGGTCTGGACGGTGAGACTGAAGGTGACTAGAAGAAGGTGGAGGCAGATGTATTGGCACACCTTTGTTATTGGGTGAGCCTTGATTCAAAACAGCTGGTAATTCAGGGAAATTTGGTTAGTTGGACTCTAGACAAAGTGAACTTACTGGGTGTGGACCACGACACTAGTAGATTGACTGGCATTCTCTGGAGGAGGAGGATGGCTACCCATAGAGCAGGCTGCTGGCCTCCCTTTCCTCATAACCTCTGAGAAGAGTCACATGTGATCTGATGACAAAAAAACCCTGTAACTTGAGGGAATTTGGACAGGGGTGGGGATACCCTTAAAACACCTGGAATCCAGCCAGGCACGGTGGCTTATGCCTGTAATCCCAGCACTTTGGGAGGCCAAGGTGCACGGCTCACCTGAGGTCAAGAGTTCGAGACCAGCCTGGTCAACATGCTGAAACCCCATCTCTACTAAAAATACAAAAATCAGCTAGGTGTGGTGGCGGGTGCCTGTAATCCCAGGTACTCAGGAGACTGAGGCAGGAGAATCACTTGAACCTAGTAGGTGGAGGTTGCAGTGAGCCGAGACCGTGCCATTGGACTCCAGCCTGGGTGACAAGAGCAAAACTCCATCTCAAAAAAGAAGAAGAAGAAGAAGAAGAGGAAGAGGAAGAAGAAAAAGAAGAAGAAGAACCACCTGGAATCCCACTAAATTGAAACATGGTACACTGTCAGCCCAAGTGGCTACACTTCAGGCAGTAAGCACTGAATGGCTATCTTAGTCCATTTTGGCTGCTATAACAAAATATCATAAACTAAGTGACTTATAAACAAAAGAATGGCTGGGCACAGTGGCTAATACCTATAATCCCAGCACTTTGGGAGACTAAGGTGGGAAGATCACTTTAGCTCAGGAATTCAAGACCAGTCTGGGCAATGTGGCGAAACCCCATCTCTACAAAAAAATTTAAAAACTAGCTGGGTATGGTGGAGTGTACCTGTAGTCCCAGCCTTGGGACTGGGCTGAGATGGGGAGGATCACTTGAGTCTAGGAGTTCAAGACTACAGTGAACTATGATTGCACCACTGCACTCTAGCCTGGGTGACAGAGAGAGACCCTGTCTCAAAAAATAAATACATATATACATACATAAAAATAAACCACGGAAATTTATTTATCATGGTTCTGGAGGCTGGCAAGTCCAAGGTCAAGGCAGATTCTGTGTCTGGTGAGGGCCTGCTTTCTGACTCATAGATGATGCTGTCTTGCTGTATCCTCACTTGGTCAAAGGAGCGAGGTGTCTCTCTCAGGTCTCTCTTATAAGGACACTAATCACATTCATGATAACTCTGCCCTCGTGGCCTGATCGCTTCACAAGAGCCCCACATCCTAATACACTGGGAGTTAAAATTTCAGCATTTGAGTTTCAGGGAGACAGAAACATTCAGACCACAGCAATGCCCTAGCCAACAAATGACTCCATCTCCATATTTATAGCAAACTCTTGGGCCATTGTCTAAGAATTGTTCCCTTTGTGCTCATAAAGAACTCTGGGAATCTCTTGCCTCATAAATACTGAAAATATAAACCGAGGTAATAGATAACTCATGTTTTTAAAATGGTCGGGTGTGGTGGCTTATGCCTATAATCTCAGCACTTCGTGAGGCCAAGGCAGGAGGATCACTTGAAGTCAGGAGTTCGAGACTAGCCTGGCCAACATGGCAGTCTCTACTAAGAATACAAAAATTAGCTGGCTACCTGGGAGGCTGAGGCATGAGAATCACTTGAACCCAGGAGGTGGAGGTTGCAGTGAGCTGAGATTGTATCACTGCACTCCAGCCTGGGCGACAGAGTGAGACTCTCTCTCAATTAAAAAAAAAAAAAAAGATATCTCTACATCTACGTATACAAAGGCCACAATATAAGGTCTCACTGTGGCACTCCATATACTCTTGGAAGTCCTACACATTACTGGTAGTGATCAGGGTACTTATTTCACATCTCAGAATCCACAGTGCCTCATGGGCTCTTGGAGAAGGCATTAATAGAACCTTCCACTTCTCTGATATCCCCAAGCAGCAGGCTCGAGAGGCATACGTGCTCCTGGAAGAACTCTTATTTAAGTTACAAAGTGGAAAATGCACATCATCCCTTCACACCTCCACTCCTGTTTCCCTGTCACCACAGTCATCGATTAGTCACACCTCAGCGGGGACCCACAATTCCTATGCCAGTGCCACACAGGTCCCTCAATTGCCTGTATTGGCCAGCCTGGGGGACATCTGTAAAGCTCATGTTTTTGAAGACTACCTCGCCCTGTGGTCCTCTTTCTCGTGGTTAGGTGCTAAACCCAGGAGGTGGAGGCTGCAGTGAGCTGAGATCGTGCCCCACTCCACTCCAGCCTGGGTGACAGAGGGAGCCTCTGTCTCAAAATAAATAAATAAATAAAATAAAAGTAAAATGTTTCTAGTGCAAACTTTGTTGAAGGCATCACCCTGCTATGATTAGGCTTATGGGTTTAAAGTTATTTGGGTAATAGTCTGTTTGGGGTTTGCAAGAAGTGACACGTGGCTGGAGGGTGGTCTATGAGTAGAAAGCAAGGCTCTAAAGGCAAGTCCTCAAATACCCTGTTAAAGTTTGGACTCCAGGCAGTGGAAACTCCTGAAATAATTTAAAGTAGGTAAGCAACGTTATCAGATTTTCATGCCAGAAAGTCCACCCTCATGGCGGTGTGGGGAATGGATTCAAGGGAGGCCAGGAGTGGAACCAGCAAGGTCAGTAAGGAGTCAATTGCCCCAGTCCATATAAGGACAGGAAGGAATGGACCACAGACATGGGGACAGGGAAAAGAGGAACAAAATGTGATATATTCATTGGTTCATTGGATATGAAGGGGGTGTGAAAGAGAGAGAGAGACACAGCACTTTGTTAGGCCGAGGAAGGCAGTTCACCTGAAGTCAGGAGTTCGAGACCAGCCTGGCTAACATGGTGAAACTCCGTCTCTACTAAAAATACAAAAAATTAGCCAGCTGTGGTGGTGCACACCTGTAATCCCAGCTACTCAGGAGGCTGAGGCATGAAAATTGCTTGAACCTGGGAGGTGGAGGTTGCAGTGAGCCCAAGTTGCGCCACTGCACTCCAGCCCAGGTGACAAAGTGAGACTCTGTCTCAAAAATACAGGGGAGAGAGAAAGAGAGAGATCAGTCATGGTTCTGAGGCCTCTTCCTTGGGTTATAAGAAGGCTATAATGGAAGATATTGAGTTTCTTTTACTTTTCTATTATTATTATTATTTGAACAGGGTCTCACTCTGCAGCCTCTACCTCCTGGGCTTAGGAAATCCTCCCACTTCAGCCTCTGGACACACCCACATGAGTGTGCCTAGCTGAGACTACATGCATGTGCCAACATGTCTAGCTGATTAAAAAAAATTTTTTTGTTTTTGAGTTAGAGTCTTGCTCTGTCGCCCAGGCTGGGTGGAGTGCAGTGGCATAATCTTGGCTCACTGCAACCTCCGCCTCCTGGACTCAAGCTATTCTCCTGCCTCAGCCTCCCAAGTATCTGAAATTATAGGTGTGCACCACTACGCCCGGCTAATTTTTTGTATTTTTAGTAGAGATGGGGTTTCACCACATTGGCCAGGCTTGTCTTGAACTCCTGAACTCAAGTGATCCACCCACCTTGGCTTCCCAAAGTACCGGGATTAAAGGCATGAGCCACCGTGCCTGGCTAATTTTTTTGTAGAGACAGGGTTTCCCTATGCTGCCCAGGCTGGTCTCCAACTCCTGGGCTCAAGCAATCCTCCTCCCCAAAATGCTGGGATTACAGGCATGATGCTTCTTTTTTCTTTTTTTTTGAGACAGAGTCTTGCTCTGTTGCCCAGGCTGGAGTGCAGTGGGGCTATCTCAGCTCACTGCAACCTCTGTCTCCCGGGTTCATGCCATCCTCCTGCCTCAGCCTCCCGAGTAGCTGAGACTACAGGTGCCCGCCACCACGCCCAGCTAATTTTTTGTATTTTTAGTAGAGACGGGGTTTCACCGTGTTAGCCAGGATGGTCTCGATCCCCCGACTTCGTGATCCACCCACCTCGGCCTCCCAAAGTGCTGGGATTACAGGCATGAGCCACCGTGACTGGTGATGCTTCTTCTTAAGACATGTTGACTTTGAGATGCTTATGGACATGCTGATAAATGTGTTCAGCAGACAATTAGATAAACCAGTGTGGCATCAGGAGAATGAGGTGGTTAGACATAGACATTCAGATGTCATTGGCATACCAGTGAAAGCAGAATCATGGGAGTGGTTGAGCTGGCCCTGACACTGCAGGGAGAATGAGAAGATCCTGTTAGTTAAAGATGGTACCTTGGAGTATGTTTATAGTTAAGAGGTGTCAGAAGAAGCAGCCACAAAAGAGACTGAGAAAGAAGGGTCTGGTGTGAGGAAGGGAACCTGAGGAGAGTGGTATCACTAAAAATGAAGAAGGCAGAAAGAATTTAAAGAATGAGGCTGGGCACGGTGGCCTATGCCTATAATCCCAGCACTTTGGGAGGCCGAGGTGGGCGGATCACGAGGTCAGGAGATCGAGACCATCCTGGCCAACATGGTGAAACCCCCATCTCTACTAAAAATACAAAAAAATTAGCTGGGCTGGTGGCAAGTGCCTGTAATCTCAGCTACTTGGGAGGCTGAGGCAGCAGAATCGCTTGAACCCAGGAGGCAGAAGTTGCAGTGAGCCGAGATCACGCCACTGCACTCCAGCCTGGGCAACAGAGTGAGACTCCGTCTCAATAAAAAAAAAAAAAGAATTTAAAGAATGAGTATGTGGAACATGTGGTTAATATTTATCAGACTTAAGTGAACCAAAGACAAAAATATATATACATTGGATTTAGCCATGAGAAGATTCCTGGGGCATAAATGAGACAAGATTTTGTAGAACTTTCAAAAAGAAGTCATTACAAAATGAGACACTTATAAAGAGTAAAGAATTCTTTCAGAAGATAGAAAGATAGAGAGATACGGTGGTTGGTTGCTGGAGGAGCTGAAAGGAGAATGTGATGTATCAGGAGAAACAGCCATGCTTGTGTGCTTAGGGATAGAGACAGATGAAAGACAAAGCAGAATGGGAGATCAGTAGAATGAGGTCTTTGAAGAAGTCTGAATAGATAATGTCCAGGGGACTGTTAGCCTTCAATTGCAAAGCTGGATCCCTTTCCTCTGAAACAAAAGGGAAGGAGTATAGATGAATGAAGAGAGGATGGTGGGATACAGGAAGGGGGTATGGGGGTCTTGACTGCTGGTCTCTAATGTCTTAATAAGGCATGATCATGCCTGAGCAAAGTGATAAAGATTTGGAGAGGCCCTTGAGGAAATAAACAAGGGAGTTGCCCATGAACATTTCCTAGGATTTGGGGCACAAACAAATGCTGACGAATAGGAGCTAGTTAAATAAATTACAGTATATGCATAGGATGAACATCTGCTTTTAGAAAGAATAAGATGGCCTGGGTCAGGCGTGGTGGCTCACGCCTGTAATCCCAGCACGTTGGGAGGCCGAGGAAGGCAGATCATGAGGTCAGGAGATCGAGACCATCCTAGCTAACACGGTGAAACCCTGTCTCTACTAAAAATACTGAAAAAAAAAAAATTAGCCGGCCCTGGTGGTGGGCGCCTGTAATCCCAGCTACTCGGGAGGCTGAGGCAGGAGAATGGCGTGAACCTGGGAGGCAGAGCTTGCAGTGAGCCGAGATCGTGCCACTGCACTCCAGCCTGGGCGACAGAGCAAGACTCCATCTAAAAAAAAAAAAAAAAAAAGAAAAGAAAAGAAAAAATAAGATGGCCCGATCTGGTGGCTATGCTTGTAATCCCAGCACTTTGGGAGGCCGAGGCAGGAGGAATATTTGAACCTGGTAGTTTGAGGTTGCCATAGGCTATGATGTGCCACTACACTCCAGTCTGGATGACAGAGACCGACCCTGTCTCTAAAAAAAGAAAGATGATGATGAAATCATTCACAGAATCTGGAAAGATGTCCAAGATGTAGTGAGATATATATATTTGTGTGTGTGTGTATATGTGTATATATGTGTATGTATGTGTATACATAATACATACATAATAAAATAAGAATAAATAGAAAGCAAATCAGAGAATACACTGACATATATGCAAATATGCACTTTTTTAATATGTATATATACGTATATATGTATGTGTGTGTGTGTGTATATATATATATATATATATATATATTTTTTTTTTTTTTTTTTTCCCCAGAAAGCAGCTGGCACAGTGGCTGATGCCTATAATCCCAGCACTTTGAGGGGGCCGAGGTGGGAGGATTGCTTGAGTTCAGAAGTATGAGACCAGCCTAGGCAACATAGGAAGACCTCATCTCTTCAAAAAAATAAAAAAATTAGCAGGGCGTGGTGGCACATGCCTGTGGTCCCATCTACTTGGGAGGTTGAGGTGGGAGGATTGCTTGGGCCTGCAATGTTGAGCCTGCGGTGAGCCATGATCGCGTCACCGCAATCTAGCCTGGGCGACACAGCAAAACTCTGTCTCAAAATAATAATGATGATGATAATAAAATAAGAATAAATAGAAAGCAAATCAGAGAATAATACACTGACATATATACAAATATGCACTTTTTTAAAAAAATCAAAAAAAAACCAAACAAACAAGTAAACAATAAGGTGGTTTTCTAGGCAATGGAAAGGAGAGTGAGTCGTAGCCAAAAAAGGGAACTTTAATTTTTAAAATGTTATACAACTTGTACTTTTGTGCTGTTCATCTTTTTTCTTACGTAAGGAGTATACACCTATGGTGTTTCTAATAGTTGATCCTTAACACTAATATATATATATTTTTTCTTTTTTTTTTGAGACATGGTCTTGCTCTGTTGCCCAGGCTGGCGTGCAGTGGCATGATCACAGCTCACTGCAGCCTCGACCTCCTGGACTCAAGGGATCCTCTGCCTCAGCCTCTGGAGTAGCTGGGACTACAGGCATATGTCACCACGCACAGCTAATTTTTTAAATTATTATTTGTAGAGACGAGATCTCACTATGTTGCCCAGGCTGGTCTTGAACTCCTAGGGTCAAGGAATCCTTCTGCCTCAGCCTCCCGAAGTGGTGCTGGGATTACAGGCGTGAGCCATCGTGCCTGGCCACAAATTAATATTTTAATTAACCAACATATACACAAATACCTGTTTCTTGCAAAAAAATAAAAGCATTATAAACCCTACCTGAAGTATCCTTTGACCACAACCTCCAATGTCACCAATACCCACCTTCACAAGAAGTAATCACAGTTTAAAGTTGGGTGAATACCTTTACAGCCCTTCAAAGACACTTAAAATCATTAAGAATATTTTTATTAAATTTAAAGAAGCTGAGTGCAATGGCTCACACCTGTAATCCCAGCACTTTGGGAGGCCAAGGTGGGCGGATCACTTGAGGCCAGGTGTTTGAGACCAGCCTGGCCAAAATGGCAAAACCTCATTTCTACTAAAAGTACAAAAATTAGCTGGGCATGGTGGTGGGCGCCTGTAATCCCAGCTACTCAGGAGGCTGAGGTGAGAGAATTGCTTGACCCTGGGAGGTGGAGGTTGCAGTGAGCTGAGATCTCGCCACTGCATGCCAGCCTGGGTGATAGAGTAAGACCCTGTCTCAAAAAAAAAAAAAAAAAAAAAATTAAAGAGAGCAAAACTGAGAACAAATAAATGACTATTTCCTAAAGGCTACTTAATGATAAAGTAGATACACAGCATGGCTTGATCTTTCCTAGTCTCTGAGAATCATCCATTGCTTTGACAGCCTTTCAGCCCAGCTCCTGCCCTCTGGCCAGGTGAAGTCAGCAGAGGTGCACATGTGGGCAAAACCTCTGCAGCAGCATTTTATAGAACATGCCCTGACCCACCCGGTCCTAGTCCAGTCAGCCTCATAAGTGACACAGCAGAGGAACAGGGATTGGCATCTGTTCCTCTGGGTATGAAAGCTGGTGTGTTTCCTAAACTTTGTTGTATATTTTTATTTATTTATTTGAGACGAAGTCTCGCTTTGTTGCCCAGGCTGGAGTGCAGTGGTACGATCTCCGCTCACTGCAACCTCTGCCTCCCAGGCTCAAGTGATTCTCCCACCTCAGCCTCCTGAGTAGCTGGGATTACAGACGCCCACCACCATGCCCACATAATTTTTTTTTTTTTTTCAAGTAGAGATGGGGTTTCAGCATGTTGGCCAGGCTGGTCTGGAAATCCTGACCTCAAGTGATCCGCCCACCTCAGCCTCCCAAAGTGCTGGGATTACAGGTGTGAGTCAATGCACCTGGCCCATATTCAGTTTTTCATTTAATGATTTCACCTGCAACCTTGCTTCCTGGCTTGCATTTTTCATTTGATTTGCAGAAGAAACTAGATTTACCTCCAATACTGTAACTTTTTTTTTGTTTGTTTTTTGAAACAGAGTCTCGCGCTGTCATCCAGGCTGGAATATATTGTCGTCATCATAGCTCACTGCAGTCTTGAACTCCTGGGCTTAAGCGATTCTGCCTCCTCACTTCCAAAGCAGCTGGGGCTACAGACGCATGCTACCATGCCCAGCTAATTTTTTAAATTTTGTATAGAGAGACAAGGTCTTCCTATGTTGCCTAGGCTGGTCTTGAACATCTGGGCTCAAGTGTGACCTGCCTGCCTCAGCCTCCCAAAGTGCTAGTATTATAGGCATGAGCCACCACACCTGGCATATTAATCTCTTGTAATGGCTGATATATACATATATATATACGTGTGTATATATATATATATATATATATATATACGCATATATATATATATATACGCATATATATATATATACGCGTGTATATATATATATATATATATATATATACGCGTATATATATATATATATATTTTGAGACGGAGTCTTCTCACTCTGTCATCCAGGCTGGAGTGCAGTGGCACGATCTCAGCTCACTGGAACCTCCGCCCCCCCGCCCCAGGTTCAAGTGGTTCTCCTGCCTCAGCCTCCTGAGTAGCTGGGACTACAGGTGCCTCCCACCACGCTTGGCTAATTTTTGTATTTTTCATAGAGATGGGCGTTTCACCATCTTGGCCAGGCTGGTCTTGAACTCCTGACCTCATGATCCACCCGCCTTGACCTCCCAAAGTGCTGGGATTACAGGCGTGAGCCACTGCACCTGGCCTGTTTTTTTTCCCCCCTGGATGTTTCTACTACTTTTTCATTGTCCTGTTTTAGTTTACCCATATGCATTTCTAAAATTGATATTCTCTCCTTCAGGTTTCTGACTGCCTGCCTCAAAAGCTCATTTTTATTCATTTATTAGTGAGATTTTCTCTCTAAGAATGTAATTTACTACTTTTGGCTTTGATGAAAAGGTTTTTTCCCCTAAGTAACCTGTCTAAGACATTTTGTTTCTCCTTCAGCTGCTGAATTTCTGAATGCATTTATATATGTTCTTTTCTTTCTAGCTCTGAGATGGCAGCAGTGGAATCAGACAGTCTCTGATTGTCTCCTTGGAGGGATCTAATGGTTGCATCTTTTTCCTGCAGTGATTTTCTTAGCTCTTCAATATCTTGGAGCAATTTAGAAGACTCACTCGACAGAGCAGACTCACTTGCGTGAGGAGATTCTGCGGCATGTGAAGAAAGTGCTTCTCTGGGGAGCTGGGGTAAAATATCCAGCTGTGGGAAGAAACTGTCCTTGCCGTGACAGAGCTGTCTGATGCTGTGCTGCGTGTGTGCTAACTCCTGCCCCAGGTTTTTGAGTTGAGTTTCATTCCCTTCGTTTTTTTGCATCAGGTCACTACAGTTCATCTGGAGTTTAAAATCATTATCACTGTCAGTTAAAAGCTTTGCTTGAAGGTGACAAAGTTCTTCTTGGAGTTGGGCTGCCCCATGCTGCACCCACTGTGGTCGCCAGCTGCTCTTTCCATTTTTTTCTTTCTTTCTTCCTTCCTTCCTTCCTTCCTTCCTTCCTTCCTTCCTTCCGTCCTTCCTTCCTTTCTTTATTTCTGTCTGTCTCTGTCTTTCTTTCTCTCTCTCTCTCTCTCTCTCT
Source organism: Homo sapiens (assembly GCF_000001405.40). Taxonomy (NCBI): domain Eukaryota; kingdom Metazoa; phylum Chordata; class Mammalia; order Primates; family Hominidae; genus Homo; species Homo sapiens. The sequence continues at coordinate 25,020,123 of NC_000016.10, read as the reverse complement.
TTCTTTTTGAGATGGAGTTTCACTTTTGTCGCCCAGGCTTGAGTGCAATAGTGCGATCTCAGCTCACTGCAACCTCCGCCTCCCAGGTTCAAGCAATTCTCCTGCCTCAGCCTCCCAGGCACCCGCCACCACGCCCGGCTAATTTTTTTTTGTATTTTTAGTAGAGATGGGGTTTTGCCATATTGGCCAGGCTGGTCTCAAACTCCTGACCTCAGGTGATCCGCCCGCCTCGGCCTCCCAAAGGGCTGGGATTACAGGCATGAGCTACCACGCCCGGCCCACACTTCCATTTTCTTAACTGGCTGTTTTAATTTATTAGGTCCTTGTGGAAGCTCCTCAAACGGATTACCATTAACACCTCCAATCTCATGACCAGTGCTGGATGCTTGCAAAATTGTCACTAAAGTTTGACATTCCTGACTTAATGCATCTGTTTCAATGTCTTTTTCTAGAATGAGACATGATGACTTCTGAAAAGTGTCTTTAAATTTCTCCTGACCATTACTAGTGGACAGTTTTTTATTTTCCTCTTGCAGCTTATGGGGGCCTGTTTCATTACCAGCAATAATATCCATTGTTTGGTGATCTTCCTTTTTGAGACAGCTATTTTCTTGAGCTGCCTTATTCCAAACAGCCTGTATTTGTTCTCTGTCCAAAGCAGGTGCTTGCAGTTGCTGCTGAAGGTGAGCAACGCCCTGGGTGTCAGAGGCTGAAGCTGTTCTAGCCTGAAGGCCCTGCACCTCTGTATCTTCCTGACCAACCCCATTGATGGACAGCTGATCCATCTGTTTAAAGTCATATTATTTTTACTTATAAATTTATTCTCCAATTCTTTCTTTCCCCCTCTGGTCCTTGATTCAGGATTAATCTCCAATTCTTGCTCTTTCATTCCTTTCACTAATCTTTCAGTTTCAGATTTAAATAAACTATGCGTTTCACTTCTGCTTTCTATATTGGGACATTCAACTTCTGTTGCTTGAAAAATGGCTCAGAGTCTTTTAATGTCTTGTCCTGTTTCATGCAGCTGGGTTTTGATTCTTTTCCTATTGTGTTTTGCAAATTCCTAATTTCTTCACCTTTTACTGAAAAGAGCTGGGTGTATGTGATACTCATTTGCTTGTGCTGGTTTTAAAAATCATCCATTTCCTACTTTTTTCTCCTCTTTTAAAGACTGAAGCAGTTGCATCTTACTCTGTGTTTGCTCTTCAATTATGGTTATTTATTTATTTATTTTTGAGACAGAATCTTGCTCTGTCGGCCAGGCTGGAGTGTAGTGGCACAATCCTGGCTCACTGCAACCTGTGCCTCCTGGGTTCAAACAATTCTCCTGCCTCAGCCTCTTGAGTAGCTGGGATTACAGGCACCCACCACCACACCCGGCTAATTTTTGTATTTTTAGTGGAGACAAGGTTTTGCCATGTTGGCCAGGCTGGTCTCAAACTCCTGACCCCAGATGATCTACTCACCTCGGCCTCCCAAAGTGCTGGGATTACAGACGTGAGCCGCTGTGCCTGGCCTCTTCAGTCTTTTTTGTTTTTGTTTTTGTTTTTTTTGACGGATTCTTCTTCTGTTGCCCAGGCTGGAGTACAGTGGTGCGATCTTGGCTCACTGCAACCTCTACCTCCTGGGTTCAAGCGATTCTCCTGCCTCAGCCTCCAGAGTAGCTGGGACTACAGGCACTTCCACCGCACCTGGCTAATTTTATTTTTAGTAGAGACAGGGTTTCACCATGTTGGCCAGGCCGGTCTTGAACTCCTGGCCTCAAGTGATTTTGGCCTCCCAAAGTTCAAGTGATTTCTTGAACTCCTGGCCTCAAGTGATTTTGGCCTCCCAAAGTGCTGGGATTATAGGCATGAGTCACCATGCCCAACCTTCAAATATATTTTGATGATACTTTATTCCCTCCTCAAGATTACCTTTGATTATTTTCATTTGAAATATCTCCAATTCTAGTACCATAATAGTATCTACCATTCTAGGCTCAGCCACAGGGGCAGTTAGACTTTGTTGTCCTCTGAGTCATTTCAATTCTTCTATCAGATTTTTTTTTCTTTCATGGATGCAAGACATCTGTCTTTTTCCTCTATGGTTTGCTATGAAATTTCTTTCTTTCTTTCTTAAGGTTTTAGTATAATAATTCCTCTGGAAGCTCTGAACTTCCTTTAAGTTTTTTTTTAAAAAAATTGCTTTCTCTCTTATAAGTTGTGTCAATTGCTTCTGCTCTTCTCAACTAGATGACAAAATCAAATCAGTCTCTGATTGTCTTCTTGGAGGGATCTAATGGTTGCATCTTTTTCCTGCAGCGATTTTCTTAGCTCTTCAATCTCTTGGAGTAAATTTAGGAGCACTTTTTCTTTAGTTTCTTTATGGTCAGTGTCCATCTGTTTAATATTCTTTTTTTTTTTTTGAGACAGTAACCTTGTCACGTTGTCTCTGTCACCTTGACTGGACCACCCTGTCACCTAGGCTGGACCACCCTGCAGAGGCCAGATCTCAGCTCACTGCAACCTCTGCCTCCAAGGTTCAAGCGATTGTCTCGTCTCAGCTTCCCCAGCAGCTGGGATTACAGGCGCCCGCCACCACGCCTGACTAATTTTTGTATTTTTAGTAGAGACTGGGTTTCACCATGTTGGCCAGGCTGGTCTTGAACTCCTGACCTCAGGTGATCCACCTACCTCGACCTCCCAAAGTGCTGGGATTACAGGTGTGATGCATTGCACCCAGCCTCAATATTCTTTTTGAGTGCTGACATTTCAGAGTCTTTCTCGTGGCTGAGTTTAATTACACACTCTTGCTCTAGCTGTAAGGCAGAGCTCTCCAGGTTAGCTTCAGTGGACAATCTTTTCATGGTTTTCTCAGAGTTGTTTCTTCCAATAGCCTCTTTTCAGCTAGGGGTCTCACTCTGTCACCCAGACAAGAGTGCAATGGTGTGATAATAGCTCACTGCAGCCTCAAATTCCTGGGCTCAAATGATCCTGTTGCCTCAGCCTTTCAACTAGTTGGGAGTACAGGTGCATGCCACTGCTTCTGGCCTTTTTTTTTTTTTTAAATTTTTCATAGAGATGAGGTTTTAGTATGTTGTCCAGGCTAGTCTCATACTCCTGAGCTCAAGTGATCTTCCCATCTTGACCTCCCAAAGTGCTAGGATTACAGGTGTGAGCCACTGCACCTGGCCCCAGAAGATAATTTTTTATTTGTCTTTTACTCTATGTTCAAATTCTTCAATTTTTTGGTAGACTCTACTTTTTCAATTTGTAGAGCTTGCATGAATAGTGTTTTCCTTCTCTTGAAGTTTAGAGAGATCATGTACTGTAATTCCTGAGCCACCTTGCTGTAACAAATTTTCCAGTTCTTCAATCTTTTCTTCCTAATTGCTTAGATTTTCTTGATGCTTACAACTTATTTCCCTCAATTTCTGTTGATGAACATTCTGTAATACTGATAATTCAAGCTGATGGTCATCAGTATCCTGACTTCTTTTTTGTTTGAGCTCCTTGATGATATTAATATTTGGTGTTTGTAGTTTGTAGATTTCATTTTCATCAAAACTAGTTGTTCCTCCTATTTTATAAGTCTGAGCAATACATTTCCAATGGCCAACTGGAGACTCAAGTTTTAGAACTTCATTGGACTATCTGTTTATTTCTTGTTATGATGAAATTATGTCATAAAAACCCATGTAAGCGTCGTGGAACACTGAAGCATGATGGGTACCACATGGAATGGAGGGGATGCAGTGTGGATGGGAACCTCCGGCCTTCCCTGAATGTGCTGACTCCAGGGCTGGCTGCCGGTCCTGCAACCGATCCTGTAGTGCTTGCTTTCTTGTTTTAGGAAGGCTCATTTCTACCTCTTTCTGTTGTAATTGATGTCGATAACTTTTAGTTTGCTGCCCTATCTGAAGCTCTGATGCTTCCTAGGTCTCTCCTAGGTCACTAAAAAGATCTTGAAGTCCCTCATTCTTTGATATTAAGAATTCCAAACTGGCATCAGTCTCCTTTATCCCATAGTTAGGGAGCTCTTTCCTTTTTCTATGACATTTAGGAGCACATTTGAGATGTGGCTGATGAAAGAAGCCACATTGCTGCCCATCCAATGCAAAGAAGGGGCTTACCTGGAGCCAAGGCCACCAAACCAGGAAGACATGAGTGTGTGAGCACGTGTGTTAAGGAAAACACACATTGACTTTAATTTTTTTTTTTTTTTTTTTTTTCGAGACAGGGTCTCTCACTCTGTTGCCCAGGCTGGAGTGCAGTGGCGCCATCTCGGCTCACTGCAACCTCTGCCTTTCGGGTAAAAGCCGTTCTCCTGCTTCAGCCTCCTGAGTAGCTGGGATTACAGGCGTCCACCACCACGCCCAGCTAAATTTGTATTGTTAGTAGAGACAGGATTTCACCGTGTTGGCCAGGCTGCTCTCGAACTCCCGAGCTCAAGTGATCTGCCCCCTCGGCCTCCCAAAGTGCTGAGATTACAACGTTGAACCACTGCGCCCTGCTAGAAACAGCTTTTCATACGTTGAAATAAACGAGAGGGTGACCGGGCAGCGTTGGGGTCGGGGAGGCCAGGCGGAGGAGGCCTAGTGGTCTTCTCGCCCGGGGCCTTCTAGCTCTTCGCCCGTGTCAGGTAAGGCACTGTTAGCCTCGGCTCGGTTCGACTCGGCTCTACTCGGGCTCAGCTCGGCTCGGCCAGACCTAGAGGGCGGGCGGGCGGTGCCACTGGAAGTGACGAGGCGAGGGCGGGGCCGCCGGCCCGGGGAGCCACCGCCGCGCCGCCGTTTGGGCCGGGAAGCGATGTAGTAGCTGCCAGGCTGTCCCCCGCCCTGCCCGGCCCGAGCCCCGCGGGCCGCCGCCGCCACCGCCGCCATGAAGAAGCAGTTCAACCGCATGAAGCAGCTGGCTAACCAGACCGTGGGCAGGCGAGTGCGCCGGGCAGCACGGGGGTCGCACCGGGGCTGGGGGCGGAGGGCGGAGGGCGCGGGGGCGGGACGGCTCCTCCGCGGTCCGGCGGCTCTGAGCTGGGCCGCAGCCCCTGCCCGAGACCAGCGGGGCACGGGCCCGGGGGCTGCGCCGCGCTGAGGCCCGAGCGCCGCGCTCCAGGCGGCCCGCCTGTCTCTCAGCGCCGCCGGGCTCCCGAGACCTGCAGGGGAGGGCCGCCGCCTCCTCCGCCACACCGCGGGGTCCCCTGCCCATTGTCCCTGCCCCGGGAGCATCGCCCTCGGGGAGTAGACCCGGTCCTTCTCCTCCCTTCCCGGGGGCCGAGCCAGCTGGGATCGCTGCCCTGGGCTCAACAACGGTGACTTCTGTCCCTAACGCTGTGCCGAGCGCTGTGCTGTGGGGGGCGGCAGTCCCAGGCTTTCCCGGTGCTCCCGCTGTTTGCGAGTCCTTCTCCTGTAAGTGCATGGCGGCAAGAAATGGCTAGAGGGACATGAAAGCCAGCCGGATTTGCTCAGTGAGTTCAGAACGCCCTTTGAGGGAATTCGGAGGTGGTGCTGTCTCAAAACCAGGGCTCCTAGGAACTGGACTGCTGCTGCCAGTTCTTGACATTTAGAAATTAGGAATTGGCGGAAAAGGATTATGGAGACGCCTTGCGCCAATTTAAAAAGTCTCACCTTAGGTTTGGAAACAAATGCTTCTTTATCTTCCTTTGCTACGGTTGAAGTGCTTAACAAGAAACGTTATTGATTATTAAATGGCAGGCTAGACCAGAGTTGGTAGATCAGGTTGTCAGAACAAGAAATGATTTGTGGTTTTTGAGAGTTTCTGGAGGTGACTGTCATGTGCTGTATTATCTGGGGCTAATATTTCAAGGTCTTTCAGGGCAGCTGGCTGTACTGTACCGATTTAGTGTTTATTCAGCAAAGAGATACGAAAGTATGAATTTCTCACAGCTCTTCTTTTGATTTTCTGTTTTTAACAGTTAAGGGGAGTTTGGTTTGGCTGAAGCACGTGGGACACTTCTTTTTTTTGAGTGTATGAAAATACTTTTACTTCCTCTCGAGTTTTCTAAATTTGCTTTTTACTGTTTCATTTCCTCCATCTTTTTGCTTAGTTTCCTTGTTTAATTTTTTCGATTCCCTACCGTATTATTGTGGTGAGAATTAACTCTTATTTTCAGGGTTAATCGCTGCCCCTAAAGCCCAGACAAACCTACTTTTCTGTTATTTGCAGGAAAATTAAAGAAATAATGCTGAGAGGAAGGTAGACGTGTGGTAATGGCGGCTGATGTTTCAAGGAACAGTTTACAAGCACATGATAATTTCTTGTGAGTTTCGTACCCTTGTTAGTGTTCTGAGCAACGTGCATTGTGGAACTAGTATTTAGTAAGTGCCAAGATACATTTGTCAAATAGTCGTTTGGCTTGTTTTTACATTGTTCGTGACAGGTAAGGGACTTTCACTCTTTTTATACAAAGTTCTGAGACTTAAATCTACCAAGCTATTTAGGGTCTCTTTGACTCCTGGGTCATCTTAGAGGCTTCTCCCTTCACACTTTTTTTTTTTTTTGAGACAGGGTCTCCCTTTGTCACCCAAGCTGGGGTGCAGTGGTGCGATCTTGTCTCATTGCAGCCTTGACTTCCCTGGGCTCAAGCGACCCTCTCGCCTCAGCCACCTATGTGGTTGGAACTACAGGTGGGCACCACCACATCCGCTAATTTTTGTATTTTTTGTAGAGTGGGGATTTGCCATGTTGCCTAGGGTGGTCTCGAACTCCTGGCCTCAACTGATCTGCCTGCCTTGGCCTCCCAAAGTTCTGGGACTACAAGCGTGAGCCACCTTGCCTGGCACCTTCACATTTTAAAATTCCGGCCATGCTTGCCTACCTTCAGTTTCCACAGGAGGTCTTGCTTTCTTACCTGCTAGCATCTACTTGGAACTCCTGGAAGCCTCTCCCACCACACCTTTTCTCCAGGCACCTCTTGCTCATTCTTCAGCCTTCTGGGAAAGGTCCCTCTGCCTCTGAAAGGCCTTCTATGATGCTACAGCATAGATTGGATGCCTCTCCTGGGCGTTCTTGTAATCCTGTGTAGCACTTGCTTTTCTGTGCTGTGACTGCCTCTTGTGTGTGTTCTCCATCAGATAAATACCTTGAGAGTCCTTGCTGTGTCTCCTTTGATTCCCAGGGTCTGCTGTGGTTCCTACCCCATGGCCAGGGTGCAGTAGACATTGTTAATTCTGGTATTTGAGTTCTTACTAGATCGCCTTGGTGGTGTGGGCCCGAGTATGGGAAAACATGAAGTGGATAGAGTAGATGGTGATTCATGCTGGAGCTGTAATTCTGGGCCTGACCTTTGACTGTCTTTAAAAATCTTTATTGCTAGATGCCAGTGGAAGCTGAAGCTATTACAGAACTATTAAGGGTGTGGCAATTATGCACCCAAAGTCAGAACATCTGTTTTTAACTGGGAAACCTGTTGCTTCCTTGCTGTTGATTTCCTAGATGTGTGTGTGTATGTGTTTTCTGCTTAAGTAATCAGAAAGGACTAAGGAAGATAAACGGAGGCTGGAGAGTGCCTAGAATTGTTACTGCTTGGAAGTAGGTGGTTGGTTGGCCCCAGAATCAGGATTCTGGGTGTTTTTAGGTCAAGATGAAGGCTACAAAGCAAAGGGTTTTTTTGTTTTCGCCCCTGCGATCTAGGTGGAGAAGGAAGTTATATATGTGAATGTCATGCCCATCGTGTTTTGGTTTATCAATTTGTGGAATTCTAGGTGGTGTCTTGCAGTGAGATATTCTCCTCAGAAGGGAGACCTTTGAGTACTTTCACTGTAAGGTTCCAGGGGAGGGACTTGTAGAGAATTAGTAATGCCTGGAAGGAATGAGTTCGCATGATGCAGTTTGTTTACGATGGGTGGGTAAGTCTATTTGAGAAGACGGCCTGAAACTCACAGGGGCAAGGCTTATGAGGTGGTCTCATGGTGTGAGTGTCCCAAAGAAGAGAAGTAGGATGGTTCTTTTAGTCCACCTGCCTTTTGTTGATTCATGCATTCAACAGACACTTGTTGAGCCTACACTGTGTCCTGTTATCCAGGGTATTAAAGAATCAAAGGTGAATACGGGCATGGTTTCTGCCCTGAGGGAGCTCAGGAGATACGTGGAAGAGGTAGGCAGGCAAAAAATAATTATATACATGAGATAAGTGCTTAAGAGGGATGGCTAATGCACAGAGCAAAACCCAGCTGTCATTGGATTGAGGGAGGTAACAAAAGCTTCCCAGAGGAGAAAATCTGAGCACCTTTCTCTGCCTTCATTTTCAAGCCCTTATTTCAAATATCTCTTGTATTGATTAGGTCTCTTTTGGTTGTAAGAAAACCCAGTTCATAGCAAAGACGGGAATTGATTGGCTCATAAGTGACCAAAAGAGCCTCTAATAAGTAGTGTGGCTGCAGATTTGGCTTCTTCTGGGGGTTCCACTCTTTTTTTTTTTTTTTGAGACGGAGTCTGGCTCTGTCACCCAGGTTGGAGTGTAGTGGCGCGGCTCACTGCAGCCTCCACCTCCTAGGTTCAAGCAATTCTCCCGTCTCAGCCTCCCAAGTAGCTGGGACTACAGGCCTGTACCACCATGCCCGACTGATTTTTGTATTTTCAGTAGAGATGTGGTTTTGCCATGTTGGCCAGGCTGGTCTCAAACTCCTGCCCTCAGATGATCTGCCCACCTTGGCCTCCCAAAGTGCTGGGATTACAGGCATGAGCCACTGCGCCTGGCCTCGGTTCCACTCTTTAGGTAGGCACTGTGTCCACTGGGAGACTTCCACATCTTCCAAGTCTCAGAGGGAAAGAATACTCATCTCGCAGTCACTGTGGCCCGAGTCCCAGGATTGGCTCTGAATGCTTCTGGGTCACATGCCTTTCCCCAGAAATGGACTGGAGTCAGCGCACCCAAACCATATGGACTGAGAGTGGATGGTAATGGGTGGTAATCAGGCAAGAAATAAAGGTCATGGTGTGTCTTTTGTAGCCCTGCTAAAAAGAGAGATGTTTTGTTTCTTGAAAACCCTTAGATGCAGATCATCACCAATGGTGTTTTTGGGGAGATGATGTCTTGAGTAGAGGAAGGAGTACACTGGGATGAAGACCTTGAAGTTACAGAAGTATCAAGGAGAAAAAAAATTTGAGAGACAACTAGGAGAGCATAGTACTGAGGCTCTGATAGGGAGTGTCTCCTTGGGTGTTGATTTCTTCCCTGACTGAAGTTTCCCTTGGAGGTCTGAATGCTTTCACAGATAGTTGTTTTTTGAGAACCCAAGGTTGTAAACCCAAATGCCTAGAGGGCGAGGCCAGTAAAATGAATCAGTGCTTTGGGCCATGTGAAGGCCTCAGGGGACCTGGAGGACTGTGTCCCACCAAAGGGGCTGCTGTGGTAATGTAGGCCCAGTGTGGACCACCTGTGGAGTTTTCCTGAAATCTGCATTTTAACTAGCTGGCGTTTAATCCAAATTAAACTACGGGGACACTATATGCAGCTGAACAAAATATTTCTGTGGATCACCCAACTGCTTGTCTAGAAGGACTCAGAAATTGACAGTCCCTCTTTTTCATTTATTCCCCTGTACCTTACCCTGATGTTTTCAGTTCTTTGGATTTGTTGAAAAACAGCTCATCCTTTCTTTACTAAAATCTTGAAAAGGTCTGATAGTAACAGTCTATAACATTTCTATGGTGGTTTAGTTTACAAAGTGCTGTACTAAACCACCTGGCTTGGATTTCGTCTCCTGACAATGATAACTTCTCTCTGACAAAGATGGAAACCTGGCTGGGTGGGGTGGGGTGGCTCACGCCTGTAATCCTGACACTTTGAGAGCCCGAGGTAGGAGGATCACTTGAACCCAGGAATTTCAGACCAGCCTGAGCAACATGGTGAAACCCGGTCTTTACAAAAAATACAGAAAACTAGCCAGGAGTGGTGGTGTTTGCCTGTCTCAGCTGCTTGGGAGGCTGAGGTGGGAGGATCAACTGAGCCTGGAAAGTCGAGGCTGCAGTGAGCTGAGATCATGCCACTGCACTCCAGTCTGGGTGACAGAGCAAGACCCTGTCTCAAAAAAAAAAAGAAAAAAAAGAGGAAGAAACCTGACTTTCTAAGTTTGCACAGTTACTGAGTAGTGGCTGAGGCATGGCTTGGGTCCAGGGCCTCTTCCTGTGGTTCCCAAGTGCTTTTGAGTACAGGAACTGGGCTGCCTCTTCACCAGGGAAGGATTAGTGTTTATTAATGTTTATTAAACATCTTCTGTGCTTATGAAGCTGCTGGGCTTGGTGCTTTGCATACTTTTATTTCATTGCATTCTCATAGCCACCCTCTGAGGTGATGTTACTTATTTCTGATTTAATGATGAGGAAGCCAGAGATCAAAGAGGTCATCAAGCTCGCAAGAGACAGAGCCGTGGACCCAAACCCAGGTTTCTGATTCTGCAGCAGCTATAAATTCTGATCACAGAGATCTAATGACCTCTAGGAGTCTTCCACTCCTAGGAGGTATGTAGAATGGACCACTCACTAGGTAGTTGGATCCACTACCAGCAATGTGAATTCTCACACTGAGTCAAAATGTGTCTCTACCTACTGATCCCAGAACAGTCCCCTGCTGCCGAATTGAATGAATCTCATCTCTCTTCCCTGAGTCAGCCCTGCCTGTATTTGATGATCACAAACCTTATCCTTACGTTGCCAGCAGTAACATTCTGCATCCCTCACCCACTCCACTGTGTCCTTTTCCTCCCACTGATCTTCACTCTACCTTTCCTTCCCCCCACCCTTTTTTTTTTTTTTTTGACGGAGTCTCGCTCTGCCGCCCAGACTGGAGTGCAGTGGTACAATCTCGACTCACTGCAACCTCCACCTCCTGGGTTCAAGCGATTCTCCTTCCTCAGCCTCCCGAGTAGCTGGGCTTACAGGCATGAGCCACCAAGCCTGGCTAATTTTTGTATTTTTTAGTAGAGATGGAGTTTTGCCATGTTGGCCAGGCTGGTCTTGAACCCCTGACCTCAGGTGATCCACCCACCTTGGCCTCCCAAAGTGCTGGGGTTACAGGCGTGAGCCACCACGCCTGCCCACTCTGCCTTTTCTAGGGGAACTCTGAACAGTATTTCTGAGAAGGGATAGGTAATGTGTGCTTTGCTTCAATCTGAGTGGATTCCATCAACCTCTCCATAGAGCAGGGTGGAAAGAGGTCCTCTTGTCGTTGCAGCAGCTTCTCAATCTCATCTTTTATGGCCTTATTATGTAGTTTACATGTTAAGAAATCCAGAAGTATTTATAGTTGAGTGAAAATCCATTCTTTACTGGGGGGAAGAAATGAACTCTAAAACCATAAAAATGATGAACCAGTAGAAAATTTTCATCTGTAAATTTGAACCATAAAAGGATATGTTCATTTAGCATCATTTTTATATGTGTAAGCGGCATGTTACGCTATTATGGAATTGCCTTTGTAGCAGAGTGGACGAGGCAAAACCTTCCAAGTTTGATTATGGCCTAGGGCGCTGCAGTCAGTACGTGCACCGTGCATTTTTGTCAGACCACAGGATGTTTCACCTTTATCATTCTATTTCAGTTTCTCAAGTGTAGGTAGATGCTGTAGTAACTAGTGAAGTACAAATCCATGTAAAAATGTTAAACTCTCATCTGTTCGCTGTGTTTGTATTTTCTTAAAGGTAGGGATTAAAAGTGTAATAGGCCCACAGTCCCTTATCTGGAATCATTGGGCCAGATAAGTTTTAGAATTCAGAATTTTTCAGATTTTTCTAAAAGTAATAATATGCATATATTGTTGTTATGTAATACTTCCAGTGGGGTCTGGGACAAAATCCCATAATCAAACATTAGTATAGCAAAATATATATACATATATTCCCACTGAATGGATATGCATGAAGATTATGCATAGTTTAATATCAGTTCAGGTCAACTTTTATTGCCAAATAAGTTACAAAAAAAGATTTGTTTTTTAGAACTTTTTGGATTACAAAATGGTGATAGGGATTGTGGACTTGTCTTACTTTTAGTTATATACCTATTGAGAGTCTGTTAAATTTTTTTACTGTAAATAATATTTCCCATATTCCCAAAGGTTGGAAACCACAATCACATAAGCAGGGGTCACAAACCGAAGTGCCAGGTTGGGTAAAATAAATAAGTGAAATGGGAGGCGGGTATAGGACAGTAGGGAATGTGGGGACTGCAGTGAACTGGTGAATACATGTTCATTCAAAGGGGAGAGCTGCTCTTCAGTTCTAGCCACTTGTTGCCATGGTGAACGTGGGAGTAGTGAAGCTACATCTTCCATTTTTGATGATACTCCAGAATGCTGATTTTCATGTGAAGTTTCTTGATATTTAAATGTTGGCAACTAAAAAGAAAAAAACCCACTGTTGGCCAAAGAAAACATCTGAAAGCATTATCTGGCTGTGGGCTGCCTGCTTTCATTTGTAGTTTAGAGACTAATGCTTGTGGTATGAAAAGTTGTCAGTGAGCCGGGTGCAGTGGCCCATGCTTGTAATCTCAGCATTTTGGGAGGCTGAGGTGGGAGGATCACTTGAGACCAGGAGTTTGAGACCAGCCTGAGCAACATAGCAAGATCCTGTCTCTACACACGCAAAAAGTTTAGCCAGGCATGGTAGCATGTGCATGTAGTCCCCAGCTACTTGGGAGGCTCAGGTGGGAGGATCGCTTGAGCCTGGGAGGTCGAGGCTGCAGTGAACTGTGATCCTGCCACCGTGCTCCAGCCTGGGTGATGGAGTGAGACCCTGTCTCTAAATAAGTAATTTGTCAGTGGCATTCGTAATGAACTACTTTCTTGAGATATGGATGGGTGCATTTGCTTTATTGTTATTCATTATGCTTTACATACACACTATATGTTCTTTGCACATAAAATATTTCATAATAAAAATCTAAAGAAGTTGATAAGCACTTTATTTTAGCATTGCCTTATTTTCTAGCCATTAGGAAATTTTCATCTGTAAATTTGAAACTTTAAACTTATTTATCTTGGAAAAGGGACTGAAAGCCCCACTTCAAAAATAGGAGCCCTCTTTTTAAAAAGTAGGAGTTAAAAGAGGTTAGATTGTAATGTTCATTCCTTTCCAGGGCCATAGTGATCTGAAGTAACATTGGGTATTCACTGTTATATTGCGACAGAGAAATGTCCTCGATCTCCTTTCTTCTCAGACCGTTCCCCTGGGTGATCTCAGCCCCATAACTATCACCTCATGGTGACAGTTTTATGCCTCCAGCCCTGGGGTCTCTTTATCCCTAGAATGATGCTATCATCTCTCTCTTGAAAAATCTCTGCTGACATGGCCTGATAAAATTGAACCCATGAACTTCTTCCTCAAATTGGCTTCATTTCCCTCTATCTTCTAGTCTGTGAGTCACGAGACTTTGGCCTGCAGGGTAAATCCAGCCCACCGCTTGCTTTGTGAAAAAGTTTACTGGAACACAGCCACTCACTACAGTGGCAGGGTTGAATAGTTGCAACAGTGACCCATATGGCCTGCAACGCCTATGGTATTTATCCTCTGGCACTTCATAAGAAGCATGTGACCCCTGCCCTAGGGCATTAAATGCCCTCACACCCTCCCTAGTCACCTGTCAGTCCCATTCTTTTTCCTCCATCATCTCAGTCAGGTGAGGAGACTGGAAATTCTGCCTCTTTGATTATCTTTTTCTTTTTTTTTTTTTTTTTGAGACGGAGTCCCTCTCTGTCACTCAGTCTGGAGTGCAGTGGCATGATCTCGGCTCACTGCAACCTCTGTCTCCCGGGTTCAAGCGATTCTCCTGTCTCAGCCTCCTGAGTAGCTGGGACTACAGGCGCACACCACCATGTCCGGCTAATTTTTTTTTTTTTTTAATTTTTAGTAGAGACAGAGTTTCACCATGTTGGCCAGGCTGGTCTGGAACTGACCTTGATTATCTGTTGACTTCATCTTTGCTTCCCAGAGGCCATCCTTCCTGTTACCTTAATTAGGTGCTCATTATTTTTCACTTGGAGTCAAATTTGTCTTCCAGTTGGCTTTGCTGCCTTGAGCTGGCTTGAGCTGGATTGTATCTACAATTCCCCAACCTTCTGTTTGACATGGTCGGTCACCATTTTAATGATTATAGCTGCTCACCTCTAAATTACTTTTTCATGATGAATTCTCTAGAGGTTAGAATCACTAGATTTATAGGAAATTAATGTTTATATCATGACAGTATTGCCAGGTTGTCTCCTAAGATGATAATGCCGTCATTTAGTTTGTAGTGCAGAAAGTGATGTTGCGCAATAATGTGTGTCATTATGCATGACATGATGAATATCACATTTCACCATCACCTTAGTTGCATTAGATATTGTCCTTAAAAAATTTGTTATCTATTTAAATTTTTTCCACTAAGTTCAAAATGAATGTGTTCTTACATTTGTATTTCTTTATATGAGTTTTCTCTGTATGTGTCATTTGTTTGTCATGGAATTAACGTTTAGTTATCAGTTTCATTGCTCAGTTACCAATTTAGTTCAACAAATGTCTCTTGAGAACCTGTCAAATGATAGGGGCTGGGGTTAAAAATATAATTGATCCCTGGGGACTTGAATGTGGAGACAGAGCTACAAACAGATAATCTGAATGTAACCAGTTTTATCTATTCTAGCAGATCTTAGGTGCTGTTAATGAAATCTTAATGCCATTCTTTGATGTATTTATGTACTTTAATATAAACAAGTTAGCATTCTTGTTCATAGATATGTTCCTCAACAGATACAGTGATGAAACCTTGCACATTCATGACTAGGTACAGATTTAATACAAGTTTCAGAAGATAAAGCTGATTCTATAAAAAATCTAAGATTTCTATAAGAAACTGTCTTTTAAATAGGTAGAGCCTATTATTTATAGCAAATAAAATAATAGGCATGTTTGATATAAAAACAATATTCAGGCTGGGTATGGTGGCTCACGCCTGTAATCCCAGCACTTTGGGAGGCCAAGGCGGGTGGATCTCCTGAGGTCACGAGTTTGAGACCAGCCTGACCAATATGGTAAAACCCCATCTCTACTAAAAATACGAAAATTAGCTGGGCATGGCAGGCAGGCGCCTGTAATCCCAGGTACTCAGGAGGCTGAGGCAGGAGAATGGCTTGGACCCAGGAGGCCGAGGTTGCAGTGAGCCAAGATCGCACCACTGCACTCCAGCCTGGGCAACAGAGTGAGACTCCATCTCAAAAACAAACAATATTCAGTTCATTTCAGCCATGCATCTTGTGAGACTGTGTTTCCTCTGTGTTAATTACAGCTTATTGATTATTTGCATTGGCTACTTCCTTTTGATTATCCCAAGATGTTTCTCTCTTCCTCTCCTTTCCCACAGCTCTTCTTTTTGGACGTCTTCCTTATCAGAGATACCTTTTGGTTTAGTAGTCAATTTGATCTCTCCTTTAATGTTTCATTAGCATTTCTTCTGTAGTTACTCAGTGTTCTTCCACATGGTTTGGCCAAATTTATACTTCTTAAAGAGTTTAAATTAGAAATCACAGACCAAGTAAACAGGTGCTCAAATGAATATAAATCTTAAATAAATGTACAGAAATTATTAAAAGCACCCATCAGCTGTTACCTGTCAGTGTGAATATGTATAAATCAAGCAGCTTGGATATCACGTGGTCATTGGATACTTTCACATGCCTGGGCTGGAGTGACCATTTGAAACCATGGCCAGCGGTACTTTGGGGAAATACACCGAAGTGTTTCTACTTCACCAGATACAGTGAGTGCTTGGATGGAGGGAGTGTGGGCACAGGCACAAAGCAGGGGAGTCTCTGAGATGTGCCTGGGGGTTCAGTGAGGACTCCGCTGGGCATGTAACGTGAGCAATCATTTTTAAACAAATTTTTTCATGGAGGCAGAGTCTTGCTATGTTGCCCAGGCTGGTCTCCAACTCCTGGCCTCAAACAACTCTCCCATCTTGGCCTCCCAAAGTTGTGGGATTACAGACGTGAGCCACTGTGCCTGGCCTTGAGTGATCTTAATAACTGGCAGGTGATAGAGAATTCCAAGGGTAGAGATAGTCCTAGGGGAAACCTAACACTTGAAGAGTTTATCCTTTAACTTAATATTTTTTTTTTGTTTGTAAATTGGGAAAAAGGCAACCATTATGTGATTCTTAGCAGGGGAGCAACTCTCTCCAGCTCTTCTATTTTCAAATCACTTGGGTAGTGATTGCTATTTTCTGATCCATTTGTTAAGTATTTGTAGTATTTAAATTCACAGCCCCTGGTTGCATTTCCATCCAATAGAAGGTGTAAGTTGGTTCTTCAAAGCTTTTTTTTTTTTTGAGATGGATTCTTGCTCTGTCACCCAGGGTGGAGTGCAATAGCACAGTCTCAGCTCACTGCAACCTCTGCTCCAAGGTTCAAGCGATTCTCCTGCCTCAGCCTCCTGAGTAGCTGGGATTACAGGTGTGCACTACCACTCCCGGCTAATTTTTGTATTTTTAGTAGAGACAGGGTTTCACCATGTTGGCCAGGCTGATCTGGAACTCCTGGCCTCAAGCAATCAGCCCTCCTCGGCCTCCCAAAGTGCTGGGATTACAGGTGTGAGCCACCGCACCCAGCTGGTTCTTCCAAGTTTTAAAAAGCTTTAAGGCCAGGCATGGTGGCTCATGGCTATACTCCCAGCACTTTGGGAGGCTGAGGCAGGCAGATTTGATGCCAGGCCAACACGGCGAAATCCTGTTTCTACTAAAAATGCCAAAATTAGCCAGGCATTGTGGTGCACACCTGTAATCCCAGCTACTTGGGAGGCTGAGGCACGAGAATCGCTTGAACCTGGGAAGCAGAGGTTGCAATGAGCTGAGATCCTGCCACTGCAATCCAGCCTGGGCAACAGAGTGAGACCCTGTCTCAAAAAAAAAAAAAAAAAAAAAAGCTTTAAAGCTAGCATACTCTTGTTTTATTTGCCCTGTATAAGCTGATGGAGACCTTTGCCCCAAATAGACAATTTTGTTATACATTGAATATCAAGTATCATTTCTCACAATGTAACTTATTATTTTCTCTAATTTCCATTTTACTTGTATATCTCCTGTTAGAGCCTCTTTTTTTTTTTTTTTTTTTTTTGAGACGGAGTCTCGCTCTGTTCCCCAGGCTGGAGTGCAGTGGCATAATCTCGGCTCACTGCAACCTCCGTCTCCTGGGTTCAAGCGATTCTCCTGCTTCAGCCTCCCGAGTAGCTGGGATTACAGTTGCCCACCACCACACCTGGCTAATTTTTGTATTTTTAGTAGAGAGGGAGTTTTACCATATTGGTCAGGCTGGTCTCAAACTCCTGACCTCAGGTGATCCACCTGCCTTGGCCTCCCAGAGTGCTGGGATTACAGGCGTGAGCCATCGCGCCCAGCCAGAACCAGTTTAATACTCCCATTGCTTTTGCATTTTTGTACTTGCTGGGGTTCATAATAATCCTCAAACAACCCCAACATAGCAGGACTAAAATACAGGCCATCCATGGCCTGGAGCACCAACTTTTGAGAGCCAGGCGATGTTGATTGGCTTCTGTCGTCATCTGTGGAAGTCCATCGTTAGAAAAGCTTCTGTTCCAGTTTTAGGGGGGAATGATGGTTTGAGGGCTACTGTGGTAGAACTTGGGGAACTCTTTTCGGCAAAAGGTTGAGAAAGTTGGTGCTGTGGGAAGTCAGCTGGCAGCCGATGGAGTCAGGACCAGGGAGGAAGGGAAAGGGAACCCAGATAGGAAGCTACTGCAGTAGGCTCAGAGAGGTGATGACGGCAGGGCTAAGACAGCAGCCTTGGGCGGTGACTGGGAAGAACATTGAACACCATGTTTGGGCTGAAGAAAAGAGCAAGGGAAGAGGTGAGGAGCTTCAGGTTAGGGTTGATGTAGATGTTATTTACATAGGGAACAGTAATTCTTCACTTTTTCATTGTTTTACAATGATTCCTTTTTAGAAACATATAATTGTGATATTTTCTTTGACCTTTTATTGGGCTTTCTATTCTATTCCATTGATTTATGGCTTTGGGTGTGTGTATATGTTTGCATCAACATTTTTTTTTTTTTTAGATGGAGTCTCGCTCTGTCACCCAGGCTGGAGTGCAGTGGTGCGATCTTGGTTCACTGCAACCTCTGTCTCCCAGGTTTAAGCAATTCTCCTGCCTCAGCCTCCCCAGTAGCTGGGATTATAGGTGCCCACCACCATGCCCGGCTAATTTTTGTATTTTTAGTAGAGACAGGGTTTCGCTTTGGTCAGATTGGTCTTGAACTCCTGACCTCAGGTGATCCTCCTACCTTGGTCTCCCAAAGTGCTGGGATTGCAGGCATGAGCCACTGCACCTAGCCTGCATCAGTATGGTTTAATAACTGTTGATCTGTAATATGTTTTAAATTGGGTAGAGCTGGTCTCTTACAAATACTCTTTTTCAGGCTGGGTTTGTGGCTCACGCCTGTAATCCCAGCACTTTGGAAAGCTGAGGCCGGAGGATCGCTTGAGGCCAGGAGTTCAAGGCTGCAGTGAGCTGTGGTCCTGCCACTGCACTCCAGCAAGAGACCCTGTCTCATTAAAAAATAATAATAAATATTCTTTTTTCAGTATCTCTCTTACTTTTGTATAAAGGCGAGTTTTGGCATCTCATCTTCTCTAGTTTCTAGAAAAAATTATTTAGGATTTTGATTGAGTTGGGACTCATTTATTCAAATGATGTTTATTGGGTCCCTGTTGTGGGCTAGGCTCTAAAGGTTCAAAAATAAATAAAACCCAGGTTTTTATGGCCTAATAAATCTGTGAACTAAACTTTGAGAATTGATATCTACAAGATGAGCATTGCACATGACTTTGTGTGTACAATCTTTTATATGCTTCCCAGGTATTTTTTTTTGTTTTTTAAATTGAGAATAGTGCCTATTTACTAAACTATGCAACTGATCATTTTTGTTATTTTAGGTACATAATATTATCAGTGTTGTGCTTCTATTTCTGCTTTTGCTATTTAGTTCAATGATTTCTTTTTCATCCCTTATTTAATTGGTTAGACTCCAAAATAGTGTGTAGCTGTATAAATGTTTATAGGAATATTGTGTAAAGGGCATATGATTCTACCTTTATTGGACATTTCAGGAACATGATAAGGACTATTTAAATCCTGCTAAAATACAAGTGTTGTAATATGAATTGTTCCCAATGGAAGTTTGCAAGCAACGTTCTCCTCATTTTCGAACCACACAACTTTTAGTGTGTCTGCTATTTGAGCTTTATTCTGTGTCTGTTTTGTGTCATGAGGTTGGCAGGTGATCTTAAATGCAGAATGCTGAATTTGTAGTAGTCCAACTATATGGAGAAAACAATTGCAATGCACTTTAGATTTAGGAACAAATTGGAGGAGAAAGTTGAGAAATGGTAAGAGGAGTTTTAATGGAGCGTATGTGGCAGTATGCTAATGTCACTTCTAAAGAAGAGGTGGTTAGCAGGTCACAAGGCAGTAGACTGAATTGTAGCCTCTGAATCTCAGGGCAGTCTTTAGGAATGGAAACCTTGCTGCCTGTAGATTTAGGTAGAGGTTTTAATAACCCCCCCGTTGCCAGAAAAAATCATCCACACACAGATTTGCCTATAATCTTATGGACTTCACAGACATCCTCAAGCGCATGGACAAAAACCCCAAGATTCAAGAAAAGCCGTCCACATGGTCGGCAGCTCAAGAAAGCCTGCCAGTTGTCCAAGCAATGCTTAGTTACAGTTCCCATGCTGGGAGCTGCTCTCTAGAGAAATGTTATTTGCAGATGTGCACCTCGTGCGTCTGTGTGTGTTGTTCTGCCTGTGTCCAAAATACATGCTTTTTCTAGATGGGAGCCTTTCCCCCACAAAGCAGAAATGTGTTCTGTCATGGGATTTGATGATCATCAAATTACTTTCCCTCAAGAATTGGCTTTCTTGGCGATTAGTTAATTCAGTTTTCAAAACTTTTAGATAAGGGCTTAATCAACGTAAAACTGCTTTGGGGCAGTTGCATTGTAGTAAAAAGTGTATTGGACTTGAGTCTGAGGGCTTGAGATCCTGTCTGTACTGTTTACTCGCTGTGTCTGTGACCTTGGTCCAATCAGCCACTCTGCTGTGTTCCTATACGTGAGAAACGGCTCCTGATACCACCAGGAGCAAGCTCTGCTGTGTTTAAGAAGGTGGTGTGTGCTAGGGAGGCGTCATGAGACAGTGAGGACATACAGTGTGACACAGCAGGTCAGCACTGGGGAAAATAGCCAGGTTAGCCTTCACTTCACTGCTCTATGCCAAAATACATTCCAAATGGGTTAAAGCTTTCATGTAAAAAATAAAACCACAAAATAAATACAAGAAAATATAGCTTATTGTGGAAAGTACTGCATGCTTTGGCATAAAAATGTGGAGAAAGAACAATAAAAGATAGCCTGTAGGTGGGACATGCGACTCCCACCTGTATCCCAGTTGTTAGGGAGGCGAGGCAGGAGGGTCATTTGAGGCCAGGAGTTTGAGCCCAGCCTGATTAACATAGTGAGGCCCGTGTCTGTAAAAGGAATTTTGGAAAAATTAGCTGGGTGAGGTGGCACACCCCTGTAGTCCCAGCTATTTCAGGAGGCTGAGATAGAAGAATCCTTAGAGCCCAGGAGCCGGAGCTGCAGTGAGTCATGATTGTGCCCCTGCAGTCCAGCCTGGGTGACAGAGTGAAACCCCATCTCTAAAAAATAAATAAATAAATAAATAAATAAATAAAACACCTGTAGATTTAACCACATAATAACTACACTTCTGTCTGTTTTATTATATCAAAGTTAAATTTAAAACGATGACTAATTGGAAAAAACTGAGAGCAACCACTACAGAGGTGAATATACTGAATGTATAAAGCTCTCTAGTAATTTTAAGAACTCCGCTCTAATGAGCAGATATCACAGACAGAAACTTCTCAGATGAAATACCGATGACCAGGAAATCTGTGAGACCACTTTAAAAAATTCGAAGTCATTGAAGAAATGCAAAGCTTCCAGGCTCCACTTTTCACTGATGAAATTGGCAGAGTTTGGGACAATGAGATGTTGCTGTCCCGGGAGTGTGGATGGGGCTGTGTCCTGTGATGGCGGTGGGCACTGGCACTCTTGTCCAGAAAGACATTCGCCACTGTGGTTCAAGAAGCACCTCAAAGGTCTTCACCTTGGTCCCTTGTCCACCTCTGCCCGCGGTCTCTCCTCCTTTCAGCCTCCTCTTTCCCACACAGTCCCTCCCGCCCTGGCTTGGTCCCCTTTCTTCTCTGATGGGGTCAGGCATGTGGGTGACTGACTTCCAAGGCTCTGTCTACCTGGCCTTTTTCTTTCACCTGTTCTGCGGAATAATAGCCTGATTCATTCCTCTTTTTGGGTCCTTCACTTCCATACCTGGGATTCGGGGCGTGGCCCAGAAAGACCCTGCAGTCGTGCAGTGTGGGGCTGCCAGCATTTCATGGCCTCCAAGCTCAGCTGGGCTGAATGAATGCTGCCGTCCAGCGCTTGGCTTAGTTTTCTGTCCCGTTTTCCTGAGTGCTTTTGCCAGACTTTCACTTTTCTGAAACCTACTTCACCCTACCCCAGACACCCACCCTCTCTCCTTGGATGACCTGCCTCCTAATTTCCTAAGAAAACTGGACATGGCCACCTTTCCCCAGTGTCTGAGGCCCAGGTTGACCCGTGGTCATGGTTGCCGTCACCACCCACCTGCCTGGACCCCACCCTCTGTCCAAGGCCCCGCCACCTGTGCCGCTGTCCTGGGCGCTGCCTTGCCAGCCTCCCCTCTGTGCCATGCACCTTTCACCTCCCTCCATCTGCTGCCTGTTTCTTCTTGGCTGCTCCTCATGGTCAGGCTTTTCTCAGCCCTCCCCTTCCTTCTGGGGCTTTGCGTCTTCCTCTGTCATCCACGCTCTGCGTCTTGGCTTCCCAGGACCCTCTCCTCCCACTTTCCTGTCCCTGACGTCCCTGTGCCCGGGGCCCAGTTTGCATCATCAGCCAGTCCCTCATCCATGCTTCACCCGCACCTCGCTCCTGGCTTCTTCCCTGCCCTCCCTGGGGACTCCTATCCTGTCCCCTGCCCTGGTTCTCCTTCCGCTGTGTCCCAGGGCCTCCATCCTCAGCCTCCGTCTTCTCTGCAGGGTCTGCTTCTGCATGAACTCCCCCAGATCCGTGTTTGCTGCTGGTCCTCACAGCAGGCTCTTCGTTTCTGGACCAGATGTCTTTTCTGTGCTTCAGAACCATCTAGAAAAAAGGGAACTGGATATCTCCACCTGAATGTTCAACAGGTCCCTTCACCCAGCATTTCCAGAGCTGACCTCATTGTACCTTCATATCCTCCCAGTGTTTCTCTTTTGGTGAGGAAAAACACACATTGTCCAGCCAGTCCCTCAAGGCAGAAACCTGGTGGTCATCCTCAGCTCCTCCCCCTCACTTCCTGTCCACCCCCAAGTCACCGAGTCCTGTTCCTTTCTCCTTTGCAGTGGCTCTCTGTGCCCTGCTCTACCTACCCACTATTTAGTGTGGGCTGTCCTCCATCTCACTTGGATCTCGTGTTTTGGGGACTCTTCAGATTCTCCTCCATGGCTTCCCTACCCGGCAGCATATCTTTCCCTCACATATTCCACACTGCAGCCAGAGGGATCTGCCAAAGAAATAATTGTGATAATGATAGAGAATGCGCATCTGGGTGTATACTGGGTGCCTTGCACTAGTCCAAGTGCTAATGACAGAGAATATATATCTGGGTGTGTACTGGGTGCCTTGCACCAGTCCAAGTGCTAATGACAGAATATGTGTCCGGGTGTGTACTGGGCGCCTTGCACCAGTCCAAGTGCTAATGATAGAGAATATGAGTCTGGGTGTGTACTGGGCGCCTTGCACCAGTCCAGGTGATAATGATAGAGAATGTGCATCTGGGTGTGTACTGGGCACCTTGCACCAGTCCATGTGCTAATGACAGAGAATATGTGTCTGGGTGTGTACTGGGCGCCTTGCACCAGTCCAAGTGCTAATGACAGAGAATATGCATCTGGATGTGTACTGGGCACCTTGCGCTAGTCCAAGTTGTGTATTGACTTGTTTAATACCCACCAGACCCTGTGAAGTCAGTATAGTGTTATCCCTTTTATAGGTGGGAACCAGAAGCACAGGGAGATTGAGTAACTTGTGTGACATGATTTCTCCATATTCTAGACAGAACAAAAACCATTTTTTTTTTTTTGGTTGTCCCTATGTTGCCCAGGCTTGTCTCCAACTCCTGGCCTCAAGCAATCCTCCTGCCTCGGCCTTCCAAAGTACTGGGATTACAGGTGTGAGCCACCATGCCAGGAATTTTTTGAGCTTTCTAGGAATCAGCACTTTGCTTATATTATCTCTTTCAATCTTTCCAATCTGTAAATTAGATATTCTTAATATCTCCATTTTTACGGGAAAGGAAATGGAGACACAGAGATTACCCCGCTCTTAGGTGGTGAACGGGGCTTTGACTCCCTGCATATTTGCTCTTAGCCACTTCACCCACCTACAAGGAGCTAGCACCTTGCTTGGGGTAGAGGGAGGGCACCTTCTGAACATGCTTTAGTGGGTGTTTTTCTGTTCTGCTTTCCGAGTTGTGGGTGGCAAAGGAGATGTGCATGCATAAGATGTTCTCATTACTAAGAGTGCTTCTGATGATAACAAAAGACCAATATCCTGTTGGAGCAATGTCCAGATATGATGAAATGCTAGATTTGCCTGGTAACGCTGAAGAAATTTTTTTATGAATGCTCCATCCCCAGAAGACTCTCGCTCCTGCCATTTGATCAGTTGATTTTATAATATGAGCATTGGTAAATTCTTAGGAATACAACTATCATAATAACATGTTATGGCACAACAAATTTAACTGTTACTCCACTGGTAGGTTCCTGAAATTATTGATGATAGGAAGATTCTTCAGTGCAGAGAGGGATTTAAGACGTTATGGGAGACATTTTAGTTAAGATGGTTGACTGAAGACATATTTATTTCCCTCCCCCCCCAAAAAAATAAAATTCACTGAAATGTTGGGAATTTTTTTTAAGTCTTAGAAGTTAAAAACCATTGTGCTGAAATCCCTGGTGTACTTATGAAGAAGTAGGTGGCTTGCACCTGTAGTCCCAGATACTGGAGAGGTTGAGGCGGGAGGATTGCTTGAGCCCAAGAGTTTGAAGTGAACCTGGACCACATAGCAAAGCCCTTGGTCTCTTAAAAAAAAGAGAAGAAAAAGTTGGTCTATAGAGAAGTAAAGTGAGTGCAGTTTTATTTGTTGGTTCATTGTCCAAGCCTGGTTTTCCTTTGTTTAAATGCATGTAACAGCCTTTCTGAAGATTTTTTTTTTTACATTTGCTGCCTGGTACTCATTTGAAGGCCCAGAGTCCGGCAGAGTTCCTTTCCGTGTTTTCCGCAGTCCTTCAGTTTGGTTCGCACACCTGATGGCCTAGAATTGGGCTGGCCCTTGGCTCTCCTGCCCACCCTGGTGGTGGATTGCCGCTGGCTCCTACTCAGTACAAGGCCCAGATACTGAAAACTTTCATTTAGTCACTTATGTATTCAGCAAATAAGTTTGCTCACAATCTTCAGCAGATCCCGTGTACCTGAGCTTAAATGGGGTGGGGTTCTCCCCCAGCCATGTCACCTGCCTCTGCTCCTCCCTGCTCTCTCTTCCCTCTCTTCTCCCTGACCTGGGTGCTCTTGTACTATCCAGCCTCTGGGTTTCCAACTCATCCAGTAGGTCTCAGAAGCCATCACCAGTTTCAGGATATCTTTCTGATATCCCAGGTCTGCATTCAGGCCCCTCCTGTCATGTCTGTAACCCGCAACAATTTAATGTGCTTCTCTGTGCCTAGGTTTCTAAATCTCTAAAATGGGTATGACATGGTTTGGCTGTGTCCCCACTCAAATCTCATCTTGAATTGTAGTTCCCATAATCCCCACGTGTCGTGGAAGGGATCCCATGGGAGGTAATTTAATTATCGGGCCATTACCCTTATGCTGTTCTAGTAATACTGAGTGAGTTCTCATGAGATCTCATGGTTTTATAAGTGACTTTTCCCCCTTTTGCTCGGCATTTCTCCTTGCTGATGCCATTTGAAGAAGGACGTGTTTGCTTCCCCTTCCACCATGATTGTAAGTTTCCTGAGGCCTCCCCAGCCCTGCGGAACTGAGTCAATTAAATCTCTTTCCTTTGTAAATTACAGAGACGTGGGTATGTCTTTATTAGCAATGTGAGAACAGACTAATACAGGTTATAATAGTGGTATCAGTCTCATGGTTGTCTTGAGGATTAGGTGGGTTAATACAAGTAAAGTGTGTATTAGGTGGTTAAGAACAGGGTCCCTGAAGTAATATTGCCGAGATTCAGAGCCTAGGTGGGAAACCCTGGGCAATCGCTTAAGTTCCCTGGGTGCATCAGTTTCTTCCTCTGTAACACGGGGGTAATAATACTTATCCCGTAGAGTTCAGTTCTTGCAAAGCACCTGGAACAGTGCTGAGCATGTGATATGAGCTCAATAAATGTGGGCTGTGGTGATAGTGACAACTCCCAGGGACCCTGCACTTCCCTGTTGGAACCGTCCTTGCACTGGAGTATAATGGCTTATTTTCCTTGATAGTCCTTGAGCTCTGGCAGAGCAGGGGCCCTATCTTACTCATGATGGCTCATGGAAGGGAACCCGAAAATATTTGTTCAGTGACTAACCAAATGAAAAGTTAGTGCAAAGTATGCATGACACCAGCCTGTGGTTGAATTTGTTGATGGGCTGTGTAGCTCCACTCAGTTAAGGCTTACTTATCCTGAATAGCTTTTTTGACAAAACACCTCATTAAAAAGCAATCAGATTTCTGTTTTAAGGTATTTACAGTGTCCTTTCATCCATCAGGCACTCCTTTCTTTGACCTTAGAAAAGGGCAAGTGGAGATTTAGGGTGTTCCCCACCCAGAATCTACCATCATCCCTCAAAAACTGCCTCGCCCTGACTTTCCAGGTGACTATTTTTTCTTCATTTTGTGCACCACGCTAAGCATGGAACTTCCTGGGCCACATCTGTGACGTGTGTTTATTGTAGAATTCCAGAGGAGCCACCATTATTCAGATTTTCAGCACTAGATGCCTGTTTAAACCGTGCAACATTTGTCATTTTTGGAGTTACAGTCCTACGTTTGCAAAGCCCAGTTTGGAAGGTTTCAAAATGTTCCCTCCTTTGCTATTTTGTTCTAGTCTCTTAAAAGTCCTGTGAGAATGTTGATGCAAATATAAATAAAGTAAGGGGCAGAAAGGTTAAGGGATGTATTTTTAGATGCTATGGTTAGTTTGTGGCGGAGTTAGGGTCAGAACATAGCTTGCAAATTTAAGAGAAATTTAACTTTGGTCCATGGCCTCGAAGGTACTCTTTCTGAAGGTTCAAAGACTGGTTCACATTGTGTAATTCACTTAATGGGTGTCTGCCTGCACACCCACGAAACAGGGATAATAAAAATTGCCCTGTATGGGTACATGTTTTTGCCCGTTACTTTTTTTTTTTTTTTTTGAGACAGAGTCTCACTCTATTGCCCATGCTGGAGTGCAGTGGTGCAATCTCAGCTCACTGCAACCTTCGCCTCCTGGGTTCAAGTGATTCTCCTCCCTCAGCCTCCTGAGTAGCTGAGATTACAGGTGCCTACCACCATGCCCAGCTAATTTTTTTTTGTATTTTAGTAGAAATGGGGTTTCACCATGTTGGTCAGGCTGGTTTTGAACACCTGACCTTAGGTGATCCGCCCACCTCGGCCTCCCAAAGTGCTGGGATTACAGGCGTGAGCCACCATGCCCGGCTGCCCATTACTTTTAATGGGAAAAGCCACAATTACTTTTGCACCAACCTATTATAATGAAATAATATAGGTAAAAGTGCTTTCATAACAGAAAATAATGTATAAATGCAAAATATTACTATTAATTTTTTTTTAAATTTTAGTATTGGAAATTTGGTGTTAAGAAACTCTTTTGGCTGGGCACAGTGGCTCATGCCTACAATGCCAGCACGTTAAGATTTTAGACCTTGTCTCCAAAAAAAGGATTTTAACTGAGGCAGGAGGATCACTTGCGGCGAGGAGTTTGAAACCAGTGTGGACAACATAGCGAGAACCTGTCTGTACAAAAAAATACAAAAATTAGATGAGTGTGGTGGTGTATGCCTGTAGTCTCAGCTACTTGGGAGGCTGAGACAGGAGGATTGCTGAGCCCAGGAGTTGGAGGCTAAAATAAGTTACGATCGCACCATTGCTTTCCACAGTCTGGGTGACAGACCCCATCTCTAAAAAATAAATAAACGGTAACAGAAACTTTTTTGATTACATGTTATGATCCACCAATTCCAGTTTCTATGTTTGATTACTTTCTTGAACAGGAGTACTGTATTTATGAATTTTTCTTGTACTTTTTTCAAGTTGGTAGTTTATAGTCAGATTCTACTGTACTCTTTCTGTTAAAATAGCTATGTGTTGGGCCAGGCACGGTGGCTCACGCCTGTAATCCCAACACTTTGGGAGGCCGAGGTGGGCGGATCATGAGGTCAGGAGATCGAGACCATCCTGGCCAACATGGTGAAACCCCATCTCTACTAAAAATACAAAAATTAGCCGGTCATGGTGGCGTGCGCCTGTAGTCCCAGCTACTCGGGAGGCTGAGGCACAAGAATCTCTTGAACCTGGGAGGTGGAGGTTGCAGTGAGTCAAGATTGTGCCACTGCACTCCAGCCTGGTGACAGAGCAAGACTCTGTCTCCAAAAAAAAGAAAAAGAAAAAGAAAAAATAGCTATGTGTCATTGGCCAGGATGACTATTTGGGCTCTGGGTCTGTGTTCTTGTCTCTCGTCTAGATATCCACAGAGGGCTCCAGGAGTTCCTACTTCCATCCTGCTATTCTACTTTTCATTCTGAAACTCAAACCTGTTGCCATTCCATTACTGAAAAACCATCAGTGGCTCCCTGTTGCCCCCGAGTTCCATGGCAGGCAAAGCCTTTCTCTGCAGCCACATCTCCACCTCCTGTTCTGTACCCTACTATGTACACACTCCTCCCCAAACCTTTTCTCCCCATGCCTGACTTATCTGAGGTCCACTTGGACTGTTTCCCTGCTTTCCTGGCCACACAGTTAATCACTCTTCTATCTGTGCCCCCAAAGTGTTTTCATTAAGGATGAGACCTTTTTTTCTCATGAGCTCCTCAAGGGTGGGGACTGTATCATTTCTGTCTCCTTTTTTCTTTCTCAGTTCCTGACATTTAGTGGGAACTCCGTAAATACCGTCTGAATGAACAAATATCTAAAATCTGAGGCTCTTGAAGTAAGTCCATCCTCGGATGGATGGTTTATACTTGGAGACTTGCTTTTGCTTCTCTGTGAATGCATGCTCAGCTGAGATCTGCTGGTGCAGGTGTTTCTATAGCTTCCTTAGCAGTGGTGGGAAGCCCAGCAGCTTAAGATGTTAGCTTCTGATGCAGGGTTTACTAACTCTCCACGTACTCTGTCCCTGAGTTTCTGTTTATTGTTTGCCTGTGATTCTCTTTGGTGCCATCCCACACGGTGTTGTCACAACCAACCCTTTGTTTTAATTGAACGTCCTGCGCTACTCCTGCTCTAACTCTGACTAGCTTTTTGTTTTTGTGTGGTCCAGGCTCGACTGTGACTTCTTCCAGAGAGAAGCTAGAACAGCTTGATAAATTTGGAAAGGTCATTCTTAGATAAGACTTGGGATTTATCTGAAGGTTGTTATTATTTGTTGTAATTCTCAGAACAGCTAACACTCCATGAACCCTCACTAGGTGCCACGAAACACGTTAAATGAAGTACATGAGATGGTGTTCCTAAACAACCACTATGGTGGTGGTATCATTATTATAATTTTATGGTTATAATTATTCCTATTTCACAGTGGAGGAAATGTTTCTTAGTAAGGTGCACATGTGAACGTCTAGCCTTGGGTTTCAAAGTCTGGTATGTTTGACTCCAGAGCCCTAACTCTTAGTTCTGACTGTATCCTACATTCTTATCCTTTGCTGAGAGTGAAACTTAGAATTGGGTATCACTCTGTTTTTTACAACTGAGTTTACTCTGTCTGTGAAGGCCGCAGCGTAAAGCCAGTTGTGAATCATGCACATCAGCTCCTTCTGAAATGTGTTTATGGCCTAGGACACAGGGACCCTGGAGACTATGGTGCTGCAGTGCATTATGGCTGCTACCCTTCTAGTCTGTCCTGCTGCTCGTTCTGCCACCTGCCAGCTGTTGCTACCTGAACCTTCTCCTTGCAGCAGTTCTCAGTGTTCTCTTTGCTTGGGAATTGCCTGGGGAGCTAAAAAAAAAAAAAAAAAGCCAAGCCCCACCTCCAGAGGTTCTAATTCATTTGTTTTAGGTTGGGGTCCAGGCATCAGTATTATTATTTTTGACAACCTTATGAGGGGTGTGTGTGTATTTGTGTTTTTGTGGGGGACATGGTCTCACTCTGTTGCCCAGGCTGGAGTGCAGTGGTGTGATCTTGGCTCACTGCAGTCTCCACTTCCCAGGCTCAAATGACCCTCCTACCTAAGCTTCCTAAGTAGCTGGACTACAAGTGCTCACCACCATGCCCAGCTAATTGTTTTAATTTTTTTTTTTTTTGAGACAAGATCTTGCTTTGATGCCCAGACTGGAGTGCAGTGGCACGATCGTGGCTCACTGAAGTCTTGACCTCCTGGGCTCAAACAATCCTCCCACTTCAACCTTCTGAGTAGCTGGGACTACAGGTGTGCACCACCATGCCTGGCTAAGTTTTTTATTTTTTGTATAGATGGAGGTGTCCCTGTCTTGCCCAGGCTGGTCTTGAACTCCTGGACTCAGGTGATTCTCCCACTTTGGCCTCCCAGAGTGCCGGGATTACAGGCATGAGCCACTGTGCCCAACCTATGAGATATATTTTATAGATCATAAAATTTACCCATTTTCCCCTTTTATCTTTAGTTGGCTGCAATGTTTGTACATATTTATGGGATATAGAGTGATATTCTGATATGTTTACAATGTGTAATGATCAAATCAGCATAATTATCGTATCCATCACCTTGAACGTTTGTGCCTGTATTGTGAACATTCAAAATCCTCTTCTAGATTTTTGAAAATACACACTAAGTTATTGTTAGTCATATTCACCCTACAGTGCTATAGAATACTAGAACTTATTCCTCCCATCTAGCTATAATTATTTATCCCTATCCATTAACCTCTCCCTATCTCTCCTCCACCCTATGCTTCCCAGCCTCTAATAACCACAATTCTACTCTCTACTTTTATGACGTTATTTTTTTTGGCTCCCACATATGAATGAGAACATGTGGTATATATCTTTCTGTGTCTGACATATTTCAAAAAATGTCTCATTTTAAGTGTAGAACTCAATGATTTGTAGTAAATTTACAGAGTTGTGTAACCATCACCACAACCCAATTGTAGAACATTTTTGTCACCCCAAATGAGAGCCTTCATACTTCTTTACAGTTAATCCCCATTCCCCCCACCCCCAAAGCCAACCACTCATCTACTTTCTGCCTCTATAGATTCCCGTTTTCTGGCCATTTCATATAAGTGGCATCACCTGTATTATTTTCAGAGCCTCCAGGACTGTCATGTGTAGCTCTGGTTAAGAACCACTGTTACCTCCTAGATCTTTTTCCACTAGTTTTTATTTTTACTATTTTTCTGAGTGGCTCAGAAAACTCAATAGGCCCCTGCCAGGGCTGTCTCTTAGATAATCTGTGAGCTAAATGAGTCCTTGTAAGTTGGACTGAGAACTTAACATTTACAACCTGTTTTTATGGGGATGAGCTTGTCAAAGTCCAAATGTGCTGACCTAGTTTGGAAGGGAGCCTGCACAACCTGTCTTCAGACGCTGTGCACCTCCCCAGCAGCCATCAGTCACAGCACTGAGTCAGAGCCCAGGTGTGGAGGGAGCCCCTGACATTGTGTGGCCTGGCCTTGGGCACTTTTGCTTTAGACTTTTTGTGTGGCTTTTCAGCTCCTCCTAGCCTCTGGCTGCCTCACCAGAGCAGTAAACTGGACTCCTCCTGAGCTCCTTTCCCTTAGGCAGTAGCTCTATGTGGATGTACTGTCTGCATTGCAATATTTTGCAAAATATTTCTCACATATTTTTGCCTGCTTAAATGAGTTTTAAAATCTCAAACTCAGCTGCCTCCAGGTCCAAGCAGGTACCATGAGTGACTGGAGCAGGCTGGGGAATAAGGCACTTGGAATGCCTGAGAGGCCGTTGAGGTGGTTGGTGGCAGAAGGGAGATTTCTTTCAGATTTTGCTATAAGCAAGAATCGGTGGTGGAGCTTTGAGACAGGCCACGTGGTTAGAGCAGGGATAGCAAATAGATTCCATTTCATGTGCCAGAGGGGAAAAAGCCAACTGACCGAACAAAACGCTGCGTGGGTAAGCTTACATGTGCAGGAAAACGATAAACCTCAATTCAATTTAGGGTAAAATGTAACTGTTCATCTTAGTCACTGGAATTCAAATAATATTATCAAGATTAAGTTAAGATTGAGAAGGCTTTTATTGTCATTTAAAGTAAAAATTAAATGTTATAACCCTGTCCTAGAGAAGCTGTAAATACATGGGCAAAATACCATCATTTGGGGAAATAATGCAGAGTATAGAACTATTAGATCTATTTTTCCCACGTCATTGCCAAAATATTTTCTGTTGAATCATTTCCCCCCGTTAAGTATCCTTTTTCTTTTCAGTGTTAGGCATGGGAACAATTTTTTCCCAATAACATCCCTTTAGAGTTCTGTAAACTCTCTTACGGCTTTTAAACTGCTTTGTGGCAGGTATAACAAATTGCTTCATTTTTAAAGTTTCAGAGAGTCGTTTATTTTAAAAATCCAATTAAGTAGATTTTAGATTCCTTCCCAGAAATCTAAGACGACAGCTAATCTAATGAGATAAAACAGTAAAAACTCATTCAGTAGTCCTCCAGCTCACTATGAAATCAAACTATTGCATCCAAACTGGGCTCAGAGGCTCAGGTGGATTTTGTAAACACTTGTAACGGGAGGTGACAGTGTTGCACAAAATCAGATTCCCAGCAGAATGAAATCCACTGCCTAGCCCTGGGTGGGCTCTGTAATTTCACTGTGAATACAAATCATGTTGCATGCAGTAATGTTTATGTTGTTACCCTACATACAATATTCAGATCCTTGGTAGATTAGTCACAGTCTGTCTTATTTCTCAAAAATGCGTCAGATATTTCCTGGTAACTAGCATTGAAAATGAGCTCATTAAAAATTCTCTCCATGCTTCATTTTTTCATTTTAATTGACGTATCAGTCAGTGTGCAAGTGTAAAAGCCAGCAGAACAGTGATCTCTCATGTGAAATTGTAAACCAAAAACCAACAGCCCTGTGAGCCCAGAGGCAGTGGGAGCCATTGATGTTTGATGCTAGTGTTGGCGCCTCGGCCACATATTTGCCATCCTTGGGTTGGGGGTGCTCTTGGTGGTAGAAAGATGAGCCCCTGCTCTCAAGGCCCCAGAATGGCTGAAAGGATTGAAAAGGAGCAATTTGGCAAAAGTCTTGAAAAGCCAGCGTCTCTCAACCTCTGAAATGCAAGTTGGGAAAACGTAGAAATCCCCCTTCTGAGTAAGAAGAATTTGGATTTGGGAAGTGATTAAAAAGGATTGAAGTTTCATGGGAAAATGGACTTCACTTGTACATAGATCAGGGGTCAGCAAACTCTGGTCTGTGGGCTAAATGCGGCTGCTGCAGGCTCAGAATGGTTTTGGCATTTTTAAATACTTGAAAACATTAAAAGAGGAACAGTAGTTCATGACGTACGATAATTAGGCAAAATTCACATTTCAGTGTCCATAAATAAAGGTTTATTGGGGCACAGCCAGGTCCGTTCATTTATACAATGTCTGTGGCAGCTTTTGTGCTGCAGTGGCAAGCTGAGTCATTACATAGAGACAGTATGGTCTGCAAGCCTGAAATGTTTATTGTTGCTGAACTCTTGGGTAGAGAACTGTGTTTATTTAGGTCTTGTCCCGAAATATGTTTATCAGTAGAGACCAGAAAGCAAACAGTGATTAAAATACTTCAGTGTTTTTGAGGAGGTGAGTGGATGGAGGTGCGTAGGTGCAGGAGGGACATAACTTCTGATTTCTTCCTGTCACCAGTGTCACCAGCACTGGGCTGTGCCTCCGCATTTGGACTGAATTATCAGAGGCAGCCACCCCTGTTCATTTTGGCAGCTGCTGCTTGCCTATGAGGCAGAATGTCGAGGAAGAGAAAATACACCTCCAGCCCAGCCTCACCCATCCTCAAAGTGATTCTAAAAAGTTAGCTATCAAGGTTTGCACCACATCCTGCAAGAGTTACTAATAGAGACCTGGGGTTGGCCAGCATTTTCTGTAAATGGCTGGATAACAA
Organism: Homo sapiens; assembly: GCF_000001405.40. Classification (NCBI taxonomy): domain Eukaryota; kingdom Metazoa; phylum Chordata; class Mammalia; order Primates; family Hominidae; genus Homo; species Homo sapiens. The sequence continues at coordinate 24,986,675 of NC_000016.10, read as the reverse complement.
ATATTTTGAGCTCTGCAGGTCATACGGTGATGTCTTTCGCAACAACTCAGTTCTGCTGTTGAAGCTCAAAAGCAGCCATAGATAGCACACAAATGCATGAGCCTGGCTGTGTTCCAGTGAAACTTCTGTAATACACTGAAATGTGAATTTCATAAAATTTTCATGTGTTACCAAATATTATTATTTTGTTTTTTTCCAATCATTTTAAAATAACCATTCTTCTGAGCTTTCTGAACATAAAAAATGGGCGGTGAGCTAGATTGAGCCTGCGGGTATAGTTTGCTGACCCCTGGTTTAGATAAACTAAGTGTAGGCCTTGCTAGTCAGGCCCTCTGGGTTTGAATCCCACAATCCCACTTATTAGTGCTGGGGTCCTAGGCAAGTTACCTTTCAAGACCTCACTTTCCTTATAGGTAAAATGGGGGAAATAGTGGTTCCTACCCAATAGGGTTGATGTGAGAATTAGAGTAGATGTAAGTGCCAGCCCAGTGTCTGGGGCATAGAAAGCACCCAGCAAATATGGCTGCTACTGTTGGCTATTATGAAGGCTCAAGTAGATCCCTACAGCCTTGGAGGAACCGTTTGTGATGTGGAGGTTTGACGGTCTTCAACTGTCTTCAGTCCACAGTTCAATTAGATTGAATATGAGGCTGGAGGGTTTGGTGGTGCTGCCTTGCTTTCGTGCAGTTAAGTAGAACATGGTATATCCACAGAATAGGTTAATGTACAGGCATAAAAAGGGAGGTGGTGGAGTTGTACATCTGTATTCTGACGTGTAAAAATGCCCCTCGTGTCTCTATCTACCTGTGTGCATCTGTGTGTGTGTGTATGGGTGTGCATGTATGTGTGTGTACGTATGTGTGTGTATGTGTGTCCTTTGAAATCAGCACTTCTCAGCCTTGGCACTGTTGACATTTGGACCTGAAGTAGGCAGAATAATGCTCTGCCCTCCCGAAACATGTCCAGATCCCCATCTCCAGAATCTCTGAATGTCTTAGATTACATGGCAGAGGGGGACTAAGTTTGGAGATGGGATTAAAATTTCTAATCAGTGGAAAGGGAGATTAGCCTGGACTAGCCAGGTGGGCCCAGTGTAATCACAGAGGTCCTTAGCAGTGGAAGAGGGAGGTCGCAGAGTCAGAGGAAGAGGTGACTGTGGCAGAGAGGCCCAGAGTGAACCATACTGGCTTTGACAGTGCAGGAGGAGGCCAAGGAATGCGGTAGACTCAAGAAGCTGGAAAGGGCGAGGAAGCAGATGCTCCCCTTGCATGTCCAGGAAGGCATTCAGCCCTGCTGCCACCTTGATCGTAGTCCAGGGAGACCTGGTTGGAAGTGCTGAACTCAAGAAGTGTGATATAATATACTTGTGTTGTTCAAGCCACTGAGTTTGTGGTGATTTGTTACAGCAGCAATAGGAAACAAATCCAGGGCTGGATCATTCCTTGTTCATAATTCTTTATATTATTTAGTGTGTGTGTGTGTGTGTGGGGTTGCATTTAGGATAGTCAGTAGCATCCTGGCCTCTAGCCTACAGAGACCAGTAGCATCTCCCATCATGACAACCACAAATGTCCCCAGACATTGCCAAATGTCCTCTGGGGACACAGTTGCCTCCAGTTGAGAAGCACTAGTTTAAATTTAGAAAACAAATTGGGAAGGATATATAACAAATTCGTAACAGTACCCTTTGGGATATGGGATTGGAGGAATGGCTTTCACTCCTCTTTTAACATAAAATTTTTAAAACTGGATTTTGCCTCCCCCTACAGACATTTTTTTTTTATTTTCAACTGTGGTTTTTTTTCCCATTTTATAAAAAGATTAACCTTGAAAGGTAATATCACATTTCAATTTTAGTCATTATGGATTTTACTGTGGAAGGCAGTTCTATACACCTATGGCTGCTTTTCAACCTAGTTTTATTGGATTTTGTTTGACATTGTGAATGTCCTTTTTCCCAAAGATGTGATAGACATCCATTCATTCATTCAGTGTGTATTTCTTTTTTTTTTTTGAGACGGAGTCTTGCTCTGTCGCCCAGGCTGGAGTGCAGTGGCGCAATTTCAATCTCAGCTCACTGCAAACTCCGCCTCCCGGGATCACACCATTCTCCTGCCTCAGCCTCCCGAGTAGCTGGGACTACAGGTGCCTGCCACTGCCTGGCTAATTTTTTTTTTGTATTTTTAGTAGAGACGGGGTTTCACCGTGGTCTCGATCTCCTGACCTCGTGATCCGCCTGCCTTGGCTTCCCAAACTGCTGGGATTACAGGCGTGAGCCACTGCGCCCGGCCTCAGTATGTATTTAAGTGGCAGGAAGGTGCTGAGCTTGCCGCTGGGGAGGAGTGATGACTTTAGAGCTCTCTCTCTGCCCTCATGGAACCTGCTGTCTAGCAGGGAGGAGGACGGTAGTGCTCATTGTTTGGAAGACCACAGCCTGCATTGATCGCGGGGACTTGAGCATTCGTGTCCATGGTTTGGGAGTCCCTGGCTCCCATAGTACATGTTTTATGAAGGAAACTACCAGAAATCCATGATTAGAGATGGAAAATATCAGACCAATTGGAAATTTTCCTTTGACTCTCACCTGGTCTGAGCATCTTCTGTCTTTTTGGTACAGTGAACTACTCCAGATTGAAAACATTTCTGTTTTCTCCTTGCCTGGCAAGTGAGCTCAGTGAAACATCCTATTAGCCACACTGCAGGGTTGGACATTGCCACACCAGGTCAAGGGAAAGTGGCACTATGAAGGCCTGGGCAGCACTGCTGCTTTGAGAATTACGAGGAGAAAATCTGTGCTTTACCAAAAAGTAAATTAAAGATCCTGCCTGGTATCAGCCTTGCTTGAGTGACTAGTAAAATTGCAGAATAGCTTCATAGGAAAAAACAAACCCCAGAGTAAAATGGCGAGTGGGAAGTTCCTTCCTGATTCGTATTGTTTTTCCAGTTGCAGACAGGAAACATTCAAGTGTGTTTTCAAGCCCAGAACGTTGGACACAAAGAAGGCTCTGACAAAGCAGAAAAAACCCATATACAAAAAGTTTAGGAACATGGAGCAAAATGTCTGATTCAAAACAATCTAGGCTGGGCGCAGTGGCTCACGCCTAGCACTTTGGGAGTTGGAGGCGGGAGGATGGCTTGAGCTCAGGAGTTTGAGACCAGCCTGGGCAATGTAGTGAGAATCCATCTCTATAAAAAAAATTTTAAAAATTACCTGGGCATGATGGTGCGCATCTCTCGTCCCAGCTACTTGGAAGGCTGAGGTGGGAGGATAGCTTGAACCTAGGAGTTCAAGGCTGCTGTGAGCTGTGATCAGGCCACTGCACTCAGCATGGGAGGTAGAGCAAAACCTTGTCTTAAAAAAAAAAAAATCTGGCCGCGTACGGTGGCTCATGCCTATAATCCCAGCACTCTGGGAGACCAAGGCAGCCAGATCGCTTGAGCTCAGGAATTTGAGACCAGCCTGGCCAACATGGTGAAACCCTGTCTCTACTAAAAATAGAAAAATTAGCTGAGCGTGGTGGTGTATGCCTGTAGTCTCAGCTACCTGGTAGGCTGAGGTGGGAGTATCACTAGAGCCCAAGAAGCAGAGATTGCAGTGATCTGAGATTGTGGCACTGCACTCCAGCCTGGGTGACAGAACGAGACCCTGTCTCAAAAAAAAAAAAAAAAAAAAAAAAAATATATATATATATATATATATATATATATATGATTTATCAAGTATTATTTTTTATGATTGGATCACTTTGTCTACTGTTTTTTTTTTGTCTATAGATGTCTTGACGAATTCAGTCTCTTGCCCCCTGCCTTGCTTTAATAAATTACAAAAACTCAACCAAAGATAACACTTCTCAGAAAAAACCAGCACATTTCTGTGGCCTACGTACATGGCCTATTGAATGGCCTATTGAATGGGCACCTTGGCCGATAGTGGAATAATTGCTGGACTTTCCATATCTCTGGTAAAGGTGAACACTGCAAAACAGTTCACGATAGGAAGCACCAAGGCTTGGACCAGTCACAGTGATGAGGGAGATCAGGTCATTTGGACCACATTATTGGAATAGATGGAGACAGTACCAAGGCCTGAAAATTAAGATGGAGAGTCCACAGGCCAGCAAAGAATCTTTGTGTGAGGGAGCCATTCCAGTTTGTGTATTATACTCCATAGTCATGATTTGTCACTTAAAAGTAATTCTTCCCAATTATAGATCACTTTTAATCTCTAGTTGGGTTTGGATTTTTTTCTACACATTTTTTTTTTGTTTTTTTGAGACAGAGTCTTGCTCTGTTGCCTAGTCTGGAGTGCAGTGGCACGATCTTGGCTCACTGCAACCTCCGCCTCCCAGGTTCAAGCAATTCTCGTGCCTCAACCTCCCAGGTAGCTGGGACTACAGGTGTGTGGCACCACATCTGGCTAATTTTTGTATTTTTAGTAGAGATGAGGTTTTGCCATGTTGACCAGGCTGGTCTTGAACTTCTGACCTCAAGTGATCCACCCACCTTGGCTTCCCAAAGTGCTGGGATTATAGGCGTGAGCCACCACCCCCAACCTCTAAAATTGATTTAAAAAAAAAAAATCTAAGCCTGCAAATCTAAAATTGATTTTATTAATGTAATATATATATAGCCTCCACAAACACAGGAAACAAAGGGGAAATTTCTTTTTAAACAGTACATTAACATTTTCATATAATATATTCAATATAGTTTTCAGCCTCCAGACCTTTTCATGTAAAGTACCTCTAAAGCAGAGGGTCCAGTTAATTTGAAAAAAATGGCTGGAAATACACTGATTTTCTTTACATTTTAGATACTCTGAGGTATGTTTTCTGTTGTGCATTTGTAGAGCTTGACATTGGACCAATTCTTTAAGTTAGGCACACTTCACCCCTGGCCATATCAATCAAGCATGCTACTTAAAAGTGTAAGTAACATGCTATTTTTAAAAAACCTCAAAACTGTGATTCATGTAGTTTAAAAAGTCAAATAATATAGTAAAAGACTTACCACAAAATACGGTGGGTTCACTCCCTACTCTCTGAGATTTCCCAACTCCAGAAGCAACTACTTTGAAATATTAACAGTTTATTGTGACATTTATTCATATTCATAATTATAAGTAATATGTGTAAACTATCGTTTGGGTTATCAAATTAGTTACTGTCTGTTGACTTTCTGTTCTGATAAATGAGGGTTTAGGGCCCTTTCCCTCTGCTTCTGCTCCCCCCATCCTTTCAATACAGTTATAATTTTTCATTGTATTACTATTTGATATTTATATTATGTCCAATCAATTATTTGCAGCTGAGCATACTAGTTACTATGACTATCTTTATGTTTCCAGTGGACTTTTTGTTTTTCCTGAAGTTAATACTTGCCTCGTTTTTATGTTTGCTTTATTTTCTTTGTGGCTGTTGCAGCACTGTGCTCATAACTGTTTAACAACTGCCAAGCTCCTATTTGAATTGTTTGCAGTTGTTTATGTTTTTGATTTCAAGTACCAGTGTGAGGTTACTGAGCAAGGAGTTGGGAGAAGATGCACATGGTTGGTTGGTCTGAGTTGGCTCTAGCATACCTCTGAGCTATTACTAACTTTCCCACATCTGCTTATAGCCCACATTGGGATTGTAGAGCAAGTTCTTCTCTTCTTCTGTTATTTTTTAAAAAATAATTTGCTCTGAAAAAGGACATATTTGTTCTGATTCTCAGGTTGAATCTCTTTTTTTGAACTTGTGAAAATTTTAATAGGCCTTGAGACTTCTCTGTGTATACTCGTACTTACAGAAGGAAGTCATTTTAGAGTTGAGGTGGATTCTGTGAGAGGTATACAGGGCCCTGTCCAGATTTGGGGGTTTTGGCTAGGGAAGAAAGGCAAAAGTTACCCATTCCCTGGTGGCATTTTGCTAAAGGAGGGATGAGGCATTGGCGAGAGGAATGGGGGCGTCTAATGGTGAAACTATGACGATCTCATGCCAGGTGTGTTCTTGCTAGGCTGACTGTCAGGTTTCTTTTTGAGTCTGGTTCTTTGACCTCATGGTCAGCTGGGGCCCTGCTTCCCTTCCCTAACTGGTATGACTACCTGTGTTTGGCTCTTCAGCAATGCCTGGCACCTTGCTTGCCAAGCAAGGTCTAGGGTAGCATATGTTGGCCTGTTGCTGGTGGAACCTTTTCATAGAGTTGAAAATTGGCTGCCTCTGGAAGCTGGGGCCTTGGCTTTGTCTCTAGGCCCTGATCCTCTGGCCCTGGGAAGTATTTGAGTCAGGTCAGCATTCCAGTTTCCTGCAGAAACTGGTGAGTGAGCCACCCTGTAGGCATCTCCAGGTTGACTGGGACAGTGCCATGATGACAAGTGTTAGAATCCCCCATGGCAATGCCCTGTTCTGGCTAACGTGCCATTGCCTTAAGTGTAGACTGGAGGAGCTGTGCGCTTCTTTCCCTTGCCCACAGTTGGCACTACTCTGAGCTTAGCAGCATTTCGAGGTCATTCTAGGGGTCTCATTTACTTTCTGGCCCAAGAGCTTTTCCTGCTCTTGCATTGGTTCCCGGCCAAGATCATACAATCCCTGTTCTGAATTTCCGGTTCATTGACAGCCTTCCCCTGACTCCCTTCACTGTTCAGAGCTGAAACATACTTTTTCTTTCTCTTTTAAAAATTTCCTTCACGCCAGGCGCGGTGGCTCACGCATGTAATCCCAGCACTTTGGGAGGCCAAGGTGGGCGGATTACTTGAGGTCAGGAGTTCGGGACCAGCCTGGCCAACATGGCAAAACCCTGTCTCTTCTAAAAATACAAAAATTAGCTGGGCGAAGTGGCACGTGCCTATAATTCCAGCTACTCGGGAGGCTAAGGCACGAGAATCGCTTGAATCCGGGAGGTGGAGGTTGCAGTGAGCTGAGATCACACCACTGCAGTCCAGTCTGGGCAACAGAATGAGACTCTGTCTCAAATAATAATAATAATAATAATAAAATAAAAATTATTATGGTCTGACAGTTGAGACTCCGCCAGCTCGGAATGCCCCCTTCTGATTGCTGGCCACCGTGTTGGTTTAATGGAAGGGTTGATGAAATTAGTAGTAGTTCAAAGCATAGCAGAGAAAGTTGTGGAAACACTTAGTTTCTTTTCAAAGTAAGGATGGAGAGGAAATTTGAAGGAGGAACTAATTGTTATTGTGTGTGGTGGTCTAGGCTTGCATCTTTGCATAACGTTTCTGGTTGTGAACTGAAGTTTAAGCTTCTGTAGAACAGTGTTTTCTCAAAGCCATGTCTCTAGACCTCCTGCAATGGAATTCTGAGCAAGGAGTGGCTGTTAAAAATGCAGGGTCTATTGAATTAGAATAGAATATCCAGAGGGACCTGGGAAATGGCATTTTATATCAGCACCTGCTGCCCTTGGTGATTCTGTGCCTGCTCAAATTTGAGAACCACTACTCAGGATCATTTGTTCTTGTTTTGGGCTGCTATTCCCCACAAAGTTTTGCTTAGTTATTTTTCTTTGGTTTTGCTTAAATTGCTCTCTGATGTAAAAATTGGTAAACTGCCCCTGCCAACCCTTCTAAATTTATTTCTGCCTGTTTTGCTTTAAACTCCAGGCTAATAATTATTAAATTTTAGGAGTTGCCTTTCATTTTTGGATTTCTAACTCTGAATTTTTAATTTTTCCCACAGAGCTGAGAAAACAGAAGTCCTTAGTGAAGATCTATTACAGGTAACAAAATATAGTCTCCTTTAAATGATCTGTTTAAAGGATGGAAAAAAATTCCTATGTGAGAATTGAGGCCTGTGGGCTTTTTTTTTTTTTTTTTTTAACCAGAAACAGAATAAAATTAATTAGTGTGATTTTGAGCAGGAAAGAAAACAGTTTTGTTGCATGATGATGAAAAGGGGATCTGAAACCCAGCTACCTGGGTTCGAATCTCACGTCTGCGCTGGTTAGCTTTGTGGCCTCAGGGATTTACTGAACTTCCCTGCGCCTCAGTTTCCACTTCTCTAAACTGAGGGAAAGGCCTTATCCACCTCACAGGTTGTTAGGAGGGTTTAATGAGTTAAGCAGGAACAGCACTGGGAACGGAGCCTGGCACGTGGTAAGTGCTAGATATTAGTGATCTATTATTATTACTGCCACTGCAAGCCACAGAGACTGTCTGTTTCTGACGTGAAACATCCCTTGATTTGCCCTGTGTTCTTCTGCCTTTTTTTCAGTCTCTGTTAGAGCAGTTGTGTGGCATTTCCCCAGGGGGCTGTGCATCCCAGCGGGGCAGAACCAGCATTTATTTGCTGTTGATTCTTGAATACCTTGCACAGGAACTCAGTAGACATGGGCCCTCTCAACGAATATTAAATGAGCACCTTCTGTTTCTGTGAAAGATAACGTCCCAGGCACTGGGAGAAATCAGTGAACAAAACAGATCCAGGCTTCTGTCCTTGTGGAGTTTACATTCTAGTGGAAATTGGAATCAAAATTAAATCATGGAATTTGTTCATTTTTTGCTTTTCTCTGGTGGCAAATGAATGTGGATTAGTTTTCTAATGTTTGAAAATCTGGTCATTGCAAGATTTGGGGAAGGTAATGTGGAATCTGCTCCTAAATCTCCCATTGCCTGCCAGCCCTGAGTCCTGGGGCTATGGGCTTGGATCTGAAGAAACGCTGCCCTTTTGAGAAAGAGGCACAGACCATCTCGATGCGTAAAATGGTTTGGGGTCAAATGTATTCTGTTTTGAATTTGTTGATTTATCTTTAAAATAGAAAGCATCCCAAAGGGCCTGCTCTCATTCTTCATGAGTCATCAGAATACACATTTTTGGCATTCCTTCCTGTAAAAAGCGGCTCTCTTTGCCATAAACAGCCATATTCTAGCAATAGTATTTTGGGAAGCTGCTTATGATGCGTGGGTCCCCTAAGTCAGTGTTTCTTATTGCTGACTGTCCATTCTGCTTTAGAGGTTTATTTAAAACACACACACACACACCCCAAACCCAATAAGGAATAATTTTGAAAACACAGATCTTGCAGTTAAATTGTGGAACGTTTATTTTGCTGCTTCTGTCTGATGTACATTGTGTGGAAGGCTCAGTTGCCATGAACTGGAGAGAGCTCTTTGGCATCTCTGGTTTTTTCCAGTTGGCAGTGGGTCTGGGCCCGGATCATTCATTTTCATTTCTGCCTGGTCCAACCTGGTGCTTTTCTGGTGCTGTAGTGTGTAAACTGACTGGCGCCACTCAGTGTGATAGCAAGGTGTAGCCAAGATCATCCCTTTTCCCTGCATGTAGATTCAGCCATGCTTTTCCTACCAGCATGCAGACACCACAAAAGAAAGAGGATGAATTTGTTCTCTTTTGTCTCTGCCTTGTCAGATTGAGAGACGCCTGGACACGGTGCGGTCAATATGCCACCATTCCCATAAGCGCTTGGTGGCATGTTTCCAGGGCCAGCATGGCACCGATGCCGAGAGGAGACACGTGAGTATCAGATGTGACTCAGACCCACAGTTCCTGCGTCTCTCTGAGGCTTTTCAACCCCTGGATTGGTTGGTTGTCCTAAGTGGCATCAGTGGATCAGCCTTTGGTGACTTCTATCACCAAGCACGCTCATGACACCTGCGTGACCATAGCATTCTTTTGTGTTTAAGACATCGCTGGGCTGGAAGCCCTCCTTACACGGAATCTTCTCCAGGTGCTTTTAAAAGCTCCACGATCATGTGTCATTGATAAGAGAATGGCTGTGTCGGTTATGCATCTTTTGCTGGCAGAAAGCGGAAAGCCTGTCTTAAATTGACATTGAAGTAGAAGTAATGTATTGGTTTGCTAACTGAAAAGTCCAGAGGTTGGGATGGACTTGAGGTCAGGGTTTATCTAACATTTTAGTAATGTAATGAAAAACCCAGTTTCTTTCCTTCTCTCTCCTGTGCCCTCAGTGTCTGCTTTGTCCCTAGACAGGCATCCTCATGATGGCAAGTTGGCTATTGGCAGCTTCTATGGGCTGCTTGTTCCTTGAGTGTGGCCAGTGGGAGTAGAGAGCCTCTCTCCCAGTAGTTCCCCTCCCCTCCCCTCTCGCCTCTTTTTCTTTTTTCTTTTCTTTTTGCTTCCCTTCCCTTTCCCCTTTCCCCTTTCCTTTCCCTTCTCTTCTCTTTCTTTTCTTTTCTTTCCTGACAGGGTCTCACTCCATGACCCAGGCTGTAGTGTGGTAGTACAGTCACAGCTCACTGCAGCCTCAAACTCCTGGGCTCAAGAGATCCTCCTGCTTCAGTCTCCCAAGCAGCTGAGACCACAGTACACACCACCATGCCTGGCTAATTTTTTAAATTTTTTTGTAGAGATGGGGATCTTGCTTTGTTACCTAGGCTGATGTAGAACTCCTGGCCTCAAGCAGTCCTCCCACCTGGGCCTTCCAAAGTGCTGGAATTACAGGCATGAGCCACCATACTTGGCCCCAGTAGTTTTTCTTGATGGAGTGAGAAAGCTGCTTTTTCCAAGCTCTTGGCAGATTGAAAGCGCGTTCCATTGCATTGATTTGTGTGGAGTTACATTCCCCGTTTTTGACTGTTTCTGTTCCACCCTAGTTACCATGGATAGGGGGTGAGGTGGGGTGAGGAGATGGGATGTGCCGATTGGTTTAAGTTAGTTTGGCCCAGACCTAGAGCATGGGCTGTGGTCCTACTCCTAGCTCATAGACTTTATCAAGGCCAGGGTAGATCCCTGAGAAAAATCAGGATACTAGTATAGAGAGGAAGAGGGATGGACTCTAGGAGAGCCATCCGGTGTCTTTTCCAAGGTCCACTTGTTCAGAGCGTTCAGTTCCTAGGTAGAGCCAGTGGAGCACAGCAGCCTTTGTTCATGAGGGAGTTCCATCCTTGCTTTTACAAGTCCCCAGCTTATGAGCATGCGGTAAACCTTAGACCCCATGCAACATTGAAGTGACAGTTTCGGTGACACACAGGGAAGCTATGATTTGGTGTATTGTCACCAGGTGTCTCAAAAGTGAGAACTATTAATAGTATGCAGATGATCTGTGTTACCCTTTTATGTTTCCTACAGACTTTTATGGGGCACCCTGGCAGCAGGGTTTTTCCACTCTTGCACAACAGTGAGGATTCTGCAATCATGTCTGTCATAGGAATGGAAGTTTGCATACACCTATGCTTCCACACTTGCCTCAAAGCTCTGTCCCTCGGAACCAGACCCAGCCTACTGGTTCTGCTTCCTGGAGCTCCTTGTCCTTCTGTTGCCTTCTTCTGCTCTGCTTACCCTTTTCACATTGTTTCATTAAGTTCTCTGCTTCTCTTATTCTCCAAGTCATATTCTCTGGGCCACCTCCTCTGTTCTTATGGCTTCTAACTGATGTGTTTATGCCAGTGACTTCTAAGCCATTTTCAACCAAGCAAAAAACTTCCTCTCTTAGATGTCTATTCTAGCATGCATGATCAGTTCTTCCTTCTGTGTTGACTCTCTGAATTCCATCCACCCTTTTATGCAGGCTGGAAACTGGGGGGCTTTCTTATATTCCTTGTTATTTTTTATTTTCAAGACAGGGTCTCACTCTGTTGTCCGTGCTGGAGTGTAGTGGCACGATCCCGGCCCATTGCAACATTAACCTCCTGGGCTCAAGCCATCCTTCGACCTCAACCTTTAAGTAGCTGGGACTACAGGCTTGCGCCACCAAGCCTGGCTAATTGTTTGTTTGTTTTTTTCGTAGTAGAGATGAGGTCTCATCTGTTGCCCAGGCTGGTCTTGAACTCCTGGGCTCAAGCAGTTCTCCCGCCTTGGCCTCTCAAAGTGTTGGGATTACAGGCATGAGCTACTGTGCTGGGCCTCGCTTTTATTTTATCCTCCAAACCCCATAACTGCCTAATTAGAAAGTCCTTTGATTTCTCTCTGTGAATATTTTAAATTGCTCATCTCCATTGCATCTCTACCACCTTGGCCTTAATGCAAGACCTGACTCCCTCTCACCTGGACTGTTGTAGTCACCTCCTGAGCTACATTTCCTGTCTGTAATTTCCTTTCCAGTCTGTCTTCAACCTGATCACCAGAGTCAATTTCCTGAAACACAAATCAACCCTATTATCCTCCTGCCTAAAAAAAAAAATCTTGGCTCAGTGGTTCTTAACAGGGACCAGAATTACACCCCTGGGGGCATATGGAAATGTGTAGAGACAGTTCGGTCATCACAGGGACTGGCAGGCACCACTGGCATTTGGAGGGTGAACCGAGATGCTAAGCATTTTTTGTTTGTTTGTTTGTTTTTTGAGATGGAATCTTGCTGTGTCGCCCAGGCTGGAGCGCAGTGGTTGATCCCGGCTCACTGCATCCTCCACCACCCGGTTCAAACGATTCTCCCACCTCAGCCTCCCGAGTAGCTGGGACTACAGGTGCACGCCACCAAGCCTGGCTAATTTTTGTATTTTTAGTAGAGACAGGATTTCACCATGTTGACCAGGCTGGTTTCCAACTCCTGACCTCAAGTGATCCTCCCTCCTCGGCCTCCCGAAGTGCTGGGGTTATAGGCGTGAGCCTCCGTGCCTGGCCAAGATGCTAAATGTTTTGTAGTGCCTGGTGAAATAGTTCCACACAGGAAGTATCTTAATGTTAGAAGTGCTTCTTCTGAGGGACACTGGCTGGTTCCCATTGCCTGGGATAAAGTCCACACTCTTTAGATGACTTAAGCCCTTTCTCAGCTGATTCCATTTCTCCTTATCAGCTTCATTGTCTCCTGCTGCTTCCCGTTCACACCCTGTGCCAGCCACATAACACTCACCAGTCCCCAAATATGTCACTGTCCCTCACAGTTCTATCTAGTTCCTGTTGTCTTCCTTGAGACGCAGTCCAAGACATATATTCAATAGAAACAAATATTTATCAAACACCTACTGTGTACAAGTGCTGGAGATATAAAATGAATGAAATGTAAGTTTTCATGGTCTCATGGGGGAGATACATACAAATGGATCATTATAAAACAAGATGCTCAATAAAACATGCACAGGGTTTTATGGGGGGCCCAGAATGGGTACCAGAGGAAGAGGGAGGTAGTTAGGTGAGGCTTCCTGGAGGAGGTGGTGTCTGCCCTATAAAGGAGGGAAATTAGTGGCAGGTGGTGGGAATATTCCAGGCAGCTGGGGCAAAGTGCTTGGCCCTCATTTCTGAAACCTAATGCTTTAGCTTTCCTTTTCCAACGTCAAACGAAAGTGCCAAAGACAGGGCTTTGAGGATGCCTACACTTTGCACTTGGGAAGAGGAGTTACCACAACAATGGTGAGAGAAGACTAATATGGAGAAAATTGCAGCAGTCTCCAGGGCTCTAGAAAACACAGGAGGAACCTCCCAAAGGCCTCATAACATGCTTCCTGCATGGGAAGAGGCAAGAATAGAAGGGAAGAGAGAGACATGAGGCAGGTGACCTTTGCAGCCCAGCCACCATTGACATGGCAGAACTGTCGTGGGTCAGATAAGATAGATTATTAGATTAGAGAATTATTTCTTTTTGTGCGATTGGCATGCATTTTACAAATTAAGTCTTTAGAGCATTTAAAATTCATCCCTGGCCAGGCATGGTGCTGCACTCCTGTAATCTCAGCACTTTGGGAGGCCAAGGTGGGTGGATTGCTTGAGCTCAGGAGTCGATACCAGCCTGTGCAACATGGCAAAACCCCGGAAGTGGGTTGCAGTGAGCTGAGATCGCGTCACTGACCTCCAGCCTGGGCAACAGAGCCAGACCCTGTCTTAAAAAAAAAAAAAAATTATCCCTGATGATAGAAAGCTGTTCACCTCTAGGAAGCACGAAGCCCTCCCTGTGGAGGAGTTCAGTGTTGATACTTGATTAATGAGCCCATATGTTAAGCAGAGTTTCCTTATTTATGTACATAGGAAACAAGATTGTTGTGGCTTTGGGGTCAGGTTAGGGAAACCACAAAACTATTTACAGCTGCCATCTTGAGTGATGCTTGTCAAAATAGAGTTTTCTATTATTTTTTTTCCATAGACTCCTAGAGTTCCAGAGTTGCACAATATATTTGTCTTGATTATTGCATTGATCTTTAATAGGTATTTAACCTCCTTTAGAAAGGCAGCATAACCAAAAGGTAGGAATTATCCCCTATTATTCTCATGTCTTCCTTGTCCAGAAATGGGGCAGCTGGGAATAGTCTCCTTGTAGTGCAGATGGAGCCCATTATTTATTTATTTGAAAATAATTTTGTAGGAAGCCGAGGTGGGAGGATTGCTTGAGACTAGGAGTTTGAGACCAGCCTGGGCAACATAGTGAGACCTTGTCTCTACAAAAAATTTAAAAATCAATAATTTGGGGAGAGGGGAAATGAGTAAATGCCTCTGTTTATTTTTAAATTTCAGCTTACTGTTTTGAATAGGTTCTACATTTACACGGTCAAAATTCAGAATATACAAAAGAACTTACAGTGAAGTGCCTCCTAGCCCATTTCCCCAGGCACCCAGTTCCCTCCTCCAGAGCCCCTGCTCTTAGTAGTTTGTTGTATAGCCTTGCAGAGATATTCTGTCCAGTACAAGCCAGTGCATATGTGATTGTATCAGATGGAGCCCTTTGGAGGCAGAAGAGGCAAGTGACATGTCAGGGGTGGACCCTGTGTTTTTAACATGAATGCCCTTTCTGCTGGGCAGGTGAAATTACATGGGATGCTGCAGAATTGAAAGCATTTTTTTGTTAGCAGATTATGACGTTATAACCAGCCCACTTGTAATTGCCAGGCCTCTCCTGAGATAAGCCATTGGCCCGTAGGGAAGACACTGAACAGAGGCCCGGGCCATCAGCACTCAGGTCTGACTTTCCTGCGTCTCCCTGGGATGCCTGGCCAGGCCACTTGACCTCCTTCGGCTTTGGGTTCCTTGACTGTATGATTATAACATTAGATCAGGTGATTCTGTGGTCATTGCCAGCTGGAAAACAAATCTCTGATAGGAAAATGAGTGGCTTTGTATTTAAAAATATTACAAAAACTGGCTCTTTAGCTAGAAGTTTTTAGGTATTTAAATAAAGCTACATTTTAGAATGATAGCCAAATTAAGAGCCAGTTTAGACTGGGTGCGGTGGCTCATGCCTGCAATCCCAGAACTTTGGGAGGCTGAGGAGGGCAGATCACTTGAGGTCAAGAGTTTGAGACAAGCCTGGCCAACATGGCAAAACCCTGTTTCTGCTAAAAGTACAGAAATTAGCTGGGTGTAAGTGGTGCATGCCCATAATCACAGCAGGGGAGGCTGAGGCACGAGAATCACTTGAACCTGGCAGGCGGCGGTTGCAGTGAGCCGAGATTGCCCCACTACACTCTAGCCTAGGTGATAGAGCAAGACTCTGCCTCAAAAAAAAAAAAAAAAAGCCAATTTAAGAATGAGTGTTCTAGCAAAAGCTTTTGAAATTGAGCACTTCATTGCATTTACCTGTCAGGATAACCATTTAGAGAGCAAGGTCTATGTCTCTGTCATGTCCCCAGTGCCTTGAACATAGTGTGCTTTGATTCATTAATAATAATATGAACAGGCTGGGCGTGATGGTTCATGCCTGTAATCCCAACACTTTGGGAGGCTGAGGCATGCAGATCACTTGAACTCAGGAGTTTGAGATTAGCCTGGTCAACATACCCCATCTCTACCAAAAATACAAAAATTAGCTGGACGTGGTGATGCAGGCCTGTAATCCCACCTACTTCAGTGGCTAAGGCAGGAGAGTTGCTTGAACCTGGAAGGTGGAGACTGCAGTGAGTCAAGATCATGCCACTGCATTGCAGCCTGGGTGACAGACTCAGACCCTGTCCCAAAAAAACAAACAAAAATAATAATAAGCAGAACAACAACAACAGCAATAATAATAATAGCAGCTAACATTTACTGAATACTTACAATGTGTTAGGTACTTGATATGTTTTCTTTAGTCAACAGATAGCCCCAAACTGAAACAGAGATCATCATACAACTAATATCTGTGAGACCAGAACCTGAACCCAGACAGGCTGTCTCCTACCTGTGTAATTTGCCTGGAGGGAGAAATTAATGAATGATGATCTGAAAAAGATCATTGAGAATGGGTATCAAATAATGAGAAAAACACACACTGTCTTCTATCTTCCAGAAAAAACTGCCTCTGACAGCTCTTGCTCAAAATATGCAAGAAGCATCGACTCAGCTGGAAGACTCTCTCCTGGGGTAAGAGTTGCTGCCTTCAGAGTGCCAAGTGCCATGTAGATTGGTGGAAGTGGCTGGGCCAGGTGGTGTATGTAGGACCTGTGAGAGGAACTGTGAGCGTTGATGGCATGGCTCATCCGCTAGGAGACCGGCTGAGACTCCTTGGGAGAAAGTGGGGTCAAGGCCGCCAGGTTGCTGGAGAATCTTCCTTTTAGTAGGTGTCAGGCTGGAGTTGGATGGCAGAAAGGGCCATTAACAAAAAAGCAACTGATAGGGTCAATGCCTATTCCCCTAATCTTGGACAGAAAGAATGTGGTCCCTTCTGTGTTCCAGGTGTTGGCTCAGATTTAGAAACTCTGACCAGACCCTTTCAGTTCTTAGTCACATCGTTTACAGGCGGTCACCAAAACGTCCATGGTAGTTATCTAAAAAGAGTGTATTTTCTGAATTACTTGGATTTTTTTTTTTTTTTTACAATTGTCATGTATTCTTTAAATAATTTATATAAGTAAGAACAAAGCAGTTTTTATTGTAGGAGGGAAGGTATACCCTTCTGTCTGCTCCTGCAGCAAGGCTGGTGTTCTCTAGCCCTGTCTGCTCTCTCTGGCTGTGACATGGGCCCTGCTTCCCAGCAGGACGAGGCCTTCAGACTTTTCAGTCCATTTCTCAGCGTCTACAGTTATCTCGCTGTCCTAGAACAGTTTCCTCCCATTCGTCACCATTCCTTTCTCCTGTCTGCTTCCATGTTTGGGGGCCCTGGGAGGAGGGTGGCCTGTGCCCACCTGCCAGCATCCTCCTTCCCTCCAGCCTGGAAGTTTTTCCTGTTTGTGCTTCCACATGCTATGGCCATCCTCATCACACCAGAGTGATACTGCGTGCTAGCATGGTTATAAGTGTTTTCCAAGTAATAGCTCATTTAATCCTTAAAACAACCTAGGAGGTAGGTCATATCAGCACTTAGAACCATGTTAACACACAACATCACTCCCATTTTACAGACGAGGATACTGACAGAGAGGGCAGGGAAATTGCCTGAGACCCCACAGTGGGAGAAGAGCAAAGCCTGTATTCAGACTTGGGCAGCTTGGCACCAGAGAGCATGTTCCTGACTATGACACCATGGCCACCTCACACCAGGCAACGTGCATTTCTGGTGTCAAAAAAACCCCATAGAGAGCTTGCAGGGGTGGAGGGGAAGGAAAGGAGAGAGGGAGGAGGGAGGGATAGAGACTGTGGAGTTATATCACTGCACGTGTACTTTGTATGATATCAGCTGCATGTTCGCAAGCAAACTAAAAGGAAACATGATATTTATGTAACAGGGCCCTTAAGTGTTAGCCAGCTAGCTCATCTGCATAGCAGAAAGGGAGCCTGGCCAAGGCTGGACTCGCAGACATAAGATAACATGGAATGAACTTAATGTCTAATTTAAAAGATCTTCAGAGTATTTTGTGAACACTTGGCTTTCACCTGACTTGAGAATTTAATTCTTGAGTAATTTGTTATTTCACTGTTCACACATCTGTCTGCCACCCACACACACAAAGTGCATCCCTGAGACAGTCATTTTTATTTTAAAGCACAAATCTGTGGACTCATGTTTTAGGCAGTACCCTACATTTATAATATTTTCAAGGCTCGTTAGGTAGCACCCTAATGCGTTCCTGTTGTATGGCAAGCAGCACTGATCCACACGATAATCCAGTGCCTGATTTAATGAGCACGTGCTCGTTGTTGGGGGTCTTGTTTTTAAAGGAAGATGCTGGAGACGTGTGGAGATGCTGAGAATCAGCTGGCTCTCGAGCTCTCCCAGCACGAAGTCTTTGTTGAGAAGGAGATCGTGGACCCTCTGTACGGCATAGCTGAGGTGGGTGCTTCACCGTGCAGCACGGAAGAGCCGAGAGTGGTGTGGGCTGGACAGTGAGTGTTAAAATTTTAACAGTAGTTGCTGGCTTTAACATACACTTCTTTTTGGAAATAAGGGGAGTCAATTGAAGGTACAAAATCCTTTGCCTTAGAGAAAAAACGTTTGTAAATACTTTAAAATGGTTAACCTAAAAGCCCTGAAGTGCATCCCATTTGGTATGTTCTTATTTTTAGGTGGAGATTCCCAACATCCAGAAGCAGAGGAAGCAGCTTGCAAGATTGGTGTTAGACTGGGATTCAGTCAGAGCCAGGTAACAGCTTGAGCCAGCAATGCAGCATTGTGTCCCATTCCCACCACGGGGGAGAAGACCACTGACAGTGGACACAATGGAAGTGCTCACCAATTCGTGCATTTGACCCCCAGACTGGGTGCCAGCCTGCCAGCACCTCCTATAGGCCTTGTTCTCCCAAGCGTGGCAGTGGGGATGTTGTTAGAACATCCTGTTCTTAGTGAGCCAGCAGTGAAAGGAAATAATCTAAGGAAAATGAAGTGAGTATATTTAACGGAAGAGGGGATGGTGGCAGTTTTGAGAGCACAACTCAGAGTGTAGGAATAAACACATCTGTGGCCCTAACAGCTCATGAGGGTCCTGCCATGTCACAAACCCTGTGTACTTGTAATACCTTCAGTACCAAGGAAGGAGGCACTCACATGGCAGGAACTCATGTAAACCTATGTAGCCAAATCAGCGCTGCTGATGTGGGGACTGATGCCAGCGAAGGAGTCTGTCAGGATTCAGAGCAGGACTGCTGCCTCTGCTTTGTCCTTGATGGAGTTTTTTGGCTTTTTTTTCTTTCCTTTTCTTTTTTTTTTTTTTTTTTTGAGTCAAGGTCTTGCTCTGCTGTACCAGGCTGGTGCGATCATAGCTTACTGCAGCCTCAGACTCCCAGGCTCAAGTGATCCTTCTGCCTCGGCATCCCAGGTAGCTGGGACTACAGGCACATGCCACAGCTTGGAGATGGTGTCTAGCTGTGTTGCCCAGGCTGGTCTTGAACTTCTGGCCTCAAGTGATCCTCCCACCTTGGCCTCCCAAAGCGCTGGGATTACAGCCATGAGCCGTGGTACCTGGCCCTCAGTGGAGTTTCTATCAGTGACTTACATGGCTTTCTTCTCAGGCATGTGACAGTTGGGAATAGGGAAACAGGCACCACCAGCCTCAGTCCTGTTTCCTGCTTTATCACAAGGGTTGACAAACCTCTTCTGTAAAGGGCTGGATAGTAAATCTTTCTGGTGCTGCAACCCAGTTGCTCCCTGTTGTAACTGCTTAACTCTGCTGTTGTAGCATAAAGGCAGCTGTAGGCAATGCATACATGAATGAGCATGGCTGTGTTCCAATAAAACTTTATTTACAATGTGTACAAATCAGTTGTGAAGATGAGTCCTGATTTAAGAAATGTTGAGATGAGAAAAGGTATATTTAGGAATTCACACATGGTGAAGACTCTGCTAGTGCAATTATCAAGTAACTTACCTCTTGCCACATGCCAGAGATCGAGCTACTTTCATTTTATGTCAGCCCATTTGATTCTCCCAGCAATCCCTGTTCATTTGTTCATCTGTGTTTTCAACTGATATCAATTAGGTGCTCAGTGTGCACCAGACTTTGTGCTAGACTCTAAATGCATAGGCCTTTCCATGTGACTTGGAGGGAACAGGGTAGAGGTTAGTGTAACATTCCCTACTTTTGAGAGGAGACTTGTTTTACAGATAAGGGAGGGACCTGCATTTGTTATCTATATGACTTGCTTTGTGCCTTCAGGAGCATACATTGCAGTGTTAGGATTCTGACAGCAAAGTCCACAGTCTCCTGGTCATGTGTACATGTGATGTTCCCTGTCACCTGGGCTGGAGTGCAGCGGTGTGATCATAGCTCACTGCAACCTCAAACTCCTGGGCTCAAGGGATCCTCCTGCCTCAGCCTCTCGAGTAGCTGCACACCACCACACCCAGCTACTATTTTTTTTTTTTTTAAGATGGAGTCTCTCTCTGTCAACCAGGCTGGAGTACAGTGGCACAATCTTGGCTCACTGCAACCAAGGTGCTGGGTTCAAGCGATACTCCTGTCTCAGCCTCCTTAATAGTTGGGATTACAAGCATGTGCCACCACACCTGGCTAATTTTTGTATTTTTAGTAGAGATGGGGTTTCACCACATTGGCCAGGCTGGTCTCAAACTCCTGATCTCAGGTGATTTCCCTGCCTTAGCCTCCCAAAGTGCTAGGATTACAGGCGTGAGCCACTGCAACCAGCCCCAGCTTTTTATTTTTAGTAGAGACCTGGTCTCGGTATGTTGCCCAGGCTGGTCTCAAACTCCTGGCCGCAAGTAAATGTCTCTTCTTGACCTCCCACAGTGTTGGGATTACAGGTGTGAGTCATCACACCTGGCCTGTACGTGTGATTGGAATCCTGTGTAGCTGAGAGTGCAGGCCACCCTGCGATACATCTTTGCTCAAGAGAAGGAAAAATATTCTAATGATTAATTAAACAAGGCAGCAAATGCTCCCTCACTAGAGTTGGTTGAGCATTATTATAGATGTTTATCTGACAGGAGTTTTGCATCTTGAGTGCATGTATCTCATAGGTGATTTTAATACTGATTCTTGATCTTGCATTCATGGTCTTGTTCACTTAATCACAATAGGTGTTGGAGAAGCTGAAACAATTGAATATTTCCACTTTTTCTCATTCTTCTTGCTTTTCCCTGGAGAAAAAAATGGTAATAAGTAGGAATCCATTATATGCCAGACATCATATGCTGTGCACATGCACACATATTTTTCTCGCTTTTCCTCCTTATGACAGTTCCACAAGGCAGACAGTGTTTGTGATAGTTTTGTAGATGAGGCAACTGAGATGCATAGAGGCTAAGTCACTAACTAGGTCACATAACTAGTTAAGATAAAGCTGAGCTCCAAACTTGAACATGTCAGACTCTGAAATCTATGCTCCTTTCACAATATAGCATCTCCAGTTTAGCTTTGGCTGACTTGCTGAAGCCTTTTGGTGGAGGAGTGTGTCACGTCAGGAACACAAAGTGGGCAGAACATAGCATTTTGGGGCACTGCAGCAGTCTAGAAAGTTTAGTAAGTAGCTAACATGTTTTTTGGGTTTTTTTGTTTGTTTGTTTGAGACAGGGTCTCACTCTGTCCCCAGGCTGGAGTGCGGCGTTGCGATCTTGGTCTGGGCTCACTGCAAGCTCTGCCTCCCAGGTTCACGCCATTCTCCTGCCTCAGCCTCCCAAGTTGCTGGGACTACAGGCGCCTGCCACCACGCCCAGCTAATGTTTTGTATTTTTAGTAGAGATGGGGTTTCACCGTGTTAGCCAAGATGGTCTCGATATCCTGACCTCATGATCCGCCCACCTCGGCTTCCCAAAGTGCTGGGATTACAGGCGTGAGCCAACGCACCCGGCCAACGTGGGTTTTCTTGCTGCATTTTATAACATCTATGTTTACATTTAAAGTGATAGAGTTTTCCACAACACCAGACATACCCATTTTCAAACAGAAGGTCAAAGCACATTTGAAAATCAAAACAAATTGTTTTCTATGATTATTTCCCACTTTTCCCCTATTATTACTATAGTTTCTTTTTTTTTCTTTTTAGTGCTTTCATAGCTATTGATTGATACCTACATTATTATTGTTATTGTTGTTTGTAGACATGGAGTCTTGTTGTGTTGTCCAGGCTGGTCTCAAACTGCTAGCTCAAGTGATCCTCCCACCTTAGCCTCCCAAAGTGTTGGGATTACAGGCGTGAGCCACCGCACCCAGCCTCATAGCTACACTATTGAAGTTCTGGCTTTTACTTTCTGAAAGTAATCCCAGGTCACAGATGGTAGTATGGTAGTGGAAAGAGCCACAAGGAGTTCTCAAAAGCAGGAGCTGATTCCCAGTGGCACAGGGAACATTTCAGCTCAAAGCAAGAGAGCAAGGAGAGCACCTTGCTCTCCTCCGGTGGCAGGGATTCCATGGTTGGCCACCACAAGAAAGGGGTTCCATGGATTTCTCTCCAGTAGTAGAGTTTGTGTGAGACAAGATGTGGTTGGTTATGCTCAAAGCAGACCACTACTCCTAGCACTATGAGAGTCCTGTCATGGTGAGAAGCTAAAGTCTCCTTTTGCCTGCTTCCATTCTTAGAGAATAAGCTCAAGAGAATTTGGCATCCTGGGCAATGATACCCCTTCCAGGTAGAATCAATTGTGGGGAAGGATCTATCTCCACCAGGTCCTGCCTCCAGCTGTTGAGTATACACAGCTGGTTCTCAGATGCTGGTGACCCCTTTGTTTTGCAGGTGGAACCAAGCTCACAAATCCTCAGGAACCAACTTTCAGGGGCTTCCATCAAAAATAGATACTCTAAAGGAAGAGATGGATGAAGCTGGAAATAAAGTAGAACAGTGCAAGGTATGAGAATTCCTTGATAAATGTATCTTTTCGGTTTTTGCAAATGAGGGATGAAAGTTCAAATGTAAGTTACTTAATGTTTTAAATAATTTCTATCAGAATATTTTGAATGATTTTAAAGGTAGGTTTTATTTTCTTCTTCTCTAAGACTATATTATTTTATGATCAGAATAAAACATTTTAAATTTCAAATAGGATATTTTTAAAAACTTGACAAGATGTCTAAGCTTATTTAAAGATGAAGTCAGAAAAAAGGAAAGAAAACCATAGCAAAACATATAATAAAATTACAGCGATTAAAAATGCATAAGAAATACAAAAGTAAGAAAAAAGAAGTAAAACTGTATAAGAAGCATTAAAATAGATCAGTGAAATAGTATAGGTTTTCTGGAATGAATGCTATAATGTAAAATTTAATATACAGTAAATGGCTCATATGTCCTTGGAGAAGATAAGGATTACTTTTAAAATGTTGCTTGAACAATTGGTTTGTAATTTGGGAGAAATAGAGCTTTTTATCTCATAAATTACAGATTAATTAGATGGTCAAGTGATCTCATTCTCTCTGCATCCACCTGTGTAGATAGATGTTCATTCTGAATGTTATTTGAGGTGAAATTATTTGAAATGGTAAAGGAATAGGTCTTCGGGGAGTCTTGACAATCTAGAGTCTTAAGTCTGGATTGACTTAGACTTTTCCTGCTCTTATTTTTCATTGTTTTAAAAAAATTGTTTTTTTATTTCCTGCTAATATTAAGACTGTTATATTTTAGTTCATTTAGGTCATGACATACTTTGCTTTTCAAAATAGCAAACCTTGATCAGTTAACTGCAATTAAATGACTTGTTTAAAATAATATAGTGGGTAGAAATATAAGAAAAATATAAAAATAATATAGTGGGTAGAAATTAAAACTAAACTCACAAAGTTATGCCTTTGTTTTAAAAAGTTTTTATGTTTAAAAGATGATATTCAGATAAATGCTTCTACTAAAATAATGTCACATTGGCTTATTTGTGGTCTGAAGAGTTGTAGCTTTGTCAGTGTCATTTACCCAGCAGTCTTCTTAATATCTGGTCTAACCTAGATCCTGGCTATTGCCTACTTATTGCACACAAATTTGGGTAGAGGTTTAGGAAGTCATCATGGGCTGATGTCTGTTCTCTCAACTTCCACACTTGTCAGTATTTCAAGTGGTAAAAACTTAAGAAAATATTTTCTGCCTCCTTCTCTCTCTATGCATACCTTGTGGGTAATTTCCTCAGATCTATGTTCTGTTTCACTGATTCTCTCTTTAGCTATGTTTGATCTGCTACTCAAATAACACTGAGTTTTTAATTTCATTGACTATATTTTCCATTTCTGAAGTTCTAGTTATTCAAATCTTTTTGATACTACATTATTCTTTTCTAGTGTTTCTTTCTTTTAAGTCATTTTAAACATACTTATTTAATAATCTCTGTTAATTCTGTTTTCTGAAATTCTCTGTGAGAGTGGTAGGTGTCTGCTTGTGGTGGATTATTTCCTCATGTGTTTTGTAATTATTTGAACTCATTTTAAGAGGGGCTTTATCTGTGGGACTATCAGGGATTGGGAATGAGACTTCCCAGAGAGTATTACCAGTCCAGGTCCATTTTTAATTAAACTTAAATCAGTTTGGGGTTTCTGGGACCACATGTCAGTAAATTTAAACTTTAAACCCTCCTGAAAGCAGGCCTATGTTTTGTGAAATCTCTTGGCCAATGTTTCTCAGACCTAAAGCCCATTCCAAAACAGACATACTTCCCCATGATTTCCATGTGATGCTAAGTGCATTTGTTCTAATCTGTTGTTTCGTTGAGAGTACAGTTCTTCAGGAATCTTATCTTTATGCATGATATATGTGTACTTGTTTCTCCTTACTAGTCCCCAAGGCTTCAGACACCTTGGTCACCAAGACTGGCACAAATCTGCCCCAGGTCATCTCCAGCTTCCATTGATGCTTAGCATTCCGACTTTTTCTTTCTTTCTGCTTCTTTTTCTTCTTTCTCTCTTTGTGTGTGTGTGTGTATGGTGGGGTTGAGGGGAATCAAGGAATTTACTTTATTGCTTTCCCAGTTATTATAAAAGGATGTTCATTACTTCTAACTAGCATTTCCAAGTTTTTGTCATAAATGGGAGGCCCTTCACATTAATTTGTGTACCTTGATGCCAAAAACAGAAGTCATTACATTAAAAAAAAAACAAACTCTCTCTACATATATATTTTCCGGCATATAAGTTTTCATATATATATATATATATAAAATTCCTATGTATATTTATATTTGAAGATTGGAAATACGTACCTAATTGCCTAATCTGTCACTTAAAATTTCTTTTTGGCCAGGTGCAGTGGCTCACATCTGTAATCCTAGCACTTTGTGAGGCTGAGATGGGAGGATCACTTGAGGTCAGGAGTTCAAAACCAGGCTGACCAACATGATGAAACTCCATCTCTACTAAAAAACAGAAAAATATTAGCTGAGTATGGTGGTATGCACCTGTAGTCCCAGCTACTCAGGAGGCTGAGGCAGGAGAATCGCTTGAACCCCGGAGATGGAGGTTGCGGTGGGCCAAGATTGCGCCACCAGACTCCAGCCTGGGCTACAGAGCAAGCAAGACTCCATCTCAAAAAAAAAAAAAAAAAAAAAAAAAATTTTTTTTTTTTTTTACTTAGAGACTAGATCTTGCTCTGTTGTCCAGGCTGTTCTCAAATTCCTGGCTCCAAGCAATCCTCCCACCTCAGCCTCCCAAAGTGCTGGGATTGTAGGTGTGAGCCACCACACTCAGCCTGTCACTGTTCACAAAATTATTTAATTTTTATATATGTAATTCATTTACATTAGGTCAGATATGAAAAAGTGTAAAACAGTGTACCGTGAAGTCTTTCTTCTACCATTATCCTCCTCCTGCCTAATTTCCATTGCTCCCAATAGGTAATAACTGTACTAATTTCTTGTTTTTTTGTCAAGACATATTTTTATACATATGTGACAATAACAATATGACATTGCTGAGTGTGGTGGCTCACGCCTGTAATCCTAGCACTTTGGGAGGCTGGGGTGGGTGGATCACTTGAGGCCAGGAGTTTGAGACCAGCCTGGCCAACGTGGCAAAACCTTGTCTCTACCAAAAATACAAAAAGTGTGGTGGCACACGCCTGTAATCCCAGCTACTAGGGTGGCTGAGACAGGAGAATTCCTTGAACCCGGGAGGTGGAGGTTTCAGTGAGCCAAGATTGTGCCACTGCACTTCAGCTTGGGTGACAGAGTGAGACTCTATCTCAAAAAAATAAATAAAAACAAAATAAAAATATGACATACCCTTCCACCCACCCCCTGCCTTTTTTTTTTTCTTTGGAGACGGAGTCTTGCACTGTTGCCAGGCTGGAGTGCAGTGGCACAATCTTGGCTCACTGCAAGCTCTGCCTCCCGGGTTCACACCATTCTCCTGCCTCAGCCTCCCAAGTAGCTGGGACTACAGGTGCCCGCCACCATACCTGGCTAATTTTTTGTATTTTTAGTAGCGACAGGGTTTCACTGTGTTAGTCAGGATGGTCTCAATCTCCTGACGTTGTGATCCGCCCACCTTGGCCTGCCAAAGTGAGCCACCACACCCAGCCTTTTTTTAGACAGAGTCTCACTCTATCGGCCAGGCTGGAGTGCAGTGGCACACGATCTCAGCTCACTGCAACCACCACCTCCCAGGCTCAAGCAATTCTCCTGCCTCAGCCTCCCGAGTAGCTAGGATTACAGCTGCCCGCCCCCACGCCTGGCTAATTTTTGTATTTTTAGTAGAGACGGGGTTTCACCATGTTGGCCAGGCTGGTCTCAAACTCCTGACCTCAGGTAATCTGCCCATCTCAGCCTCCCAAAGTGCTGGGATTACAGGCATGAGCCATCGTGCCCGGCCATTCCACCCCTTTTTTAACCCAGATGTTAATACACCATAAGTAATGCTCTGTACTTTGCTTCTTAAACAGATGTGTTAAAATATATCTTGGAGATCTTTCTTTGTCAGTCATGTAAGAAGCCTCCTTATTCTTTCTGTATGGTTGTACCAGGCAGTTGATGGACATTTAATCTGTGGTGCTTTCCATCACTTTTTCATCTAAGAGCTCACAGAGATTGTTCTCAGATGCCATTTTGTTTCACTTCTTTTTTCTTCAATAACCTCTTATCTTCCATTTACCCAGGATCAACTTGCAGCAGACATGTACAACTTTATGGCCAAAGAAGGGGAGTATGGCAAATTCTTTGTTACGGTAAGCACCTTCCCTTGAGAAAATGTTAAAGCATTGTTAAAATGGAGTCATTTTAGCTTTTTTGCAAAAGATTTCATTTTTAGTTTTGCTCAGCCATTGTGTGTGTGTCCATCCGATGCTAACGTTACTTTTGTTTTTGAATGTGGGTCTGTTCTCAGTTATTAGAAGCCCAAGCAGATTACCATAGAAAAGCATTAGCAGTCTTAGAAAAGACCCTCCCCGAAATGCGAGCCCATCAAGGTAATGTAACCCGCGTGCGGCTGATGCTTCCTTCTTGCCTCTGCCACCTCTGCCTGGGTTCTTCTTCACCCTGACTCCTCTGCATGCACGTCCTTGGGATAAAGCTTCTCTGCCTAGGAGGGTACTGTTTCCCAGCATAATTTCATCTTCCTTGCTGCATTCTCTAATTTCTTCCAAACCCAAATTAACACACTAATGGAACATTTGTAGTTCTTCTGAAACCTTCAGTTGAAGAGAAAGCTGGCCTCTTTGGGGAGTACCTGTGTGTTTTCCCATCTTCTGTAGGCTTGAAAAAGTCCAGCATTGAATGATCCTTTTCCACATCAGTTATTTGTTCCACAGGACTTAATTCTGGCCATGTGACTCCAAGAGCATCCATTCTAGGGAAAATATTTTGGACTTTCCAAAAGAGAAGCCAGTACTTGATGCCACATCATGCACGTCACACTTAATAATAAGTGTGATTGAATCCTAAGACCGTGGTCGCTTCGTTCAGACTCCTCCTTTGTCTTTATACTAAGCTTTTGTTCTTATCACCATTAATATTTCTCCTATCATATTCAAGCACACTGCAGATTGTATCTGCAAGTTAGGTGCAGACTGAACTTTCCCCTTATGTTGAATTTTAAGTTGGGCATCTAAAGCTGCTTTTTTTTTTTTCTCTCCCTAAAGCTTTCGATGCTGTGTCTCTCTGATTTACCATTAGAGCATTTACCAGCAGAGATGAGCACAGCTGTTGAGTCAGAAATTGCTCGGCCGTCTTTGGATCTATTTCACCTGTGGTGTAGACCTGACATTTGGAGCTTATGCTCCTCTGCAGAACCACTGGTCTTGAGCTGAAAGGGGATCAGGCCAGGTGCTGAGTGGGATGACTTTGTGATTTTGAGACCGAGCATGTGTCTGTGTGTGTTGTGGGGGGGATGCTTTGTGGATGTGCATACATACCAGCACCTTCAAGAATGCGACTTCTTCTCCCCCTAAGTTCCAGGAGATCCTCACAGGTTCTGGCTTTGTGCCTGAAAATTTTGGGATTATGGAATTATAAAATTTTATGTCTTGCCTGACCATATAGTCAGATCTTCAGCATTCTCAGGGGCAGTGTTTCTGATTTTCTCAGCCATTGCCCTTGCCTTCCCAAATAATCAAGATTATTAGTTCATGGAGGATGGTGTTGAGTCACAGTGCAAAGGAACGAGGTCTCTGGAAAATGTTCCCACCTTTCTAGGGACAGACTCTTGCTGGGCAAGTTCAGAGGACCAAGAAAATATATTTATGAGATATCTGCTGTGGGCTGGGCCCCGCATAGGACAAAATAGTAGACAAATCATCATTTTAGCCTTTGAATGGCTGAGAGTCTGATTTGAAAGAGTTGATTAACAAGAGGAAAAACGAGAGATTGGATTTTTTTTCGCATTTTGTTTGTTTGTTTGTTTTAAAGAGACAAAGTCTCACTCTGTTGCCCAGGCTAGACTAGAACTCTCATTCTGTTTTTTTCCCAAGGGTATTTTCCCTAGAGAAATACATCAGGAAGCCATGGAGAGCGGGGATGGGACAGGAAAGAGGTTAGGATGGAACAGCCCGTGGAGGAAGTGCGATTTGTCCTTCTTGCTGAGGTCACCCTTTACCGAGTTGCAATTCAACCCCTCCCACCTCTGCCTGTCCTTGTACCTGCCTTTCATCTTAGTTCTGTCTTTTCTTTCCTTGCTGTCTTCTCTGTTTTCAGAAAGACTTATCTTGTCCTTACTATATAAAAAAAGTGTGACCTGCCCCCACAGCCCCCTCACCTCCGTGGACTCTGGTGTCACATTCATGGTCAGTTGGTGGTAATCTGGTACCTTCCTGACCTGAACACAGCGTCCTGTTTAATCTGGTTCTCCTTCATTTTTTCTGGTGGGTACTTCAGATGACCCCTTCCTGCCTGCCACCTGCATTTTCTTACCACCTTCCTACTCCTGAATCCTTTGCACTCTTGTGTCTACCCCCAATCCCTCTGCTGTTTAGGAAAAAAGAGCAAAACATACTGCAGTTTTCAAAGGACCAGCAACCACCCGTCAGATCCTGGCATTTGACCCGGCATGGGCCGTCCCTTCCTTATTCATTTTTGTCTCCTCACGCCACTCGACTGTCTTCTTTCATTGTAAGGACTCTGCATTGCTCCATTTCTTTTTAAAAATTTTTCTTCAAGAAGGATTATATATTGCTCATTTCTGTCTCCACCCCAGAAGTCAGCCTTTTCTGAGGTCCAGTCCTTGCACCTCTGTTCTCTCCCACCCTCACTTCCTCGCCCCCTTTTCCCTAGAAATCCCCTTACTTGGACAGCTTTGCCTCTTACCTGCATTTTAATCCTTGCAGCCTCCTAAGCATCGGTTCCCTTTGATGAACAGCACTCACCTTAAACTCAAAAAGCAAACCAGTCCTCTTCCCACTCCAACTGTCCCTTTTCTCCCTTCTTGTCTCCCTTATATCACCTTTCTCCAAGTGATTCAGGTCTTAACCTTGGAACCCTTTTCTCCTTCCTCTCTTCCATCCAGTGCCTGGGTTCTGTCCATTTCGCCCTAGGCTCTGTCATCCTCTCTTCCCCTGGCCCACTCTGCTCCATGCTCTCACGGCCTTGGCGTGAACTTGGGATAAGATGTAAATTCCCAGACTCACAATTCCTGATCTTTTCTCAGCTGATTGCCCCTCACAAAGATGTGTTTGTCCGTTTTTCAGCCTGTTTAATCTCTGTCCGTCTCATGAGAC
Source organism: Homo sapiens (assembly GCF_000001405.40). Taxonomy (NCBI): domain Eukaryota; kingdom Metazoa; phylum Chordata; class Mammalia; order Primates; family Hominidae; genus Homo; species Homo sapiens. The sequence goes on along the minus strand of NC_000016.10, from coordinate 24,956,928 downwards.
CCCCTCCAACCTCATTTCCTTTGAGAAGCCTTCTCCGACAGCTGAAGCCAATGGCAAACACTTTGCCTCTTGAATTGTGCCAGCATTTATGGTCTACACCAGAAGTCGCAAACAGCCATATCTCATTAAAAATTGTTAAAAGTTGGTTGTCATCATGTGAAAACCAGATGGTTTGATGTAACAATTCTGATTTCTGGCTTCTCCTGAAAGTTGAGAACATCTGGCAACACTGGCTTTGCTTTCCCACGTGGCAGTGTTGGTTTGGTGCAGAGGAGTGGTTATCGCCTGTCGGCAGATCGTGCACTCCCAGCAGGATTTGTGCCCCTGTGCTACCTATCCGACTCCTCTGGACAATTGCATTTGCAACCCTTGTCTATACCATCGATCTGCCATGACTTAGCAAATATGTCTTGTCTTGTTATTGACTGTTCTGTGTTTACATGTGTGTCTTATATTCCCTTCACAATTCAATTGCCCTCTTCCTGAGGGTAGGGAGTCTCTGTTAACTTTACATGCCTCCTGCAGTACCTGACACATAGTAGGTCTGTTGTTTGAGAGGCCAGTGCCTGAGGTGGAATTTGCCTTATGACTTGCTTCTAGGTCAGTGGTTCTCACTTGCACCCTCTGTCAACATTATACCAGGCTTGGGGGTGGGGTACACTCTGTCCAGTGTTTACTAGAAAGTTCCAGCAGAGGTTTGAAGCATGCCCGCCCCTTAGCATTACAGGGTTGGGCTTGTGGTGAAGGCAATGGCGGGTGTCATTTGCAGAACCCCCCTGGGTGATTCCAGGGCATCCCCTAGTGGAAGGCTCACGTGGCCATTTTCAGCCTGTGTTGTAACTTATTGCTTTAGATAAAAGGGACAAAGTATTTCAGGTAAGATTTGACCTCTGGGAAGGTCCAGACCCCCAGATGCGTTTTCTATTGGAAATTCCCCAGCTGGGGCCGGGCCAGAGACGAGGAGGGCTCCCCACAATTCTGAGAGTGGCTGGTGGCCTGCACCTCATTTTTGTCCCCCACCTTCCTTTCCCTCACCCCTTTCTTCAGTCTTTACCTCTTGCTCTTTCCATCCATTTTTACCTTTCCACAAGCTCTCGGTTCTATGGATTTGTGGGATTTTATTTTTCTTCCTTCCCCATGTGCAAATCTACCCCTGCTGTGACATGGGAGAGAGTGTAAGAGGACACACCAGAGTACATACTGCCTTCTTCCAACCCAGCTTTCTAACAGCAGAGCTGCTAAGGGACCAATGGCCAGTAAAGGTGCAGAGAAGGACATGAACCCTTCCTGTTGTTGGAAAGATTTAAGTGTTTCTCCCTGGAGCAGTTTTCACAACTGGTTTGCCCTCCTTTGCTTCTGCGAGCTGCTCAGATAGCACTAGATCTCTGCAGCTTGCACAGGCAGGCCAAATTCAACCAGATACTTCTTATTCTAATTCATATGTCCGTTCTCTAAATTCTTCTTTCTATTTTACTGCTTCATTGTATTTGTGCTAAGCTGCCTCATAACCTGAAGATAATCTAAAATATGGCTTTCCTGCCATCAGCATAGCCTTCAGCTGCTTTAGGGCTGCAGATGCTGCATTTCTTTCCACTCAGAATTTTTCGGAGCTGTTTGGGGATGCGGTGTTCTGAAGCACTGCATGCCGCGGAGATGTCGCATCTGATGGAGAGTAACTGCAACGTGGAGAGTTCACGTTGGCCATCTCCAGTCTTGTATGACAGATACTTAACTTGTGTTTGAAATTTTCAGAGATCATTTCCATTTTTGCATAGCAAAGAATCTATTTCTTGTCCTCTAGCTAGAAGGCTTTGCATGGCTAGAATAAATTTCTTTTCAACGAAACGGTATGCTCTGGCAAATCTTCCTTTTGGTTCAAGGCAGCCCACTAAACCCGCTGGCGTGTGTTGATGAAGTGTGGTGCAGGTGCAGCGTGCCACTGCAGCTTCTGGGCAGCCTGAGTTGGTGCCATCTAGGTACGCTCAGGCTTCTGTTCCACAAGTAACCGCCCCAGCCTGGTCCATAGTTTGCTGCTCCAGTAGATGGCAAATAACAAAAGCAAATAGAACAGATGTATCCCCTCTTGCACAGCCTCACCTACCAGTCGGCTAGAAAAGCCCATTGGGTAGTTGGGGAGAAAATAGCTTGGTAATGCCGTGAGTTTGTTGGGTGTCTAACTGAACAATTTGCTGCTCTAGATAAGTGGGCGGAAAAACCAGCCTTTGGGACTCCCCTAGAAGAACACCTGAAGAGGAGCGGGCGCGAGATTGCGCTGCCCATTGAAGCCTGTGTCATGCTGCTTCTGGAGACAGGCATGAAGGAGGAGGTGAGGGGAGCTTCGTGATCCTGTGCACCAAGTCTCCATGCCCCTTGTTGTACCCAGAGCACCATGCTCCCCGCCAGCCCCCTGTCCACCCCTGCTTAGTTATACAGCCATTGTCCGTTTTGTGTAGAACAGTGGCTTTCAAGCTTTTGTCACCATGATCCATATTTTAAATTGCAACCCTGTTCCCTATGATACCTATCTGTCTATGAATGAAACAAAGGTTTTACAAAACAATGTTTACCTTTCCTGATTGTGGTACACCCTGACCTCTTTGTGTCCTGTTTGATTGTTTCATTTAAAACTCTGGTTGTGATTTGTGACAATAGATTTCGTGACGCACTAATGGGCTAAGGAGCTTTAGTTTACATTTGCATAGTATTATGCAGTTTTTTTGGTTGGAGGTCATTTACATACTTAATTTTACAGGATTCTTACCCCAAACCCCCCATGAACCAAATAAGGGAGTTTTTATTACTCTTCTTGTATAAATAAGGAAGTCAGCATGCAGGGAGTTTACTCCAGGTCAGAGCTAGAATCAAAATGCAAGGCTTTTTTTTTTTCCTTTTTAAAGCTTTGTATTGAAATAGAACGTACATACAGAAAAGCATACATATCATAGGTGTACAGCTTGATGTGCTTGCATGACTAAACCCACCCATGGAGTCGGCGCTCAGATCAAAGAACATCCCGGAAGCCCTCCTTGTGTTTGCTTCCAGCCACTCCCCTTCTAACAGCCTACATTGGTGCTTCTTGTCTGGGGCCAGATTTGCTCCCCAGGAGACATTTGTCAAGGTCTGGAGGTATTTTGGATCATCACAACTGAGAAGAGGAGGTGTTACTGTCATCTAGTAGTAGAGGCCATGTGTATTCGTCCATTCTCACACTGCTGTAAAGAACTACCTGAGCCTGGGTAATTTATGACGAAAAGAGCTTTACCTGACTCACAGTTCCACAGGCTGTACAGGAATCGTGGCTGGAGAGGCCTCAGGAAACTTACAGTCATGGCGGAAGGGGAAGCAGGCAGTGTTCACGTGGTGGAACAGGAGGGAAAGAGCGAGCATGCGCACAAAGGGGGAGTTGCTACACACTTTCAAACAACCAGATCATGTGAGATCTCACTCACTATCACAAGAACAGCAAAAGGGAAATCCACCCCCATGATCCAGTCACCTCCCACCAGGCCCTGCCTTCAACACTGGAGATCATACTTCCACATGAGATTTGGGTGGGGACACAGAACCAAACCATATCACCATGGATTCTGCTAAACATCCTACAGGGCACAGGACAACCTCCAACAAAAAATCATCCAGCCTAAAATGTCCATAGTGCTGAGGTCAAGAAACTCTGCCCAGATTAATTTTCTTCCTGCCTGTCCCTGTGCTTGGGTGCGTGCTCAGCCCTCATCATTCCTCCTGACAGCCCTGCAGGGCAGGCAGTAACACTGCTTTCATAGACAGGAGGTGAGCGGAAGTCAGGAAATACCCATCAGAACACACTGCCACTTAGTCTGAGTGTCCCAACCTGCACTTGATGCTGATGGCTTTTCATTATCTTTAGGGCCTTTTCCGAATTGGGGCTGGGGCCTCCAAGTTAAAGAAGCTGAAAGCTGCTTTGGACTGTTCTACTTCTCACCTGGATGAGTTCTATTCAGACCCCCATGCTGTAGCAGGTGAGCGCCAAAGAGTGTCTGCAAATCAAGTCACCCTCAAGGCGGTGGGCAGGTTCTGTCTCAGACAGATGGTCAGTTAAAATCCAATTTCAGTTACAGGTTTAAGTGACAAAACCGAAGTGGCTCTTGCTACAATTCCTTAGTGTATATACAATGTAATGTACACTGTGTCTTCTTTACTCCTTTTCTGTTTTTCTATTTTGATGATTAAAAGAGAGAGTAGCTTATAATGCAAATATTTGGAGACATATTTGTATTTTCTTCCCATCTTTCACAGTCTCCCCCCACCAAATTCCTTTCTACCTGGAGAAATTATGTCTGTTAAGGGGATGACTTTAAAACTAATTTTATTTGTAATTGATCTCTTAAAACTTTTTTTTTTCAGAGATTGAATTTGTTTTATGAACATTTTAGTCTCTAACAACTCTTGCCAACTTATGATTTGTTATGTACACCTTGGAAGATCGTTATTGAGATCATTTCAATTTGCAAAATAATATGTCCCAAGATTCCTAGCCTTACCCCTTTTTCATACTCAAAGAGAGTGTTAATGATTTCAGGTGCTTTAAAATCCTATTTACGGGAATTGCCTGAACCTTTGATGACTTTTAATCTGTATGAAGAATGGACACAAGTTGCAAGGTAAGTTTAAAGAACACAGAGTTGTAAATGTTAAAGGGAATGAAGTGATATTGTGCCCTATTTGCAAATCATTTTATTCTCAGGGATCATAAGATTAAAATAGCGTATTTGTTAAATAATACATGTCTCAGCTCTTATTTATGTTTAGAATAAAAATATCAAGTATTATAATTATTAGTGTAGGAAAGTCACCACGTAGGCATTGGTTTAAATTTGTGTTATTTAGGTGGATGAAGACATAGAGTGGTACCCACATTAATGGATTTGCAAATTTCCAGCCCCCTTTATGTTGAAGAAAGCCCTGTAACTGGGGATAGGGGTCATACTGACCCGTGGCAGTGTGCCTTTTGAGCTGTGTGCAGTCTCACCTGTGCGATAATACAGTTGGCCTTTAAACAGCATGGGGATTAGGGGCATTGATACCCTACATAATTGCAAATTCAAGTATACTTTTAACTCCCTCAAAACAACTAATAGCATACTGTTGACTGGAAGCCTTACTGATAACCTAGTCAATTAACACATATTTTGTATGTTGTATGTATTATATACTGTATTCTTACAATAGATAAGCTAGAGAAAAAGTACTATTAAGAAAATTGTAAGGAGGAGACAATCTGTTTACTATTCATTAAGGGGAAGTGGATCATCTTAAAGGTCTTCATCCTTGTCTTCATGTCGAGTAGGTTGAAGAAGCAGAGAAAGTGAAGGGGTTGGTCTTCCTGTTTCAGGGGTGGCAGTTCATCTGTGAGTTTTTTCAGATTGTCCGAGATCTCCAGGAATTTTCCTATATGTTTATTGAAAAATTTGCATATAAGTGGACCTTGTGTTGTCAGCTGTATAATGATGACATTAATATTTACTGAGCATTTTCTTGTGCTAAGTACTGTGCTCATCTTTGTAGCTATTACCTCCTGTAATCTTTAATTAACGTTATAAAAGGCAGATGATGTTGTGATCCACATTTTACAGAGAGGAAACTGAGGCTTGGGAGGGAACAGGGCCAGGAGAGTAGCAAGTAATTGGCAGAGCTAGAATTCAAACCAGACAGACCCAAATGCTATATTCCTCTACTTCGTCCCTTTCCCTCCACCCTCAGCTTCAGTCTGTCTAGGAACAGATGATTTTAAGCAGGACAGCTTTGTTTAAAAAGCCTAGAGGCTTCTGCTTGGCTGGCCAGCCCACCTCCTCGTCTTTTTTCTCATGGCGCTGACTCCCCTCCTCTCCAGAGTGCCTACTCCTCACCACTAAGGGAAGAGGAACAAATCTCACCTCTGTTCTGTCCTCTTCCCCGTCTACGGACACTGCCCCTGTTCCCTGCAGGCAGGCCATGATCAAATAAGAGCCACTTATTTCTGATCAGTTACACTTCAGTGGATGTGAGTCCATCGCTTGTGTCTTTAACCAGGTTTTGCATTTGAGCTTTTTTCTTTTTTTTTTTTTTTTTTTTTTGAGTTGGAGTCCCACTCTGTCGCCCAGGCTGGAGTGCAGTGGCACAGTCTAGGGTCACTGCAACCTCCACCTCCCTGGTTCAAGCAATTCCCCTGCCTCAGCCTCCTGAGTAGCTGGGATTACAGGCGCACACCACCATGCCTGGCTAATTTTTTTGTATTTTTAGTAGAGACAAGGTTTCACCATGTTGGCCAGACTGGTCTCAAACTCCTGACCTCAGGCAATCTGCCTGCCTCGGCCTCCCAAACTGCTGGGATTACTGGCATAAACCACCGCGCTCAGCCGCATTTGAGCTTTTCTCTGTAATTGTGGAATGAGACTTTGTCCCTGGTAGATGGTGAGGTTTTTAAGTTCAGAGACAAGTTCTTAGTCATCACGTATCCTTGGAACCCTGCCTGGGGCCCAGCCTGCTGTCAGTATTAATGTTTATGGGACAGAATTCAGTAGAATCCAACATCAGTGTTAGGTAGAAGAGAGTTGTGGGATTTCTTTTATTGGCTAGCCTCCTACCCAATAAAAGATTTCCTTGTTTATTACAAGGAAATAAACTTGTAAAAGAAGGCGTCTATCTGTTGGTATATTGATTCTATAGTTGAGAATTGTCAATATGGGTGGGCTTCCATCCCAGTAACACATCGACTGGCCTCTAAAGTGTAATTATGTTTAATCCCTATCCATGTTCTCCAGAATGGTTCTGTTCTGGAGGATATTTCACGTTCAAAGTGGTGTTATAGAGGCCCCTTTAACACTCTTGGTCCCTAGTGGGCAGAGTTGGCCGTGCTCTACAGGCTCCTCACTGCCCCTTTTTTATGTCTCTGCAAGTTTGTACGTTGCGCCTGTGGAGTGCAAGAGCTCTTACAGTTGCTTCACAACAGAAATGGGCTGCTTGATGTGCAGCCAGTTTGCAGTATTGCAAGCGAGGAAAGACCCAGAGGTCTGGGTGCCTGGGAGCTCAGCCCCCTGATCTGTGGCTGGGCTGCTTGAGGGTAGGAGAATTTGGGTTCTGTAAAGCCATACGTCAGTACACACTTTTTCTAGACAGAATTTTCAGTAGTGTCTTGTCTCTTCTGTGCCAAGCATTGGTGGAGGTGGTTTTGTCACAGACGCCTCAAAATCGTTCAGCAGAATCAACACTTACCCTGTTTTGCACATCCAGAGATTGAAGGTTAACCAACTGCGCAGAGTTAAACAGTTAATTGGTATTTGACTCTAAATCTGTTTATTTCCATAGCATGGGCTGTTTTCCAACTGTGCTTTCTCTGTCAAAATGGAGGCCTCATTTTTAACATAGCATATTAATAAGATAATTGGTGTCTTAATAAGTTGTTGTACTTAAAAGTTTTTGTTCTCAGTGTGCAGGATCAAGACAAAAAACTTCAAGACTTGTGGAGAACATGTCAGAAGTTGCCACCACAAAATTTTGTTAACTTTAGGTATGTATGATTGAGCTACAATGACTCTGGAGTGAAGATAAGTTTAATGCCCAGCAGAGAAGTCATTTAATTCAGGCATACTTGGCACATTAAAAAACAACAACAACAACAAAAAAAACCACATCACTTTGGAGAGTAACTTGGGGCTACTGGGAATGGGATTTCATGTATATTATGATGAATTTGAAGCATCAGTATCATGCCTGACATTAATACGTAAGTTGGCTTATCATTTTCCCACTACAGCTATTAGCAATAAATTTCTTGTGAAAAGTTTGAGTGACTGTATGTTGGGTTTGGAGTCCAAATCATCCAGTATGTTAAAAGGCAAAATTAATCAATAATTGTACATTCTGTAATGTCTTTTATATATGCTACTTAATTTAAAGTATAAATCATCTTACTAAATAAAATTTCAAAGAATGGAGATTATATATTGCTTTGTGGAATAACTGTGGTTTTAAGAAAATTTACCATGGGACAAAACTTCCATAATGTAACTTCTGTTTTCCTTTTGACTTAATATGTAACTTTGAACAAGTATAGAGAAAAGGAAAAAGTGGCCTCAGGTGGTAAAGTCACTCAAAACCAAACAAAGAAAATTTTCTAGAAAGTGCCCCTAGAAAATTTTCCTTGTTTGGTTTTGAGTGACATTAAGTGACCAGTCAGAATAGTTTACAGGTGATATGCCTGGAATGTTACTTGTCCTTAAATTCCGCCTTGGGCTCTCCTACTAAGCTAAGCTACATACTGCCTTTTAAATATTCCCTTTGATTAATTTAACTCACCCACCTTGGAATTACAGATACTCTTCCTCTATTCAGTGTATATGGTGAGAGCTCAGTACTTCTTAGTATGTTGAGAGTTTGGCTCTTTATTTTGTTTATTTTACTCTGTAATTGTTACTAATTGATTTTTGAATAGGGAGCACATTCCCATGGTTCAAAATTCAAATGGTATACGATGAAAAATCTCTCTCCTGTTCCCATACCCCAGCCACCCAGTTCCTCTCCTGGGATGCATCCAGTGTTTACAGTTTCTTATATATCCTCTCAGCAAGAGTTAATGTAGACGTAAGCAGATACATTCGTGTGTACATACTTGCCTGTGTGTTTTTCCTCTCACACCCCCTTTTTAAAAAACCAAATGGTAGTGTATATTGTATACGTCATTCTCCCCCTTACCTTTTTTGCTTGACAGCTTAAGGTATTTGCGTAATACATCTTGGAGATTTTTCCTTCTCAGTACATTTTGTAATGATGGTAGCATAGTCCTCCACTGTATGGATATACTGTGATTTATTTAAGCAGCTCCCTATTGATAGGTTGTTCTTACGTTTTTGCCTTTATATGACTGTACTTATACATAAGGTAGGTATATATGATAAATTGGATATTTTTATAATTCCACCATAAAGTGTTTTCAAATACAGTTTCCTGTAAGCAATATAACTGTGTCTGTTTTTGTATTTAAAAATATTGAGCTCACTATTAACACATTATAACTTATAATAGGGGTAGAATAGATAGGACATAAAGGAGAAATTGATTAGAAATATACAGCCAATAGGGGTTCAAATCACTGAGATTTAGACTTAACCTATTTTCTTCTTCCAAGCCCTAATTAGTCTATTATCTGAAGCAAAGAACACAAGAAATGTATAAAATGCTTCACCTGAGCCAGATTCTGATTTAGGAACCCTCTGCAGTTAGCACCTGAGCAAACTGGGATTGTGCACCCAGGCAGGAAGAGAACATTCCAGCAGCTATTTCAGAGGAGAAACCCTCCCCTTCTCTTTTGACCCCTAGATATTTGATCAAGTTCCTTGCAAAGCTTGCTCAGACCAGCGATGTGAATAAAATGACTCCCAGCAACATTGCGATTGTGTTAGGCCCTAACTTGTTATGGGCCAGAAATGAAGGGTAAGTCATCTTTCTCTGTATCATTTGAATTTCTTCTTTCCCACCTGATGGGATGCATAGAAATGTAACTCAGGTTACACATTCTAGTTTAAGATCAATTCAAGGTATTCTGAAGTTGGTTTTCTCATTCAGCCTATATTCTTGGAACACAGCTGTGAGCTGGGTGCTGTCCCAGCTGGTGGTGACACAAAGATGTGTGAGACATTGTCCCAGTTCTCAAAATGCCCCTGCTCTTAGGCAGTCAGATAGCTCAGTGGCTACAGTACAGTGATAAGAAAAATACACATATTTATGTGTGTGTATATATGATATTGTAGGAGGGGTAGCACTTCCACCCTCTTAGGGTGTCTGGCTGGGCCTGAGAACTAAATGGACATAAGACAGGTTAACAGGAGAAAGCATACAGATTTTTACATTTTAATGCCCAGCAGAGAAGCCATTTAATTCATGCCTACTTAGCACATTAATAAAAAAACACATCACTTTGGAGAGTAACTTGGGACTACTGGGAATGGGATTTCACGTATATTATGATGAATTTGAAGCATCAGTGTCATGTCTGACATTGGAGTTCCCATAGGAAAAGGAAGATCCAAAGAAGCAGGTGGAACTGAATGCTTATATATGAAGTTGGACAAAAAGTAAATTGTGAAAACGTGACCAGACAAAGGAGCATGGGCTAGGGCAGTTAGTTGTGGAGAAGTGACTAGGAAGATAAGGATTCGTTCAGCAAGGTTTGTTTATGGAGGTTTCCCTCAGCCTTGCCTCCCCGTCCCTGGTGTTAGGAATGTTTCTTTCCTCCTGGTATAAGGAGGGCATCCTTCACATGGGAGTTTATCTCCTGCTTTCAGGATGAAAAAGGAAGGTCGGAGCCCTCTTCTTGCATGTGATGGTTTTCAAGTGTCTTTAACTCAAAATAATCCTATGCCTAAGGAGCATATTTTGGGATAGCGTATTCTGCCCCCTTTATCAAGTATGACGGCAGCAGAGGTAAAGAAACATAATTCAGGCTGAGAAGTCAGGGAAAGCTCTGGTTAGGGAATGGCACTGGAGCTGTACCTTGATGAGTTAACAGTTTCGTACAGCCAGGACCTGGATGGGCCAAGACACTGTTGAAAGGGCCTGGTTTCCATCGTTTATGGGCATGTCACGTGGCTTCGTGAAACTTGAAGACAGAGAACATGAGGCTGTGACTGGGAAGGCCAGAGCCTTCAAGGGCCTCACACATTGTACTGAGGTGTCTGGGACTTATTTTCTGGGTGGTGGGGAGTCATTCATTAAGGTTCCTAAGCAGAATAATGTCTTAAGTTGCACTTAGATAACTTTATTGGCATTGCAAAATGTAGATTGAATAGAGGAGGGGTCGGGGGATCCGCTGGAAAGCTTCTGGGAAATTGTCACTCTGTGGATGGCATTGTGATGATCTCATTTAGTAATCAGAAGTAACCTTTTGAATAGAGGACATAAAGGAGAAATTGATTAGAAATATATAGCAAATAGAGGTTGAATCATTGACATTTATACTGTTGTCCTTGTTTTTGCAGATGAGGACGCTGACTCTTAGAAAGAAAAAGTAATTTGCTTAAGGTCACACAGCAGGGAACTGGTGTGCCCAGGTTCTGGATACAGAGCCTGTGTCCTTATTAACCCTTATTAGCTTTCCAGTACTCTCCTAAAAGAAAAATGGGAAAGGATGGAGAGGACAGTTCCTCCCTAATCCAGCAGAGTTTTAAGGCACACAGACTGATCAGATTCCACATGGGAGGAAGGCTGGGAAGGATCATTTACAGGCAGAGCTTCAATTTTAAGCTGGAATTTGAAAGGAGCAAGAAATTTTACTTGGTCGGAAAGTGGGTGAAAATACTCTGATGGGAAGAGAGGTCAGAGTGATAGGAGAGGAGAGGTTTGAGGCAGTCAGACCTGGGATTGAGCTTGGGAACCCAGTGTCCTCATGTAGGCCTCATAACGGGTTGTTGTAAAAATTAAGCGAGGTGAAGAACCTGAAGCCTGGTAGGTGGCCAGAAAGTGTCAGGCCTTTTGCAGGTGGTTTGCTTTTGTGGTGTTCTGACTCTCAGCTGAAACAGGAGCTTGATAGCAGTGATAATAACTCTTACTTTTTTCTTCTTCTTCTTCTTCTTTCTTCCTTTCTTTTTTTTTTTGAGACAAGTTCTCGCTTTGTTCTCCAGGCTGGAGTGCAGTGGTGTGATCATGGCTCACTGCAGCCGCAACCTCCTGGGCTCAGGCTATCCTCCAACCCCAGCCTCTCCGGTAGCTGGGAATACAGATGCATGCCACCACACCTGGCCAATTTTTGTATTTTTGTAGAGATGGGATTTCACTATGTTGTCCAGGCTGGTCTTGAACTCCTGGTCTAACTGCCTCAGCCTCCCAAAGTGCTGGGATTACAGGTGTGAGCCACTGCGTCTGGCCTACTTATTTTCTTCTTTTTGAGCCTTGGCGTCAGACACTATTAACATCTGAACACTCATCTTGAGACTAGTCCACATATATGATGACCTTACGTGTGAATGGGAGGCTCAGGTTTCAACATAATAAAAGGCACATTTGCCAGGCGCGGTGGCTCACGCCTGTAATCCCAGCACTTTGGGAGGCCGAGACGGGCAGATCACAAGGTCAGGAGATCGAGACCATCCTGGCTAACACCGTGAAACCCTGTCTCTACTAAAAATACAAAAAATTAGCTGGGCGCGGTGGCAGGTGCCTGTAGTCCCAGCTACTCGGGAGGCTGAGGCAGGAGAATGGTGTGAACCCAGGAGGCGGAGCTTGCAGTGAGCTGAGATAGCGCCACTGCACTCCAGCCTGGGCGATAGAGCGAGATTCTGTCTCAAAAAATAAAAAATAAAAAAATAAAAAATAAAAGGCACACTGTAACAATGCATGTTCTTGGTGATATCGTAGGCAAAATTGCTTTTTAGTAATCTTTAGTCTTAGAACATAGCTACCACCCATGTGTGATGCTATTCCAGTGGGAAAGTGCAACCCTCTTTACAGACCAGTTTAAAACCAGCATTTGACACAGCATTGTTGACTGACTGGTTTTGCTGCCCCCAGGGTCTGTGTGTAGCAGACACTGTGGTTGTTATCACAGTGCACACTAAGGAGCAGCCAAGCCAGAGTCATTTTTTCCTGGGTGATCACGGCCACATTCATAGACCAGGACCATGTGAATTTGATTTTTTTTTTTTTTTTTTGAGACAGAGTTTCGCTCTGTCACTAGGCTGGAGTGCAGTGGCCTGATCTTGGCTCACTGCAACCTCCATCTTCCGGGTTCAAGCGATTCTCCTGCCTCAGCCTCCCGAGTAGCTGGGACTATGCGAACGCACCACCACGCCTGGCTAATTTTTGTATTTTTAGTACAGACGGGGTTTCACCATGTTGGCCAGGATTGTCTCGATCTCTTGACCTTGTGATCCGCCCGCCTCAGCCTCCCAAAGTGCTGGGGTTACAGGTGTGAGCCACCACACCCGGCCAGTGATTTTGATTTTTGCATCTTTTAAATATTTTATCCTTTAAAAATAATTGAATTGCCCTGACACAACCAGAAGAAATTAGATGCTGCCTACAGGAAGTATTTTAATTTTGTGAACTTGCTTTGCAGAACACTTGCTGAAATGGCAGCAGCCACATCCGTCCATGTGGTTGCAGTGATTGAACCCATCATTCAGCATGCCGACTGGTTCTTCCCTGAAGGTAATTCTCACTTCAGTTTCATTGACCGCCAAAGCAATGTGATAATCGTACAAAAAGTCTTCTTAAGAGAATACATCTGTAATCCTTCTTCATGATTACGTAATTGGTTTCACTTTTTCATGTTTCTTTCCAGCCTTTGTTCATTGCATTTGTATTTTGACATGATGGTAATCATATTGTATTGTATTTCACTTAGTTTCACTAAAACATAGCCAGTCAGTGTATGTTGAATACCCACTGGGTGCCATATGTTTGCTGGTGAAACATGCCGTCTTACCTGGGGGAACTCCGGCCACTGGAGAAGATGGCCACATGAACAGATAAATTATAACACAAGGCACATTAGAAGATAGGTGGATGGAGAAAGATTTGACAAACTCAAGTGCTGGGAAAAGGGAACCAGGGATTGGTTTTTAGAAGAGGCGATGTTGAATATGCTGGAGTTTTTCACTTGGAAGAGGGCTTGTTTCTCTAGCTAGATTATGGATTTGCCCATAGATAGGAGATAAAGCAGGAAAGGTTGATCGGGGCCAGCTGGTGAAGGCCTGAGTTGGCTGTGTCAGGGAATTAGTATTTCATCCTGCTGGCAATAGATTTTCAAACTAGGTTTGTTGCAGTTCTGGGATCCACAGAGGTTCCCATGGCCCCCTTTGGGGATGCTGGCCAGGCAAGTGTTGGAATTCCGGATCCCCCACACCTACTTCCCCCAGAGCAACCCTGCTGCCATGTCCCGTGGGGTGCAAGCCCCATGATACCCATCTTTCCCTCACCACTGAGCCCATCTTTTCTTTACCACTGTTTTGTCACCATCAGGAATCACGCCTCATTCATATAGGTTGCCCAGTGAGGATGGGATGGATGAGCGAATGCTAGCATTCTGCTCAAGGTTTCCTTTGAGGAAATGATTCTTGCAAAAACTGCTAAAGGCAGTATGAACTTGATGTTGCCTTTTATTTCTATTTTATATTAAAGTGTAAATATCTCTCTTTTTTTTTTTTTTTTTGAGACAGAGTCTTGCTCTGTCGCCCAGGCTGAAGTGCAGTGGCGCGATCTCGGCCCACTGCAACCTCTGCCTCCCAGGTTCAAGCGATTCTCCTGCCTCAGCCTCCTGAGTAGCTGGGAATACAGGCATACATCACCATGCCCAGCTAATTTTTTGTATTTTTAGTAGAGACGGGGTTTCACGTTCTTGGCCAGGCTGGTCTTGAACTCCTGACCTCAAGTGATCCGCCTGCCTTGGCCTCCCAAAGTGCTGAGATTGCAGGCATGAGCCACCACACCCAGCTAAATGTCTCTTTTTGAATGATTCAAATAAGTGATCTGTGCTCATCGTCCTCTTCTACATTCTAGATTTGTTTTTATTTATTTTTTTTCCACAAAAGAGAAAGCACAAAAGTGTGTAACTTATATTCTGACCCATACTTCTTCCCCTGTCTTGTCCTCTTAACATTACTTCCCACTGGTTTGATGGACCATTCTTGCGATGTGAGTGCCTGGAGCTTCCACTTTGAAATAGTGAGGGCTGTGGACTGAAGAACGAGGTTCCCGTTCCAATGAGGGGTGTCTTAGAGCTCCCTCGCCTGCTGTGCTCAGTGTCTCATGCACTTGTTTATTTTTCCTCTTGCAGAGGTGGAATTTAATGTATCAGAAGCATTTGTACCTCTCACCACCCCGAGTTCTAATCACTCATTCCACACTGGAAACGACTCTGACTCGGGGACCCTGGAGAGGAAGCGGCCTGCTAGCATGGCGGTGATGGAAGGAGACTTGGTGAAGAAGGAAAGGTATGATTTGACCGTTCACTTCCAAACCAGCAGTAAATATGTTGTTAGACCCGTGGTATCTGGTATCGCTCAGTGGACTTGGGATTTGAGAGTGGTCGCCATCCACCCATGACTGATGGTGTCCAGATAGTTTCTGGAATTCTGCTGTAGGTCATTCCAAGCACTAATCTCACCATAAAGTCAGTGTGTAGCTTCTCAGTTAACGTTTCTTCCACGTGTATTCCAGCTTAACTTGGTGGTGTGCTTGGTAAGCCCTGCAGTGGAACGGCATCATACACATGTTAAAAGTGACCCAGATGTACGTGAGTGGGGGGAAACAGAAAGGAAAATAAATTCAATAGTGTGGACTTTTGTCCAGAATTGAGTGTGAGAACACCCACCTGGCACAGTGAGTTGAGTGATTTGGCGTTTAAGGAGACATATTTCTGGTATAATGTGGCCCCACAATGGAAGCCAACCACTGAATTTGATGTTCAGTGGGAAAAACCTCAGTATTTGCCAATTCTAGAAGAAAAAAAAATGGCAGTGTTGAACTTAGTGAGAAGCAGTGTGTCTCTATATACTCTTTTCTATGGGCAATTCATGGGATTTTCAAGGGTGATTAAGACTGTTTGTAATTTGTGCCTTTGGATGCCAACCTGTCCCATGTGTGTGATGAAATGCCACTGTACTCACTAGGAATGCTAACAGTTAAGAGGCCTGTTGGAAGTAATATGCTTTTCTTGGTATATTAAATAATACTACTAGAAATAGTTTTACATTAAAACGAAGTGACAAGCTCTTATTTTAATTGCTCAGTCTTATAGTGAGGTGTGCTGTTTGTTTCTTGTTCTTTGTATTGCATTTTTTACCCCTAGCAAAGGAGAATGCATTATTCTGTCCCTATTCTGTCCTTCCAAAATCCACATTTATTCTATGCAGACGTATTACCTCTCTGAACCCTCATTCATACATTCAGTAGTATTTCCTGATGACAGACTCTACCTGTAACAAAATTAGCTTTCATATATTTTAAGTTACAGAATACAGTGCATGAGTCTAGTTAGCACGTGACAGACAATTCTCAGTTACCTGCCTTGTGTATTCTCCCTGCCAGCTGACCCAGTAAGCACGAGCTCAAGAAGCCAGGTATCTTTTTACTTTTTGAACTGAAAGAAAAAGTTGTTAAGTTCATAGATCAGTCGCCTTAAGTGAAAAGTCAGCCTTCCTTCCACCCTCTCCAGCCACATCCAGCCACCATTCCCTTCCCCAAAGCAACGGCTTTTTCCAGTCTTTTTGGTTTTTGTTTTTTTGAGACAGGGTTATGTGCCCAGGCTAGAGTGCAGTGGTATGATCATGGCTCACAGCAGCCTTGACCTCCTGGGCTCAGGCAGCCCTCCCACCTCACACACCTGACTAGCTGGGACTATAGGCACGCACCACCTCACGCAGCTAATTTTCTAAAAAAATAGTTTTTTGTAGAGACAGGGCCTCACGATGTTTCCCAAGCTGGTCTTGAATTTCCAAGCTAAAGCGATCCTCCCACCTTGTCCTCCCAAAGTGCTAAGATTACAGGTGTGAGCTACCATGCCCAGCTTTTCCAGCCTTATGTACCTTTCACATGTAGTCTGCATATGCACATAGGATTGTTTCTACATCTCATCTCAGTTAAGAGGCAGTGTGGTGTGATAACCTTACACTGCCATTGGTAGGCCTTCTGGACTTGACTTCTGTGTCATTCCCCAAAAACAGATTTGAGATGGGAACTAGGAAGTATGGAAATAGGCCGGATGTGGTGACTTATGCCTGTAATCCCAGCACTTTGAGAGACCAAGGCAGGAGGAATACTTGAGGCCAGGAGTTTGACATCAGCCTGGGCAATGTAGTGAGACCGCATCTCTACAAAAAAAAATTTTTTTTTAGTATCCCAGTATGGTGATGTGTGCCAGTAGTCCAAGCTGCTCCAGAGGCTGAGGCTGGAGGATTGTTTGAGCCCAGGAGTTTGGCACTGTAGTGAGCTATGATTGCTCCACTGGAGTGCCAAGCACTCCAGCCTGGGTGGTGGAGTGAGACCACATGTCTAAAGGGGGAAAAAAACAGCAGAGGAAGTATGGGGATAAACACACTAACATGATGTCATTCAAGATGAGGCCTGCCTATTTGCTTTTAGCTGCTCACACCCAAATTGATCAAAGACATTGAACAGTACCAGGTTCATTGGCTTTGCTCAGGCTTGAAGCCGAGTGGAGTTGCTCAGGGGTGGCCATTAGTCTGGTCCTTGCCGCTTCACTGCATGCCGGGCAGCTTGGGTGGCTATCCCCATGTGTGGTTTTAACACATGTGGACCGATGGGCTTCTGTCTCAGTAGTCTGCTCGCATGGTGTGTTGACTGTTTCTTCTCTCTGTGTAGCTTTGGTGTGAAGCTTATGGACTTCCAGGCCCACCGGCGGGGTGGCACTCTAAATAGAAAGCACATATCCCCCGCTTTCCAGCCGCCACTTCCGCCCACAGATGGCAGCACCGTGGTGCCCGCTGGCCCAGAGCCCCCTCCCCAGAGCTCTAGGGCTGAAAGCAGCTCTGGGGGTGGGACTGTCCCCTCTTCCGCGGGCATACTGGAGCAGGGGCCGAGCCCAGGCGACGGCAGGTAAGGAGGCTGACTTCTGCTGGCAGTGGAGGCTGGACGCCCCAGCCTTCTTGCAGGTGGTGGCCTTTGAGCACGGCATCCATGCCCAAAGAACTGCTCCAGCATGGAGTGAACAGATTTACTTTCACTCCTCTGGTTGGCAAAAGATGGAAAAAAAGACTATGAATGGCTCGCTTCTTTTTATGTTTTCCAAAGAAAGCAACATTGGTTTGCATTCTTTGCCACACTGCTTTGGTGCTGGAAACCGGAAGCCAGTGGATGTCTCATAGTGTGATGAGCCTCTGTCACCTGTTGGATGTATACTGTCAGCATTCATGTACCTTCTGTTCATTGTCATCCAGTGTGCTAACCAGGAAGCATTTGAGTGTGGCAAGTTAGTTAAATTTTCGTATTCCTGGCATTTATTCACCCATTCGTTGATTGATTCAGTGAAACAGATTTACTGAGTCACTGATATGTGCTAGGCACATGAGGTGACTAAGACTCCACTCCACACCCCCAGATTTCAGTCTTGTAGGGCAGTTGATCCATGAGTCCAAGGTGGAAAATAAGATGGTAGCTTTTCTTTTTTCTTTTTTTTTTTTTTTTTTCTGAGACTGCGTCTTGCTCTGTTGCCCAGGCTGGAGTGCAGTGGCATAATCGTAGCTCACTGCACCCTCCGCCTCCTAGGCCCAAGCAATCCTCCTACCTAAGCCTCCCAAGTAGCTGGGATTACAGGTGCTTGTCACCATGCCCAGCTAATTTTTTTATTTTTGTAAAGATGGGGTAAACATAGATGCCCTAGGTTGCCCAGGCTGATCTCGAACTCCTGGCCTCAAGTGATCTTCCTGCCTCAGCCTTCCAAAATGCTGGGATTACAGGCATGAGCCACCATGCCTAGCTGGTAGATTTTCTTAAAAGGCTCTTTTAGTTGCTTAACCTTTGGATAAGCCACCTGGAGTGGGCTGCAAATGGATAGCAACTTTTAAGAAAAGTCACCTTGAACTTGAGGTTTTTTTTTTTGAGACAGTCCCACTCTGTCGCCTAGGCTGGAGTGCAGTGGTGCAATCTCGGTTCACTGCAACCTCCGTCTCCCGGGTTCAAGTGATTCTCTTGCCTCAGCCTCCGGAGTAGCTGGGATTACAGGCACACACCACCATGCCAGGCTAATTTTTTTGTATTTTTAGTAAAGACAGGGTTTCGCCATGTTGGTCAGGCTGGTCTCAAACTCCTGACCTCAGGTGATCCCCCTGCCTTGGCCTCCCAAAGGCTGGCATTACAGGTGTGAGCCACCGCGCCCAGCCATAACTTGAGATTTTTATTTAATTGACATTAATTCAGTTCTCCACACTGATCCAGGCAGATGACCACCAGAGGCTACTTCAGGTGGCATCTCTTGTGGTTTGGAACTGACAGCTGCTTAGCTTTGCATACATGTGTGCCAAAATTTTTGTTGTCATATGTTCTGCATTGGCCATCCACAACACACCGAATGATCATATATGAAGTAAAATAAATGTGCACAAAACAAGGACAGGCTGTTTATCCACACGTTTATTTCCCACACAGAGAGATGAATTTGCCTTGAAAGAACTCCTTTCTCATCGTCCTTGGGATGAGCAAGGGAGAGCCTTGTTGTGTGTGAAGCTGCTCGTGAGATAGGAATCTTGTTTCACCATTAAAACTGAATGCTGAATGCTTTGTGCATTCCTGAATTCCATTTTCTTCACCTTGGGAAAGTTTACTTTGGGGTTAAAAAAAATTAAGACTTCAGACTTCTTAGGGCTTCCCGTGCACCTCATAGGCTGCACGTTAGCTTGTCAATAATTGTGCCCTATGCATGTACTTGTTTTGGTTTAAATTTTTTTGTTTGAAGGAAAAAAGTCTAAGCAAATTCACTTATTTTCTTTTTCTTGGTTTTGTTTTTTATTTTTATTTATTTTTATTTATTAATTTATTTTTTGAGACGAAGTCTCGCTCTGTTGCCCAGGCTGGAGTGCAGTGGTGCAATGTTGGCTCACTGCAACCTCTGCCTCCTGGGTTCAAATGATTCTCCTGCCTCAGCCGCCGGAGTAGCTGGGATTACAGGCATGGACCACCATGCCTGGCTAATTTTTGTATTTTCAGTAGAGATGGGGTTTCACCATGTTTGCCAGGCTGGTCGCGATGTCCTGACCTCAAGTGATCCACCTGCCTTGGCCTCCCAAAGTGCTGGGATTACAGGCGTGAGCTACTGCCCCGGCCTGTTTTTTGTTGTTTTTTTTTTTTCAGACAGGGTCTTGCTCTGTCACCCACGCTGGAGGGCAGTGGTGTGATCATGGCTCACTACAGCCTTTTAATCTCCCAGGCTCAAGCGATCTTCCCACCTCAGCCTCCCAACTGGGACTATAGTAGTGCATCCCCATGCCCAGCTAATTTTTTTAAATTTTTGTAGAGACGAGGTCTCACTGTGTTGCCCAGGCTGGTCTTCAATCCTGGTCTCAAGCAGTCCTCCCTCCCTAACCTCCCAAAGTGCTGGGATTACAGGCATGAGCCACCATGCCCAGCCAATTTACATATTTTCATTTCCTTGTGACATTCCATTTGTTTAATCAAGGCTAAATGTATTATTTAAGACAATAATTAGTCTTAATGCAGAAGGACAAATGGAATGTCAGTTACTTTGCTTTTTTTTTTTTTGAGACAGCATCTCGCTCTGTCAGCCAGGCTGGAGTGCAGTGGCATGATCTTGACTCACGGCAACCTCCACCTCCTGGGTTCAAGCGATTCTCCCACCTCAGCCTCCAGAGTAGCTGGGACTACAGGCATGCGCCACCACGCCTGGCTAATATTTGTATTTTTAGTAGAGACGGGGTTTCACCTTGTTGGCCAGGCTGGTCTTGAACTCCTGACCTCAAGTGATCCATGTGCCTCAGCCTCCCAAAGTGCTGGCGTTACAGGCGTGAGTCACTGTGCCTGGCCTGCTGTTTGTTTTTTATACTGTATTCTGTAGGTATTTTTATGTACATTACACTAATGTTATTCACTCTTTGGTGACCTTGACAAAATGGAGCTACAGAGTTTGGTATAAAAAGTTCTGGGCCAGGAAACAGGAAGCCTGAATTCTGATCTCTATCCTGCTGCTACCAACTCTGGACTTCGAGTAGTCATTTAGCCTCTGAGTTCTCCTTCTTCAGTCCAAGTTATTGATAATAATCAAGCCCTTTATCATTTAGGGTCTTATTTTGCCATGGCTTTTGCTTAGTTTTGTACAGTGTATATGTCAACATGTAAAAGCCATTTCATGGTATTAAGTACTGCCCAATTTAAGTCCAAACGCAGTAGAACTGAAAACTCCGCATTGGTTGCTTTGAAATGGTCTCTCTGATGATACTGGAGTGGCAGAGTCGTTGGAGTCCAGTCTGATGCAACGAATCTCATAAAATAAATAGTCCTATAGTCCCGGCTACTCAGGGTGCTGAGGCAGGAGAGGATTGCTTGAGTCCAGAAATTTGAGACCAACCTGGGCAACATAGCAAGACCTCATCTCTTAAAAAAAAAATGGCACCAAGTAAACATTAGCTCTTTATATGGCACCAAGTAAACATTAGCTTTATAAGCCCAGTGTGAGCTAGTTAGAATTTCAGATCCTTTTCCTGCCTGCCGAAGTGAAAACTCTGCTTGGAATCTTATGTTTTATGTGCAGTATGTTCAGATTTTCTAGCTGGGATTGTCTGACGTCTAACTTGACTTTTACTCCTCTTAGTCCTCCCAAACCGAAGGACCCTGTATCTGCAGCTGTGCCAGCACCAGGGAGAAACAACAGTCAGATAGCATCTGGCCAAAATCAGCCCCAGGCAGCTGCTGGCTCCCACCAGCTCTCCATGGGCCAACCTCACAATGCTGCAGGGCCCAGCCCGCATACACTGCGCCGAGGTAAGCAGCCACCGTCCTCCTTGCCCTCAGGGAAGCCTGTGCAGACCTCCTTAAGTTAGTGCAAGGATTCAGATGGTGAGGTTTGTGGCCAGATCTTTTCTATGTCTGTTGTAAAATCCCAAGCAGAAAATTCAGTCATTCAAGAGAAAAGTCATTAAAGAAAAAGGAAAAAATAGAGAACAGAAAAGCAGACATTTAGTTTTTCCTTAGGCGTGACAAAGCTTAACAAACAGTCAGTTCTGCAGAAATGCTCCCAGTTTTCCTGGTGTCCCAAGCCCTCGCTCTGTTTGGAGACTACCACAGCCTCTGTACTTCTCAGCTTTGTGGGTCTGGGAGGCACTTTTGCTTCGGAATTGGGGTGAAGGCTTTCTAGGTCCTGATTAACAGAATCTGAACTGCTCCCACCTGTCTTCCCTGCAGTCCTCCACCCAGCAGCCAGGGGAATTGCTTTAAAACTCCAAGCAGATCATGTCGTCTCTTGGTTAAACTCTTCAGTGGCTTCCATGCGAACTTCTCACCCTGGGTTCTCTGTGCTTTGGTGGGGCCTACCTCTGAGCCCAGAGCTTACACTCCCTCCTCTCAACACACTCCACTCTTGGTTCCTTGAATGAACTAAGTTCATCCCCTCCTTAGGGCTTCCAGAACATTCTGTCCCATATCTTCACATGGTTTCTTCTTACCATTCAGGTCTCACCTCAAAAATCACTTCTTCCAGCTGGGCGTGGTGGCTCACACCTATAATCCCAGCACTTTGGGAGGCTGAGGCAGGAAGATCGCTTGAGGCCAGGAGTTGGAGACCAATCTGGTCAACATAGTGAGAGCCCACCTCTACAAAAAAAATTTTAAAAATTATCTGGGTGTGGTGACACACACCTATAGTCCCAGCTACTCAGGAGGCTGAGGCAGGAGGATCACTTGAGCCCAGGAGGTCGAGCCTGCAGTGAGCTATGATTGCACCACCGCACTCCAGCCTGGACAACAGAGTGAGACCCCATCTCTAAAATAAAAAAGAGAGGCCAGGCGCAGTGGCTCACACCAGTAATCCCAGCACTTTGGGAGGCCGGGGTGGGTGGATCACTTGAGCCAGGAGTTCAAGCCTGGCCAACATGGTGAAACCCCATCTCTACTAAAAATACAAAAATTAGCCGGGCATGGTGCTTGCACGCCTGTGGTCCCAGCTACTCAAGAGGCTGAGGCAGGAGAATTGCTTGAACCTGGGAGGCAGAGGTTGCAGTGAGCCAAGATTGTGCCACTGCACCCCAGCCTGGCCAACAGAGCAAGACTCTGTCCCGAAAAAAGAAAAAAAAATGGATTAAATTCACTGTGTCTGTCTATAGAAGCATGGTCTTTACAAAGCACTACACAAATGTTAGTGGAATTTCTACAAATCATAGGCAGGGAGGCAAATCCGAGTCCACTGCTTGGTTGCAGACCCCCACTTTATTCTTCTTCAGGCTGCCTCTCTGGGCCCTGTCATCTTATCAGGATCTCAGCTGATCCTTGAGGGAAGTTAGTCTTCTGGACCTAGATTCCAGGTGTGACTCTGGTTTTGGATTAAGAAGACTCTTTTCCTTATAGCCGCATTCAGAGTCTTTCATGCTTCCCGAAATCACAGCTCCCAGGCTTCTTCGCAGGATGGGTTTGATTCTTTTTTCCTTCCCCACCCCCTGCGCCTCTGAGGTGGTCTCAGACAAGGCCTCCATTTCTCCCAGCCCCCTCCCCCTGACACTTTGCTCCCACGCTCCCTCTCCCCATCCTCTTCACACCCTTAAATTTCAGGAACGAGCTTTTATTCAGTATGACTTTACAATTAGTATTGCTTAGAACAGAAAACTAGACTTTTTTTTTAAATGCCGATGGCAGTCTGGAGTACAGCTAATGTAAGCTGGTTGGTGGTTTCTGAGTTCCAGGGTTGAAAGTTCCAGACCAGTGTAGCAGAGTAGACTTTACCCTTTTTTCTTTTTTTTTTTCCTTTCTTATGTTTTTTAGAGGCAGGGTCTCGTTTTCTCACCCATGCTGGAATGCAGTGGCGTGATAATAGCTCACTGCATCCTCCAGCCACTGGACTCAAGTGATCCTCCCACTTTGGCCTCTCAAAGTGCTGGTACTACAGGCACATGCCACCATGCCTGGCTGCTTTATTTTTTTGTAGAGTCGGGGTCTCACTGTGTTGCCCAGGCTGGTCTTGAGTGATCTTCCTGCCTCAGCCAGTCAGAGTGCTGGGAATACAGGCATGAGCCACCGAGACTTTACCCTTTTCAATCCTGAATTCTGGGCCCTGTAAACAGGCAGCCGGGGAATAGGGGAAGGAGGAAGAGGAAAAAGCATTCAGGGAGTCCACATGTCATGGGCAGGAGTCTCAGTTCTGCCCCTTACTAGCTGTGTGACCTATTACCAAACACTGGCCCTCTTCAAGCCTCAGTTTTCTTCTCTGTGAAAATGGGGATAACAGAGCTTGCCCTGCAATGAGCTTATGAAACTTGAATGAGATAATTTATATAAATTATAATGTGCATAATTTATATAAAAGGCCTTACTTGGTACTGGTGATAAGAGTGATACATGTTCATTTCTTTCCTTCATTTCCTTCTCCTTCTTTCTTAGAGAACCAGTAGGATCTTAGCAGAGTTTGAAAAAGGCTAAAATCTCTCCTTTCCCCCTACCCCTCCCAGCCCAAAACCAGAGCCCCAGATCTGTTGTTTTCCCTCCTGCCCTCATCAGTCCCAGGTTCCTATCCCTGATCTCAGCTGGTGTAGGGAGGAGAGTGATGTGATTCAGCTCTCTTTAGAGAAATAATTCTAAGGCAACTCTTCCAGATTTATTCATGCTTTTGTCCAGGACATATCTATTAACTCAAATGGTTGCGGAATTGGTAGAAATTCTGTTATTAAGACCAATCAAACCAATCAAACTCTCAAGGAGAAGGTGGCTTGGGATCAGGGGTCATGTTATATCAGGGTGAACTAGTCATGCTTGGTGGTCCCTCCTGGCTGTTCTGCCTCTTTCTGCGTCTTCCCATGGGGCCCTAATGAGGAGGCTGCTAAGTGGGCTGAGGGCAGCACTTCCGTGTCATTGGGGTGGCCTCTGTTAACAGTTTTCTTCTTATTGAACTTTCAAAACGATAGGCCTTTAAAGCCCTTTCAAATGTGCATAATGTACTTAATTTTTAAAATAAACTTGTTTGTTTGGAGTAATTTTGAATTTATAGAAAAGTTGCAAAGATAATGCTGAGAGTTCCCATATGCCCCTTACTCAGTTTCCCCTGTTGTTAATGTGTTACATGACCATGGCACATTTACCCCAGCTCAGAAGTCAACATTGGGCTAGTCCCCCCATCCCCCCCAACTTTTTTTTTTTTTTTGAAATGGTCTCACTCTGTTGCCCAGGCTGGAATTCAGTGGTGTGATCACTGCAGCCTTGGACTTCCCAGGCTCATGGGATCCTCCCACCTCAGCCTCATGAGTAGCTGGGATTACAGGCGCATGCCACCACGCCCGGCTAATTTTTGTAGTTTTTTGTAGAGATGGGGTTTTGCCACGTTGCTCAGGCTGGCCTTGAACTCCTGCACTCAAGTGATCCGCCTGCTTTGGCCTCCCAAAGTGCTGAGATCACAGGCGTGAGCCACTGCACCTTGCGGTTCATTACCATTAACTAGACTCCACATTTTGTTCAGATTTCCCTAGTTTTTCCACTCATGTCCATTTTCTGTCCCAGGATCTCATCCAGGAGCCCACATTATATGTAGTCATCGTATCTTCTTCGTCTCCTGCTGTCTGTGACATGTTCTCCGTCTTTCTGTGCTTTTCTATGGCCTTGATGGTTTTGGAGAGTACTGGTCAGGCATTTTGAAGAAAGGCCTTCAATTTGTGTTTGTCAGATGTTCTTCTGATGGGTTATGGGCTTTGGGGAGGAAGACACAGTGTGGTGCCCTCCTGACCACCTCTCATCAGAGGTACATGATGCTGGTGTACCTTATTACTGGTGATGTTAAATTTGGGCTCCTGGCCAGGGTTGGTTGCTGCCTCACTGTTCCTACTGAAAGGTGTTTTTTCTCTTTTTGTGCAGCTGTTAAAAAACCCGCTCCAGCACCCCCGAAACCGGGCAACCCACCTCCTGGCCACCCCGGGGGCCAGAGTTCTTCAGGAACATCTCAGCATCCACCCAGTCTGTCACCAAAGCCACCCACCCGAAGCCCCTCTCCTCCCACCCAGCACACGGGCCAGCCTCCAGGCCAGCCCTCCGCCCCCTCCCAGCTCTCAGCACCCCGGAGGTACTCCAGCAGCTTGTCTCCAATCCAAGCTCCCAATCACCCACCGCCGCAGCCCCCTACGCAGGCCACGCCACTGATGCACACCAAACCCAATAGCCAGGGCCCTCCCAACCCCATGGCATTGCCCAGTGAGCATGGACTTGAGCAGCCATCTCACACCCCTCCCCAGACTCCAACGCCCCCCAGTACTCCGCCCCTAGGAAAACAGAACCCCAGTCTGCCAGCTCCTCAGACCCTGGCAGGGGGTAACCCTGAAACTGCACAGCCACATGCTGGAACCTTACCGAGACCGAGACCAGTACCAAAGCCAAGGAACCGGCCCAGCGTGCCCCCACCCCCCCAACCTCCTGGTGTCCACTCAGCTGGGGACAGCAGCCTCACCAACACAGCACCAACAGCTTCCAAGATAGTAACAGGTAAGTAGGACATCAATGCCCGTATTTCCTCGTCTGCTCTACATTGCTTTTGTACTACTACATTTTATTTAAGCTTTGATTTATGCCAGGTGTCAGCAAACTACACCCGCAAGCCAAACCAAACCTGTCCTGCAGCCAGTTTTTGTCATTAAAGTTTTATTGGAACACAGCTACACCCATTTGTTAACATATTGTCTGTGGCTGCATTGGTGCTGAAACAGCAGAGCTGGGTAGTCGTGACCAAAGATCCTGTGGCCCACAAAGTTGGAAACATTTACTGCCTGGTCCTTTAAGTTTGCCGACCCCTGACTTATAGTTGCTTGTGTGTTTAAGACCTATGTACGTTTACATTTTTCTCAACATAATGGCTTTTATTCCAGGTGGAAGGTATTTTACAACACGAGCATGAACTTTATTTCTTAGTGAATTCCTCATTAAAATGCTTAAACAGTACTTCTAAGAGTAAAAGTGTTCATATTAAGTACAGAATTTCAGGTATAACTTTAAAAAACATGATTTATGCCAAATTGAATGCTCCAGAAGGGAGATCTCAGGGCACTGTCATGTTCTAATGGCTTGGGAGGGAAGAATCAAGATTTTCCTGTAGACCCAGTGGGAACCTGTTTGGAAGTGGTGGTGATTGTACAGGTTTTAGTGGGCTACCTAATGGCATATTTTTAATAGTCTAGAACATGACCATTTTATTTAACATTTCAAGAATATTTCCATCCCAAATGCTCTAATTTATTATTTAATTTAAGGATGAATATGGGGGTTTCTAGTGTGTTTTTAAAAATGGTAATTAGGGGCCTCAAATAATTTCTTACAGCAGCCTAGTTTAAATTGTTCTAAGTGGAGGCACTTTCGGAAAAGAAGCTGAAATACACCTCTGGGCTTTCCAACCATATTGAGTGACTTTGCAGCTAAAAATGTGCCAAGGTTTCCATTAACCCAAAGGGTGACGGTTAACTGATTCTAACAGCTTTTGATAACTTTTTTCAGGAATATAATACATAATTTGCACATGTTATAAATGGTTAATAACTTTTTTTCTGATGCCATCAGAGCTTTTATTTTGAAAACAACAAAGCCATGTTGGTTTGTTTGTTTTGTTTCCCAATAGATGCCCTTCCTAGTGCCCTCACAGGTGGGGAAGGTTTCCAGGACTAAGGTCTGTAATGGCCCCGAGCAGCTTGCCCCATAGCTCGCCCCACAGCTCCAAATGCTCCTGCTTAGCCGTGTTTTGCATATGTGCTTTTGACCATGTGCTCAGGAGCAGCCGTTTGACCGTGTGCCCTGACAGCCAATAGGCCATCCATTCTGTAGCATATTGACATTTCTTTATTTTTATCAGAAGCACTTTGAGCTGCAGTGCTTCAAATTCGAGGAGTAGATGTCAGTAGATCAAGAGCCTGATTTCAAGCTGCTCTTGAAGAGTATCTTCTTTCTTAGGGGCCAAGCACAGTGGCTCGTGCCTCTAATCCCAGTACTTTGAGTGGCTGAGGCAAGAGGATTGCTTGAGCTCAGGAGTTCGAGACTGCAGTGGGTAGTGATTGTGTCACTGCACACTGCAGTCCAGCCTGCATGACAGAGTGAGACCCTGCCTCTTTTTAAAAAAAAAAAAAAAAAGGAATATCTTCTATCTTTTTGGTGAGCCTCTTAGCAGCAGTCTACTCTTCCCAGTGTGATTTACCTGTCACTGATGGGCTCACCAGCATCCAACCAAAGAGGACCCAGGTGCAGTCAGCACGGGAGGAAATTGTGTCCTTTGTGTCTTGAGCTTTAATTTTAAATTTTTGTATTTTAAGTGCAAGTTAACTGCATGGAGCTTCTTAATTTGATATTTTAAATTCTCAAGACCAAAAAATTAAAAAAAATCTTCCGCCAAATACCCTACACTGAATTATTTTAAATTCCTTTGCATCCTAGCATGCTTACGTTTTGCTTTATTAAACCATATGAGCTTTTTAAAAGGCACTGTGAGCTCATCTAAGTCTGCCGCTGGGTCTACATGTGGACAGCATAAGGCCCTCATCATATGTACAGCTGCTTTAATCAGCTGGCCTGAGCCTTAGGCCTACTGTGGGCCCCTTAGCCAGAGTGCTCACAGCTTAGGTCTGAGTAAGACTTTCTGTAGGAACCGTAAGTGGAAAACCAGAGTGTAGCCTTCAAAACAGGGAGGAGGCCCGGGTGCGATTCCACAATTTCATGCTTGTGACACACCAAAATGTTATTATCAGATATTTCCTTTTATTTAAATGAAAGATTGCAAACCAGAATTATGCCTATTTTTTAATACCATTGTTACCCGGGGTGTATTTATTCCACAAGTTTAGTTTACTGATCTGCTACAACACTGTAATATACTGCCTGTAATTATTAGATAAGTGAAATTTTACATTAAAAATGTGTTTCCCGAAGATACTAGCTATTTAAAAACCGGTCTATGCTATGAATTCTCCTAACTCAAGAAATTCCAGGTTACCAGAGTTATCTTTGTATTACAGAATTAACCTGTACTATCTTAAAATCCCCTGGCCTCCCACTGAAAGTACACAGAAGGCCAACATTTAGAATTTTTTAATCTGCTAGTATTGATCATACTGCTATTAACCATTCTTGGATGTAGCCATTGGGTTTTTCAAGGAGGAAAAAATATATAACTTCCTTGGACAGGATGGTCCTTTATTATGACATAATGTTTTCACTTAGAAAACTTTAGATGGACAAATTCCTGAAAACAGGTTATTCCTTTAGAATTGGATTAAGTTAGAGTTTTAAAGAGTTGGGTTAAGGCTAATGGGATTAAGATAAACTCTTGGGGGGAGATTATTGCTGCCAAGCAGGTTTGGCAGCCAACTTCTCACAGCTCAGCACCAGCACTGGAGGATGCCGGCATTCTGGCATCATTTTGAGTCTCCTGTTAATTGTGACTCTAGAGAGCAGTAAGAGTTTTAATTCCCATGTAAAAGAGTTTACATCTTGCTATTTTTGAAGTAATAGATTTTAGCAAAGAGTATTCTAATTTAAACATTTTATTAAATAATTTAGATGTATGACCTGCCATATTCAGTAAGAACTGAGATTGGAATATTTAATGGTAAGGAAAAGGCACCTGATTGGCCAATGCATTTTTGCTACTTGATGATCATATTTGTGCACTCATGCCTGTTACTAACTGGCCACCCTAACCCTGCCTGCTTGCATCCCTACTAATAGTGCATGCACTGAAGGAGGACTGGCTTTGTTGATGCTTGCTGCAATGATTCGGAATACTAAGTGTGTACCCAGATGTGGAACAGGTGGTCACAGGGCTGTCCTTGTTACTTCTTTAATTTCCATTCTTTTCCATATCAGGCAAGCTTGAGGTATAGTAGGAAGAACACACATTATGGAGTCAGACCTGACTGAGTTAGAATTTCAGCTCTTGGTATAACATAGGCTAGGCACAACCTGGCTGATCTGTAAAGTGGTGACATCTGTCTAAATTGTTGAAGATGAAATAAGAGAAAGTCCAAGATTATTCTGTTAGCCAGTTACAGTTCTTAATATACGCGCAATCTCGGCTCACTGCAAGCTCCGCCTCCCAGGTTCAAGCAATTCTCCTGCCTCAGCCTCCTGAGTACCTGGGATTATAGGCGCCTGCCACCACATCTGGCTATTTTTTTTATTTTTAGTAGAGACGGGGCTTCACCATGTTGGCCAGGCTGGTCTCGAACTCCTGACCTTAGGTGATCCGGCCTCCTCAGCCTCCCAAAGTGCTGGGATTATAGGTGTGAGCCATTGTGCCTGGCCTGCTATTTATCATTTTTATCTAGAAGAAAATAGTTTTAATCAGATTTCTATGTTAGATTCACATATCAGGGTTTTAAAAACTCATACGCCCGGACCCGGCCTTCTAGGACCCAAACACAGGAGACTGGGGGTGGAACCCAGGTATCCATATTTTGATTCTGATGCACCACTTGGTTTTTTGAATCTCACTTCTTTCATGGGTTAAAAAGACAATGCTCTGCAGAAGGAGATAACATATACATTCATATAATTTAGTGAGCCTGAGACTGTCTGTGAGGCGTTAGTCCACTGTACCACAGATAGACCAAATCACTCACAAAGTAGCCATAAGCCTGGACACTTTGCTGGCTAATTTCATAGTGTTTGCTTTTTAAACTCTCACCCTTCTTATGTCATGTAAGTAATGCCTTTTTAAAAATAAGCATGAGCTGGGGCACGGTGGCTCACGCCTGTAATCCCAGCACTTTGGGAGGCTGAGGCGGGTGGATCACTTGAGGTCAGGAGTTCAAGACCAGCCTGGCCAACATGGGGAAACCCCATCTCTACTGAAAATACAAAAAGTTAGCTGGGTGTCGTGGTGGGTGCCTGTAATCCCAGCTACTTGGGAGGCCAAGGCAGGAGAACTGCTTGAACCCAGGAGGTGGAGGTCGCAGTGAGCTGAGATCGTGCCACTACACTCCAGCCTGGGTGACAGAGTGAGACTCTGTCTCAAATAAATAAAAATAAGCATGGATATTAAAACTCTTGAGAAATGGAAATAATAAGAAATCAACTGTAGCTATACAATTGAAAAAGTCTGCCATTTATATTCTACTTTTTTTCTTTTCTCCTCTTCTCTTCTCTTCTCTTCTCTTTTCTTTTCTTTTCTTTTTTTTTTTTCAGACGGAGTCTCACTCTGTTCCCCAGGCTGGAGTGCAGTGGCACGATCTTGGCTCACTGCAAGCTCCGCCTCCTGGGTTCACACCATTCTTCTGCCTCAGCCTCCCGAGTAGCTGGGACTACAGGCGCCCACCACCACGCCCAGCTAATTTTTTGTATTTTTAGTAGAGACAGGGTTTCACCATGTTAGCCAAGATGGTCTCGATCTGCTGACCTTGTGATCTGCCCGTCTCGGCCTCCCAAAGTGCTGGGATTACAGGCGTGAGCCACCACACCCGCCCCTTTTTTTCTTTTAGTTTTTCTAGAAGGCAAGGAGGTACATGAGCATAATTATTTGACATAGACAGATTTGGATCCTTTTATTTCACTTTACATCATATGCTCGTTCTCATGTGATAATGTAATTTTTAGAACCATGTTTTTCAGTGACTACATAATGTTTCATCAACCAGATGTATTATTACTCCTAGTTGGATATTTAAGTGGCTTCTGTTTCTACTTGCAGTTTATTTTTAATAAGTAGATAATCAGAATTGTGTCAAGATAACATCCAGTGAGACTTGAACAGAATCACTCCTGAATAGTTGACTCAGAGTCTCTAATAGCCCTAGAAAACTGACGAGAAATCATCAGTTCCTGATAAAATTACACAATTCTACTTCAACCAAAGAGGATCAAAGCCAGATTGGTTGGACTGTCATTCTTCTGTTTATTTATTTTGTGTATTTTTTGAGACAGAGTCTTGCTCTGTCACCCAGGCTGGAGTGCAGTGGTGCAATCTTGGCACACGGCAACCCCTGCCTTCCTGGTTTAAGCAGTTCTCTTGCCTCAGCCTCCCAAGTAGCTGGGATTATAGGCAGGTGTGGCAACACCTGGCTGATTTTTGTATTTTTAGTAGAGACAGGGTTTTGCCATATTGGCCAGGCTGGTCTCCAACTCATGACTTCAAGTGATCCACTCACTTCTGCCTCCCAAAGTGCTAGGATTACAGGCATGAGCCACCGCACCTGGCCCCATCATTCTTAATCACCCTAACATTTTCCCTCTTTCCCAAAAGAGTTGTGTATATCCTTGGGTGAGGATCCTGAAAGTGAAGACATTATCTGAGGAAATAATGGTTTGGGTCTTAAACACTCTGGTTAGAGCTAAGTTTATATGACAGGTATTACATTGTAAAAAGGAGAAAAAGGTTATTTTAGAAAGACACCTGTTAGAACCTGCTTTTTTTTTTATTTTTTTTTATTTTTGAGACTGAGTCTTACCCCGTTGCTCAGAATGGAATGCAGTGGTGCGATCTCAGCTCACTGTGACCTCCACCTCCCAGGTTCAAGCGATTCTCCTGCCTCAGCCTCCTGAGTAGCTGGGATTACAGGCACTCACTACCGTGCTCGGCTAATTTTTGTATTTTTAGTATAGACGGGGTTTCACCATGTTGGCCAGGCTGGTCTTGAACTCCTGACCTCAGGTGATCTGCCTGCCTCGGCCTCCCAAAGTGCTGGGATTACAGGCATGAGCTACCACACCCAGCCAGAACCTGCTTTCTAAAAGCACCCTAAACCTCTTTGGTTGTGAATTTATATATTCTCTGCCTTCCAAGGGCTGGTCTTTGAGGATATTGCTTGGAACTAAGTTCATACAGTAGATATTTTATTTAAAAAAAAAAAAAACAGAAAAGAGACCTCCAATAAAAGGTTTCTTTTTTGTCTGATTTTTTGCTTTTTTTTAATTTTGAAATATAATACTTGTCATATAAACTTAGCTCCAAGCAGTATGCTCAAAGACCAGCCCTTCTTGGAATGCAAATAATATATAAATTCATAGCCAGAGACGTTTAGAGGTGTTTAAAGAAAACCAGGTTCTTACAAGTGTCTTTCTAAAATAACCTTTATCTCTTTTTTACAACAATCAACCAGAGTGTTTAAGACTCAAACC
Organism: Homo sapiens; assembly: GCF_000001405.40. NCBI lineage: Eukaryota > Metazoa > Chordata > Mammalia > Primates > Hominidae > Homo > Homo sapiens. Next base: position 24,924,177 of record NC_000016.10, on the reverse strand, counting down.
GTTCACTGGTGAAGGAAGGCATTCCCTGAGACTCTAGGTCTGAGAAGAGGGATGGGTGGTGGAGAGGGGGAGGGAGTTTATTCGCCCTGCAGTTGTGCCTGCACCACTTACTTTCAAGGGCATATTTGGATCTGTTACTTGTCAAAGTGGCTATCAGAATCACCTTGGACTTCTTGAAGGGTGAGTTCACAACCGAGAAAGCACATATTCAAAATTGTTGAAGTAATAAGTAAATCTTCTAGAACCTTACCCTCAGTGATAACATTCCACTTCTAGCTCTTAAATACCCACTTCTGTTTCCTGGATGAGATACTCAGTGCAGGAAGGAACCTGGGTTACATTTGTCAGAGCCCCAAATCTGAGATGAACTGTATCAAGTTCTGCCTTTGGGCTGAGGCTGGTTACTGGAGGTCATCCTCTGTTTCTCTCTTTTTTTTTTTTTTTTTTTTTAAAAAAAAGAGAGACAGGGTCTTGCTCTGTTGCCCAGGCTAGAGTGCAGCGGTGTGATTCCAGTCCACTGCAGCCTTGACCTCCTGGGCTCAAGCGAATCTCCCAAGTAGCTGGAAGGTGGAACTAGAGGCATGCACCACCACACCCGGCTAATTTTTGTGTTTTTCTTATAGAGACGGAGTCTCATGTTGCCTGGGCTGGTCTCGAACTTCTGGGCTCACACCATCATCCCACCACGCCCAGCCTATTTTGTTTTTTTAAATACAATATCTTTTGTATGAACTTAGCTCCAAGCATATGCTCAGAAACCAGCCCTTCTTGGAGTGCAGTTAATATACGAGTTCATAGCCAGAAAGATTTAGAGGTGTTTCAGACAAACCAGGTTCTTACAGGTGTCTTTCTGAAATAACCATTTTCTCCTTTTTACAACAAACCAGAGTGTTTGTAAGACTGAAACAATGATCTTGGATAATGTCTTTGAAGGCCCTCACCCAGGGATTTACAGACTCCTCTGGGGAGGAGGGAAAATGTAATGCGAAGAGCCAGAGTGCAACCAATCTGGCTTTGATCCTCTTTGGTCCACACTGGCTGTGTCACCTTGGGCAAGGAATAGAGCCTCTGAGTCTCCCTTTCTTATTTCTGCTGCCTTAGGATTAGTTAGTGGGGGTTCAGTGAGACGATGTAATAAAGTGTGGGTGTATAGTACAGTCTCTGGTGTAAGTAAGTGCTCTATAGTAATGTCAGCTACTGAGGCTGGGTGTGGTGGCTCATGCTGGTAATCCCAGCACTTTGGGGAGCCGAGGTGGGAGGATTGCTTGAGGCCAGGAGTTCAAGACCAGCCCAGTCAACATGGTGAAACCTTGTCTCTACCAAAAATAAAAAAAATTAGCCAGGCATGGTGGCGTATGCTTGTAGTCCTAGCTACTCGGGAGGCTGAGGTGGGAGGATCAGTTGAGCCCAGGAGGTGGAGGCTGCAGTGAGCTGAGATTGCACGACTGCACTCCAGCCTGGGCAAAAGAGCAAGACCCCATCTCAAAAAAAAAATTTTTTTTTTTAATGTTAGCTACTGTGATGAAGTCTCTTTCTGAAAACTGGTTCTGTACAGGTTGCCGTAATTCTTTCTACTTTTTGTGTGTAAACAAAGTCATTGTTTCTTTCAGGGACTGATTCATGTAGGAATAGAGAGGGGCTGGGGAAACCAGATGGGGCAGGTGGGCGGCAGAGTAAGGGATTTCCTTTATGCCCCAAAACACATTTTTTCCCCTTGAATTAATAATGTGTGTGGATCATAAATAGAAAAATTCAGAGAGGCACAAATCTAAAAATTATGTATATGTGATGTATAAGAAAAAGAGAGCAGCTGTGGAGGGGCTTGGTGGCTGATAGGCGTTAGCTTGCATGTGAATACAGATATTAACAAGTAGAAATCTCATCCGTATACACAGTGCCTTTGCATCATGCATTCCCCGCCAAGTCATGTCGGTTCCATAGTTTCTGGTAAACTCTGGGCTGAGAAGAGACACGGGCTGGTAGCCCCTTCTGTTTTTGGGGGCCAAGATAATGGGGAAAGGATTGCATTTGCAGTGATTTTCTTATACGTCGTCTTCAAGTCACAGCTACTTCTTTGCCTGAGGATGTAAGAATGGAGGATTGGAAAGATGGTTGCTCTAGATGACTCTTCATGCATCCATCCAACCATCCAAGTGTGCAGCTACAAAATTTCTTGAACATCTGCTATTTGCCGGTCACTGTTTTAGGTACTGAGGATACACTGTGAACAAGACAGACACAGTCCCTGCCTTCGTTGACTTCTGTTCTGCTTAGGACAAATCCAAGACAGCCCCTATTCTGTGCATACAGACCACCTTTGGCTGCACCATAGGCTGGTGCAGTTCTGCACAGTGTCATTGGTTTTATAGTTATCACAAGACCTGAATTGTCTGAAATGACATTCAGCACCTGAACTCTTTGACACTTTGGCACCTCCATAAATCTAGAAATTTCTCTGAGTTGTGGTGCATAGGAAACCTTGAGGGACAACCCAGGAGTAACTGTGAGAAAAAGGGTGTCCCAGGGAGTAAATAGATCTCACAGCTCAGAACTGTAGGGACAGGAAGGTGGAAGGGGTAGGAGCTGGAACAAGTCTCCAAGCAGTGAGCTTCCCCAAAGTGCACCAGCGTTTTCAAGCTGTGCCTGCGTAGACGGGAGCAGGTCGAACAGAAATATAGTCAAAACTAGCTCCCGTCAAGGACAGACAGGATGTCATTTTGCACCACAGCAAGTAGGGGAAAGCAGCTCTCAAGCCTAACTGTGAAACGCCCCCACAAACCACCTCCTCCTCCCACTCCCTCACTGCTGCCTGCCATGGCTACCTCTAACGCAGCAAAGCAAAACTACAAAACATCTCTCTTCTCTCTTACACCAGCCCTAAAATACCTAATGAGGCTCTCATAATTTGCCAGAACCCACATCTACGAGAGAAGCCAGCCCTTTTGTCTTAATTAGGATCCCCTTGGTCTGCCCACTTGACCGTGGGCTTCATTGAGGCTGTGCCTGTCTTGTTCAGTGCTGCGTCCTCAGCAGGTAGAATGGTGCCTGGCACCTGGGAGGTGCTCAGTAAATATTTGTTCATGCATAAATGAATCTGAGACCCACTGGCCTCTGGGAAGAGCATAGGAGAGGGGGACAACAGCATGAGGACCATATGTTTGCCATCTTGCTGAAGGAATTTCAGCCAACATAATAAGACATGAAAATGGCATTCGAGGTGTATTAGACAGACAAGGGGATGTTAGTGTTTGCAGGAGACTTGGTCTGCCTCAGTGATGTCAGTCAGCAGTGATTGTGATTCCCCAGGGGACACTCGGCAGCATCTGGAGACATTTTAGTTTAAACTTCCCCAGTGATCTGTGATGTACAGGAGACACTTTCGGTTGTCACACTGGGGGAGGAGGCTGCATGTCACTGGCATCTGTTGGGTGACACCTACAATGCACAGGACAACCACAACAAATAATTCAGGCCCAAATGTTGCTGGTGCTGAGGGTGAGGTCCTAGTGTTAGTAACAGGAGGAAAACCCAGCAGTCTGGAGGAGAGACCTCTTCCCAGGGCAGCCCAGGGGCCATCAGGAGGGTTCATCTCATGCATTAGAGGTCTTGGGAAGAATGAGGCTTCCTTTCCTCCATCAAAGCAAGCAAATCCTTTAAAAGCTGCATCTCCAAGGGCTGCTCCGGGCTCATAGCAAGCAACGTCGGAGCCCAGAGGCAAGGCTGTGCTACTCAGCTGCCCTCTGGGGTCACAAAGGCTTCACTTGGCTTCTAAGAGCTGATGAGGCCTCTCGCAAGGGACCCTGTGTGCATGGGCTGACCCTGAAACTTCCCAGCCTCTCTTCTTCTCAGAGCACCCTCAGGTGGCCTCTCGGGGGTTACCCCTCATTGATACCATGTCTCCTCGTGTTTTTGTCCAGACTCCAATTCCAGGGTTTCAGAACCGCATCGCAGCATCTTTCCTGAAATGCACTCAGACTCAGCCAGCAAAGACGTGCCTGGCCGCATCCTGCTGGATATAGACAATGATACCGAGAGCACTGCCCTGTGAAGAAAGCCCTTTCCCAGCCCTCCACCACTTCCACCCTGGCGAGTGGAGCAGGGGCAGGCGAACCTCTTTCTTTGCAGACCGAACAGTGAAAAGCTTTCAGTGGAGGACAAAGGAGGGCCTCACTGTGCGGGACCTGGCCTTCTGCACGGCCCAAGGAGAACCTGGAGGCCACCACTAAAGCTGAATGACCTGTGTCTTGAAGAAGTTGGCTTTCTTTACATGGGAAGGAAATCATGCCAAAAAAATCCAAAACAAAGAAGTACCTGGAGTGGAGAGAGTATTCCTGCTGAAACGCGCATAGGAAGCTTTTGTCCCTGCTGTTAATGCGGGCAGCACCTACAGCAACTTGGAATGAGTAAGAAGCAGTGCGTTAACTATCTATTTAATAAAATGCGCTCATTATGCAAGTCGCCTACTCTCTGCTACCTGGACGTTCATTCTTATGTATTAGGAGGGAGGCTGCGCTCCTTCAGACTTGCTGCAGAATCATTTTGTATCATGTATGGTCTGTGTCTCCCCAGTCCCCTCAGAACCATGCCCATGGATGGTGACTGCTGGCTCTGTCACCTCATCAAACTGGATGTGACCCATGCCGCCTCGTTGGATTGTCGGAATGTAGACAGAAATGTACTGTTCTTTTTTTTTTTTTTAAACAATGTAATTGCTACTTGATAAGGACCGAACATTATTCTAGTTTCATGTTTAATTTGAATTAAATATATTCTGTGGTTTATATGAAAACTTCATAATTCTTGGAGGTAAATTGTGGAGTGTGTGTGTGTGTGTGTGCATGAGTGTGTGTGTGTTGCCACTCAACCAGATAGAATTGTGGCTGGGACATCTTGGGGGAGAGGGTCTAATTGTAGCTGTAGGAGTTTGAAGAAACAGAGAGCAAGGTCGCAACAGTGAAAAAGGCCGCCAGGTGCCCCAAAGACCTCCTAGCCTGGCCATCCTCAGTGCAGGTTCTGGTCAAGGCTGCACCCTTGGTCCTCCCAGTGCTGGCATCCCTTTCTTTCCATCTAGAGATACTCAGACTCCCGGGGGCAGCTCACAGGAGTTCAGCCCCACCGGGTTGGTGCATTCGTCAGCAGTTGTGAATTGCCATAGAGAGCCCTTTTTCCAATGGCTGGTGCTTTCATGCCCTATCCAAGGCGTGAAAATTATCCCGTCTCTCCCAGGATTGAAATACTAGGGAAGAGCCGATGGGGAATTGGAGCAAAGCGAGACTGAGGCTCTGGACAGCTGGTCTGACGATAGCACGACCCCTTGGCCCAGATAAGGCCGTTTTCTCTTGGGAACAGAGTGGGACACGCTGCCAGAGTTGGCTGCCCTGAGCCTTCTATTGATCGAGTTTGCTAGGTGTGTCAGTGTCTAAGTCACTGCCTAGAAGACACTGGGCCTCTTTCCACTACGAACTGACTTAAGCCTGATTTAAAAAGGGGAACCACAGTTTCCTTTTGTTGTTTTTTTGAAACAGATCTCACTCTGTGGCCCAGGCTGGAGTGCAGTGGCACAATCATAACTCACTGCAGCCTCCAAACTCCTAGGCTCAAATGATCCTCCCAACTCAGCCTCCCAAGTAGCTGAGACTACAGGTGCATGGCAATACACCCAACTAATTTTTAAATATTTTTTTTTCTAGAGACAGGGATCTTGCTGTGTTGCCCAGGCTGGTCTTACAATTCTGGCCTCACGCAATCCTCCCACTTCAGCCTCCGAAAGTGCTGGGATTACAGGCGTGAGCCACCATGCCCAGCCCACATTTTCATCTTTACTCAGTTTCCTATGCCCTCAAAGTACTCCCTATACTTATTAATTACCTTCAAAATATGCTCCTGTAAGCCCATTTGCTCCCATATCTTGAATTTTCATTGGCTTAAGGCTCACTCTTCCCCTGTGCCACCTGTGTATTGTTAATTTTCTATACCCTCCTTTAGCCACAGAACAAACCCTGCAGAGAAAGAATCCTCTGTGTAGGCTGATGCTCCATGTTGAGCACCTTCTCCAGGCGCCTGGCTGTCCACGGTCAGGTGTCTCCATGGAGCCTCGGAGATGCTCCCATCGTGATGCCTGAGCTTGTCCTCCAGAGGAAGCAGGGACTTGGGCGCTTGTCAAGGAGATGCTGTTGGCACCTGGGGATGAGAAACATCCATGCTGACATCCTGCCCAGCATATAGCATGTGTTCATCATTGCTGATTCTGAAATACAGCAAACCATACCTCATTATTTTAAGAGCCTCATTCAGTTTTTACTCTCCTATTGTTTGCAGCAATCTTCCTACCCTGACAGCTGCAAACTTCAAAACAATGAAAGTCATTTGACTCTGTGTATGTGTCAAAGGTAAAGACCACACTTTGGGAGGCCGAGGCGGGCAGATCACTTGATGTCAGGAGTTCAAGACCAGCCTGGTCAACATGGTGAGACCCCATGTCTACTAAAGATACAAAAAATTAACTTGGCATCGTGGTGGGTGCCAGTAATCCCAGCTACTTAGGAGGCTGAGACAGGATAATCACTTGAACCTGGGTGACAGAGACTACAGTGAGCCCAGATCAAGCCAGTGCACTCCAGCCTGGGCAACAAAGTGAGACTCTGTCTCAAAAAAAACAAAAACAAAAAAAACCCAGAACTGTCTAGGGTGGGATACATGGCTGAGCATCCCACCGGCAGGGCCAGGAGAGGCACCTGGATCCTCTTTCCCGTTCTGTGGCCCGGGATTCCTTCTGCTGGAGGCGTTGTACTGTGTTGGCACTGTACGTTAGGCACACCATTTCCAGCCTGCCCACCGTCAGAGAGGCAGAGAATCTGAACCCATAGTGGCCATTTCTGGCTGTCCAGAAGGGCACTGGCCATCTGCCCTTCAGATTGTTTCCTTCCCTTCTCTACACAGTAGTTTCTTATAGAATGTTCTAGGCCCTTGCGCTCAGACTTCGTGTCCCTGCTCCCCCACCTGCACCAAACCTCCTTGGTCAGGCACCGGTTCCTCTCACTACCCCCTGTGGTTTAGCACTCACCTAGCATTCTGGAAGGAGCTTGTCCTGCACCCAGCACTGTGGAGACTGCAGAGGCTCAGAGTAGAGCCCTGGCTGCCTTGGTTTTGCCGAGTTCCACCCTGTGGTCATTCCAAGAGTTCAGATGCGCTGGGTGTGGTGGCTCATGCCCATAATCCCAGCACTTTGGGAGGTCGAGGTGGGTGGATCACGGGGTCAGGAGTTTGAGACCAGCCTGGCCAACATGGCAAAACCCATCTCTTCTTAAAAAAAAATTATATATATGTGTGTGTGTGTGTGTGTGTGTGTGTGTGTGTGTGCGCGTGTATGTGTATATATATATATATATATATACACATACACACAAAAAAAATTAGCCAGGCGCAGTGGCTCATGCCTGTAATCCCAGCACTTTGGGAGGTCGAGGTGGGCGGATCACGGGGTCAGGAGTTTGAAGCCAGCCTGCCCAACATGGCAAAACCCCATCTCTTCTAAAAAAAAAAATTATATGTGTGTGTGTGTGTGTGTGTGTGTGTGTGTGTACACACACACACAAAATTAGCCAGGCGCAGCGGTTCGTGCCTGTAATCCCAGGACTTTGGGAGACTGACGTGGGTGGATCACTTGAGGTCAGGAGTTTGAGACCAGCCTGGCCAACATGGTGAAACCCTGTCTCTACTAAAAAAAAAAAAAAAAAAAAAAAAAAAAAAAAAAAGGCTTGTGTGGTGACACGCGCCTGTAGTTCCAGCTACTCAGGAGTCTGAGGCAAGAGAATTGCTTGAACCTGGAAGGCAGAGGTTGCAATGAGCCAAGATCATCTACTGAACTCCAGCCTGGGTGACACGAGACTCTGTCTCAAAAAAAAAAAAAAAATTCAGATGCCATTGGAGTGACCCCATCCCTGGACCATTGTGATGGCCCTGGTTCTCTGGGAGCTCCGTGGAGTGACTCCCGCTCCTCTGTTGGGGCTGCAGTTCTCAGTGTCTCCCAAGCCCAGTGAGTCCCACAAGTGCTCCTATTTGAAGGTCTTAAGACAAACCCTCCTGGTTTCTCCCTGAGGTCTCCTCCCACGATTTCCTCACCATATTCCAGTGCCTCTGGCCTCTGGGACCCACGGTCTCAGGGTTTTGCATCAGACTGGGCAGCAAGCACCTCACTCATAGGGATGCTTCTCAGTCAAGGGCTTGCACTTTCCTCCTATCTCATCGGTGGAGCTAGAGAGGAGGAGATGTGCTGGTGCGGGGAAGCCACAGGCTCTGGTGCAGCCAAAAGACAAGAAGTGACCAAGACCACTTGAGCTGCCAGCTAAGGGAGGGGAGCAAGTCAAGGACCCCCTTAGTTTCCCTCCTGCCCACAGCAGGCTGCACACATGGCCATCCCCACCCTGTCCCGCATGGGTTCGCACAGGCATGGGCCCTGAGTCTCTTCCCCAGCAGGCAGGACCCCTGTCTCCCGGCACGGAGCTGTGGGTGCCCTGCCACCACCGTGGATTCTGTGGAGTAGAGAAAACCTGCCTGCAGAGGGAGAAGTCAGCAGATGTGCGGAGAGGCAGGGACAAAAGATAAGAGGGAGAGAGTGCAGGGCTTGGTTTTTAAAACCCTCCCAGCTCCCGGTTTGTGTGCCTGAAGCCATTCTGCATTTCTTGCCTTTGTATGCTCACAATAAAGTGCTTGTTTTTGGCACAAACGTTCCTCTTTGGGTTTGTTTCTCTTACTGGCAACCAAATTACTTGTACTCGATACCCTCCAAAGGAGGTACATGGCTGTGTAGACCCCACACAGCTCTGCAGGCAACTGTCCTCCTCCCACACCCTCTCCAGCCAACCCCTCCTTTACATCCACACATGCGTTCACACACCATGCCCCTCATGTCAGTTATCCAGTGCAGCATGACAGATGATCACATACTTAGCAGCTTACAACAACACATGTTCATTTTCTCACAGCTCCTGTGGGTCAGGAGTCCAGGCACAGCTTCTCTGGGTCCTCTGTCCAGGATCTTCATCTGCTGCAGTCAAGGCAGCAGCCAGGGCTGGGATCTCATCTGGAGGCTGGGCTGGGGAAGGATCCACTTCCCAGGAAGTAGGGATGATTGAGGGTCACCTTAGGGTCTATCCTTCACACACGAAACATCATCACAAATGACATGTGGGGAGGGGGATATTTGATACAAGGAAGAACCCCAACCTAAAAAAATCCTCAGGGTTCTGTTTTCACTCTTTCTACTTGTATTTGAATTTGGGGTTTTTGGTTGTCATTCTATTTGTTTAAGATGGAATCTTGCTCTGTCACCCAGGCTGGAGTGCAGTGACATGATCTCGGCTTACTGCTACCCCTGCCTCCCAGGTTCAAGCCATTCTCCTGCCTCAGCCTCCCAAGTAGCTGGGACTACAGGCACCCACCACCATGCCAGGCTAATTTTTTTATTTTTAGTAGAGATGAGGTTTTGATCTGTTGGCCAGGCTGGTCTTGAACTCCTGACCTCAGGTGATCCACTCACCTCAGCCCACTGAAGTGCTGGGATTACAGATGTGAGCCACTGCACCTGGCCTGAATTCAGTTTCTGTGCACATCTGTAAATTGTATTTGCACTGCACTGGTTTTTTAAATTGATAAAAGTTATGGTATACGACATGTTTTTGTATATGTATACATTGCAGAATGGTTAAATCTAGCTAATTAATATATCCATCACCTCCATTATCATTTATTTTTTGTGGCGAGAACATTTAAAATCTCTCAGCTGGCTGGGCACAGCAGCTCACACCTGTAATCTCAGCACTTTGAGAGGTTGAGGTGGGTGAATTGCTTGAAGCCGGCAGTTTGAGACCAGCCAGGGCAACATAGTAAGACCCCATCTACATAAAAAAATTAAAATTAGCCAGGTATGGTGGCCAAATGTCTGTAGTTCCAGCTACTCAAGAGGTTGAGGCAGGAGTTCGAGGGTCCAGTAAGTCATGATCATGCCAATGCACTCCAGCCTGGGTGACAAAGTGCAAGACCCTGTCTGTAAAAAAAAAAAAAAAAAAAAAAAAAAAAAAAAAGGCCAGATATGGGGGCTCACACCTGTAATCCCAGCACTTTGGGAGGCCAAGGCAGGTGGATCACATGAGCCCAGGAGTTGGAGACCAGCCTGGGCAATATGGCAAAATGCCTTCTCCACAAAATACAACAACAACCAACAAAAATTGCCAGGCATGGTGGTGCGTACTTGTAGTCCCAGCTACCCAGGAGGCTGAGGTGGGAGGATCACCTGAGCCTGGGAGTTTGAGAATGCATTGAGCCATGATCGCACCCTGTGTTCCAGCCTGGGCAACAGAGTGAGAGCCTGTCTCAAAAAAAAAAAAAAAAAAAAAAAAAAAAAGGAAGGCAAAGGATTGCAGAGTTCATCCTGAGTGGGAAGGTCTCTGAAGGATTCCAAGCAGAGGATTGGCTTGATCCGAGTTGCTCACCCTGCCAGTGGCTGGAGAATGGGAAGACTGGATGTGAGAAGGCAGTCAGGAGTCCGGGCAGAGATGGGGGTGGCCTGAGCTATCATAGTGACAGCTCAGTGCGTCCCTGCTGAAACACACTGTTGACCCCAGCCAGAGGCAACAGGGGTCTTGGTGTGAGGGGCAGGCTTGGACGGGGAGCTCAGGACTGTAGTGGAAGCCTCCCATGCCGCCCACTCCCCTTCTTTGGGCCTTGGAGGCAGAAGCTCAACCTCCCCGGTGAAGACTTCTCCTTGAGCCCACTTGCTCCAGAACCATTCCACGCTCCTGCCTGGAGCCATGTTAGCAGCCAGTTCCCCGCCCATACCCCTTCCCAGGAGGGCTGGGGGTGCCCTTTGTCCAACCTACTACTGCTATTTGGATTCCTGTAGAGAGCTGGGCCTATGAGCAGAGCTGAGGCTGGACCAATACATTATTTGCCTGTGCACCAGGCCAGTCCTAGCTGTTGGCATCAAGTAGGAACCAGAAAGACATCATCACTGGAGGATTAAGTGGGTGGGCAGCTCCTCAGCCCCAGGGGGTCCTGTTTACTTTCCTCTGGTCTGAAAATTGGGGTCCCTCGAGAGACTCCTCTGCTTTCCAGCTCTGTCAGGCCAGGAAGGGGTTCTAGTCCACCCCACCTTATCCCAGGCCTGGATGGTTCATGGCCCTGAGCTACTCCAGAGATGGTCTCAGGGCTCACTCCGTTGGCCCTGTCCTGCTCTTAGCTCTGCACGTGGCAAACGCAGCCCTGATGGGTCATTCCGTCAGACTCCAGTGGGCCCAAAGCTGGGAAGCTGAGGAGGCTGGCTCTACCCAGAACAGGAGGCCGCTGCTCTGCAGGTCAAAGCCTTACTGGCTTTTGGTGGGGAGGTTCATTGAGATGCACATCCACCTGGCTGCTTCTTTTTAGGGAAGCATCATCATGGGGAATTAAGCAAAGAAACACAGTCTAAGGCTGGGTGCGTGGCTCACACCTGTAATCCCAGCACTTTGGGAGGCCAAGGCAGGAGGATTGCTTGAGCCCAGGAGGTTAAAACCAGCTCAGGCAACATAGGAGAGACCCGCCCCCCATGTCTCTGCGAAGAAATTTTAAAAATTAGCCAGGCATGGTGGTGCATGTCTGTAGTCCCAGCTACTCAGGAGGCTGAGGTGGGAGGATCACATGAGCCCAGGAAGTCAAGACTGCAGTGAGATCTCAGGGTGCCACTACATTCCAGCCTGGGTGACAGAGTGAGAGAGACCCTGTCTCAAAAACAAGAGTCTAAGCCAGAACTTGAGAAGTGCACACAATTCCCTGATTTTCTTACAGCACAAGATTTCAGAGTACCAACTGGGGTCTATTTCCAAGAAATATCTAGGAGAAAGTATCACAGTGAGAAAACTCGGGGACCTTCACCCAAAGCCAGCCACAGTGGAAGGCAAGAGATAGAATGCAGGTCCCATTCTTTGCACTGTGAAGGTGAGCTGGGCAAGTTCAGATGCTAAATATCCAACCCCGGAGATGTGGCTGCTGTCAGCCTGGGAGGTCTTGTAAGTCCCTTTGCTTCTTTATCCCTTTGAATTTGGGTATTGATGTTGCACAATGGATAAGAAGAATGAATAACTAGTCTTTTGCAAAAGGAAGCTTTTACATGTCTCTCCTCTTTCCATCTTCTAACCTTCATTATTTTCAAGAAGAAAAGAGGCTGGGCATCGTGGCTCATGCCTGTAATCCTAGTACTTTGGGAGGCTGAGGTGGGGGGATCACTTGAGGCCAGGAGTTCAGGACCAGCCTGGGCAACATAGACCACATCTCTTTGAAAAAAGGAAAAATTAGCCAGGCATGGTAGTGTGTGCCTGTAGTCCTAGAAACTTGTGAGGCTGAGGAGGGAGGATCACTTGAGCCCAGGAGTTTGACGTTGCAGTGAGCTATGACCATGCCACTGCACTCCATCCTGGGTGGCAGAGCGAGACACTGTCTCAAAAAAAAAAAAAAGAAAAAAAGAAAAAAGAAAAGAGCTAAGTGTCATGTTGAAAATGGTCTATAAACACTTGGAAGCCTTGTGGTAAACAAAAGCTTTATTATTTTTTCTTTCATTAAAAAAATGGAGCACTGAAGAGAAACAGAGTTTGGACCCCTGGGTTCACCCCACACTAAGCAAAATAGCCCCAGATAAAGATGGCGCAGCTCACGCAGAAAATGAGGTTGACGTCCAGGAGGGTCTTCACCAAGGGGTTTTCTTCCAGGGAAACTATGATGGCTTCTGCTCTGGCCGGGAGCTCTTCCTTGCCCTTCTCCTGTATTCCACAGAGCCACAGGATGGCCTTCACCACTTTGGACTGCTTTGGGGTCATGTCACCTAGAAAGAACCCAGCAAAGGAAGACCGTAGAGGTGGTCTGTATCTCCCAGAGAGGTGAGACAGGGACACTCACCAGATGTGTTCAAGTGCTGGGATTACAGGCGTGAACCACCATCCACTATGCCCGACTGAAATCTCCCTTTTTTTTTTTTTTTTTTTTGAGAGAGTCTCACTCTGTCGTCCAGGCTGGAGTGCAGTGGCGTGATCTCGGCTCACTGCAACCTCCACCTCCCAGGTTCAAGCGATTCTCCTGCCTCAGCCTCCCAAGTAGCTGGGACTATAGGCATGCGCTACCATGCCCGGCTAATTTTTATATTTTTAGTAGAGACAGGATTTCACCATGTTGGCCAGGCTGGTCTTGAACTCCTGATTTCAAGTGATGCACCCACCTCGGCCTCCCAAAGTGCTGGGATTACAGGCCTGAGCCATGCTGACCGGCCAAAATCTCTCAATTTTTAAATGTTAACTCACATTTTGTTGAAACTGTAGGTGGGCTAAGCCAAAATATGTCTGCAAGCCGCCAGTTTAGAAGCACTAACTGAGAGAAGGCAAGTTGTGTTCCTGCCTACCCATGTGCAGAGAATAAGGATGAAATGAACCAACCGTGTCTCCGTAGGCACTCAACAAGTGTTTGTTTGCTGTTAGTGCCCGTAGGAAGCTTGTTGAAAGTTACTAAAAACTCCTTTCCCATGGCCGGAGCGTGGGGACAGATCAGACACTGGAGCCAGAGGATGCTAAAACTCCAAGTCTGCCCACTTTCCTGGCTTGTGATTTGATAGGAAAAAAAAAAAAATCAATCCCTTTAACACGTACTCCTTCTTGCTGTAACTGAGGAGAGAAGCTACTCACAGCTGTGGGTTTTAGACGTGTTTTCTTGAACCATCTCGAACTGGACGCTGCTGCTGCTGCTGGCCTCTGGCATCCCGTTCTGAGAGAGGGTAAGAGACAAGGGAGCTGCTGGTGGTGCTTGTTCCTTCTGGACCACGGGGTCGTGACGAGTAAACCAGGTCAGGTGGCTGACCTAAGGAGCAGGGATGAATGATGAGATTTGTGGTGGAGGTGGGGCCGGGGTTGTCCATCCTTTTCTCACACTCCCCACCCAACCCCACACTCAGCCTTTGTGTCTGAATCTGCTCCCAGCCCCACCCTCCCACCCCATCCTCCAACAAGCATCATGTTCCTGCACTCTTCAACATCAGCGCACAATTCCCCTGCTCATTCCCACGTCTTTCTCCGATAAACCCCATCCTCCTGTTGCTGGGATGTGATTATCCCTCATTCTAATCCCCAGAGCTTAACCCTCACCCTAGAGTATTGCAGGACCCCAGAACTGGTCATTTCAGCTCATCCGTTTCTCTGGCCACAGGGATTGAATTGGTTCACGGATGAGCATGTGTCCTGAGCTGACTCCATCAATGGAAATCTAGAAATTCTCTAGAAATTCTGGGACAGAAATATTAATGCTTATTTTTACTTTTTTTTTTTTTTTTTTTTTTTAAAGACAGGCTCTTGTTCTGTCACCCAGGTGGGAGTGCAGTGGCATGGTCATAGCTCACTGCAGCCTTAAACTCCTGGGCTGAAGCAATCCTCCTGCCTCAGCCTCCCTAGCAGCTGGGATTACAGGCATGAGCCATCACGCCCTGCTAATTTTTTCTTTTCCTTTTTTTTTTTTTTTTTTTTTTTGTGAGACAGGGTCTTGCTCTGTCACCAAGGCTGGAAGTGCAGTGGCATGGTCATAGCTCACTGCACCATCAAAACTCCTGGGCTCTGGCAATCCTCCCACCTCAGCCTCTCTAGTAACTGAGATTACAGGCATGAGCCATCACGCCCTGCTAATTTTTTCATTTTTTTAAGAGACGGGATCTCACTATATTGCCCAGGCTGGTCTCAAACTCCTGGCCTCAAGTGATCCTCCCATCTCAGCTTCCCGAAGTGCTGGGATTACAGGCATGAGCCACCGCACCCCAGCCTTATGTTTACTTAATGACAGTAAAAGAGGATGTATCTCTAGAAGATACTGGGCTCCATATGGGACCTAAGAATTGAAGCAGAAGTGCAGATGGATTCTGATGACCTTTTCAGAGTCCCAAATCATCCTGCCCCTGAACCTCAACCCTGGACTTTTCAGCTTTTTGGACAATCAGTCTCCTTCGCTTAAGTCAGTTTGAGTCAGTTTTCTGTCACTTCCAACAAAAAGTCTCAACGGATCTAGCCATCAGCCCAAATGTACCATCTCCTTGGAGGGTGGCTCTGTGAACCAGCTCACGGTGGAGACAGTGATGAGGGTGACCGTGGACAGGATCATGGAGAAGTAGAGGTAGTGAATGCTCTTCACCAGGACCGGGCGCTCATCTGGCTGGTCGCATCGAGGCTGCACGTAAATAAAGTCCAGGACCAGCCTAACCAAGCCCAGGAGCAGGCCCGAGATCAGGCCCCAGAAGGCACCCTGCAAAATCAGAGCAAGATCATCTTAGAGACGCCAAGGGCTCTGGCCTCCAGGAACCTCAAGAAGCCATCTCCAGGACTTGTCTTTCTTGTGGTGGTCACTGCAAGCACGGGTCAGCAATTTGAAAAGGTTCTGCAATACTTAACCATTTATCTTTTTATAATGAATTGATTACTAATAGTTTACTAACTCCCTCTTAATTTAGCTTCCCTGTTCAATAACAAAAAATGCATCAAGATACTTTTCATGAGAACCTCTCATTGCTTTTTTTTTTTTTTTTTTTTTGAGACAGTCTCACTCTGTCGCCCAGGCTGGAGTGCAGTGGCGTGGTCTCAGCTCACTGCAACCTCTGCCCCCCAGGTTCCAGTGATTCTCCTGCCTCAGCATCTGAGTAGCTGGGATTACAGGCGCCCACCACCACACCCGGCTAATTTTTGTATTTTGAGTAATGATGGGCTTTCACCATGTTGGCCAGGCTGGTCTCAAACTCCTGACCTCAAGTGATCCACCCACCTCGGCCTCCCAAAGTGCTGGGATTACAGGTGTGAGCCATCGCAGCAGCCCTCTCATTGCTTTTTTGCAAAGGTCAGATAAACACCCTCCCTGTATCTTCCACCAATGGAACTCACCCTCCCTCTCAACACCCAATTCCAGCCTGTGTCTCCCTCCAACACCCTCCCCTCCCATCCTATCCCAGTCCTCAAGGGGCAGCACTTGGTTCTGGCATAGTGGGAGCCATCCAGAGCTACCTTTTCATTGGTCCTCTTCCAGAAACATCCCATGATGAAGACCACCGCCACAGGCGGCTGCAGGTAGGAGCTGATGGACTGGATATAGATGAAGAGCTGGCCGCCCTGGCTGGCCTGGACCACAGGGATCCAGAGGATGGAGACCAGGACCAGCAGCAGCACAAACACCCTGGTGCCGGCGGCGAGAGGCACAAATTAGCATCATCTGAACATTTACTCCTCTTTCCCTCTCTCTGTCTCTTTTAATAGACAGGGTCTTGTTCTGTTGCCAAGGCCGGGGTGCAGTGGTGAGAGCATAGCTCACTGCAGCCTCCAACTCCTGGGCTCAAGTGATCCTCCTGCCTCAGCCTCCCGAATAGGTGGGATTACAGACACATGCCAACACTCCCAGCTTATTTTATTTTATTATTTTAATTTTTTTTTTTGAGACAGAGTCTCACTCTGTCACCCAGGCGGGAGTGCAGTGCGTCATCTTGGCTCACTGCAACCTCTGCCTCCTGGGTTCAAACGATTCTCCTGCCTCAGCCACCTGAGTAGCTGGGATTACAGGCACACGCCACCACAGCTAATTTTTGTATTTTTAGTAGAGATGAGGTTTCACCATGTTGGCCAGCCTGGTCTTGAACACCTGACCTCAAGTGATCCACCGCCTCGGCCTCCCAAAGTACTGTGATTACAGGTGTGAGCCACCTCGCCCAGCTGGGTTAAAATTATTTGCTTATTCTCCTCCTTCCCTGGCTCCATGAAGGCAAGAACTGAGCCCTTTCATGGTTATGTGCCCTGTGCCTGGTACACAGTAGGTGCTCGTTCAGCATCTCCTGAATGAATGAATGTCTTGCACATGGAGTCCTAATGCTCTTCAGCCTGGATAGGTTGCTGGCTGAACCTGGACTTTGCCTCTGGGTGGGCTCAGCTCTCTCTTCCCCCTGCCCCAGCCCCACCCAGTGGGGACTTACCTGCCCACAATCATGAGCTCCTTCTCAGATGCCCGAGGCCGGAGGTGATTCCAGAGGTCCATGGTGAAGATGGTGCTGGCACTGTTAAAGATGGAGGTGAGGGAGGACATGAGAGCCGCCACCATCACAGCCATCATCAGCCCACGGAGCCCTGGGGGCGGAAGGGAGGTCATGGGCCTCGGTCCTTTTCTGCCAAAGCAGCCGATCCCAGTGGGCTCAACTGGAGGAGGCAGAACCTCAGGGAGGACGGCGGGGCAGAGCTTCCTGCAGGACGTAGCCTTTCTTGGGGAGCCCAGAGTCTTCCTCCCCCACCAGCCCTCCTTTCTTGACCCTGCCTTGGATCAGAGCCCATCCGGTGATCTCCTTTCTGGGTGCTCCAGGGGACTTGATTCAGGAGTGAAGGGACATTACCTGTGGGCAGGAGTTCCAGCACGAGTTTGGGATACGCGATGTCCGAACAGCCTGAGGGGTTGCTGCAGATCTTCTGGCAGATCTCTGGATCTGCACAGGCCACTTGATCTACGAAGGAAACACAGGCCCAGAGGTGAGCAGTCAGGCCCCCAGAGCCCCAGGCCCAGGCAACATGGGGCCGGACACAGGCTTATCATATGGAAGTTTATAGCTCAATGAAATAAAAAAGAGTCTAGACTTTATAAGCTGTGACCTTGTTACTTACGCTTTCTGAGACGAGTTGCCCTATTTGTAAAACTAGGATAATAACACGACTTTATAGGAAGTGCTGGAAAAAATTCAGCTATTGTTATCGTAACCCAGATGAAGCTGGGACACCTAGTGGCCAATCTTACAATAATGTCTTTTTTTTTTTTTTTTTTGAGACGGAGCCTCTTGCTCTGTCGCCCAGGCTGGAGGGCAGTGGCACGATCTCAGCTCACTGCAACCTCTGCTTCCCAGGTTCAAGTGATTCTCCTGCCTCAGCCTCCCGAGAAGCTGGGATTACAGGCACCCACCACCATGCCCGGCTAATTTTTGTATTTTTAGTAGAGATGGGGTTTTGCCATGTTGGCCAGGCTGGTCTCGAACTCCTGACCTCAAGTGATCCGTCCATGATCATTAACTCACTGTTCAGTAACATCTGCTCACCTGTCCTGGTTAATGAATCATTTCCTATACGTAGATTCTCTTGTCAGAATGCTTCACACCCTCTGATGCCTGAAATAAGATGCCTCTAGCCCAGTTAAATCCAAACATAGCACAAAACCTTCTTCTTCCACAAACCCAACATTAACTGAAGGTTTACTATGACTCAGGAGCTGCAGTAAGCTTTGTACATACACCTCATTTAATTTTCACAACTCTATGGGGGAAGATACTGTTATTATCCCTATTTCAAAGACAGATAAACTGAGGCCCAGAGGTTAGTTTCTCCAGATTATATTGCTAGTAAGTATTATGGCCAGGAGGCAAACCCTTAGTTTATTTCAAAGCTCAGGTAGAGAAGATTGGCTCTGTAAATACTGCATTTCTAAACTCTGTGTGTGTGTGTGTGTGTGTGTGTGTGTGTGTGTGTGTGTGTGCGCGCGCGCGCGTGTTTTTGAGATGGGGTCTTGCTCTGTCGCCCAGGCTGGAGTTCAGTGGTGCCATCTTGGCTCACTGCAACCCTAGCCTCACAGGCTCCAGCCTCCCAAGTAGCTGGAATTACAGGCATGTACCATCACACCCAGCTAATTTCTTTTTCTTTAATTAATTTTTTTATTTTTATTTTTATTTTTTCTTGAGATGGAGTCTCACTCTGTCGCCCAGACTGGAGTGCGTGGCACAATCTCGGCTCACTGCAACTTCCTCTTCCAGGTTCAAGCGATTCTCCTGCCTAAGCCTCCTAGCCTGTAGCTGGTATTATAGGCGTGCCACCACACCCAGGTTTTTTTTTTTTTTTTTTTTTTTTTTTGTATTTTTAGTAGAGACGGGGTTCCATCATGTTGCCCAGGCTGGTCTTGACCTCCTGGCCTCAAGTGTTCCTCCCGCCTTGGCTTCCCAAAGTGCTGGGATTGTGTTTTGAGGGTTGTTTTGCTTCTCTCTTAATTTCCATATAGTTTATTTAAAAATATGTGCCATTTCTCATGGATGAAGCTGGAAACCATCATTCCCAGCAAACTAACACAGGAACAGAAAACCAAACACCACATGTTCTCACTCATAAGTGGGAGTTGAACAATAAGAACACATGGACACAAGGAGGGGAACATCACACACTGGGGCCTGTCGGGGGGTGGAGGGCAAGGGGAGGGAGAGCATTAGGACAAATACCTAATGCACGTGGAGCTTAAAACCTAGATGACAGGTTGATTGGTGCAGCAAACCACCATGGCACATGTATACCTATGTAACAAAGCTGCACGTTCTGCACATGTATCCCAGAACTTAAAGTTTAATGAAAAAATAAAAATATGTGCCATTTCTCAGATGGACTTAGCAGAAGAGGGTTTTTTTCCAGGCTCACAAGAACTCAGGATCAGAAAATACTTTTAGGCAGCTGTGGACTCCGTTGAAGATTTAGGAGGGAGCCAGTGGAGCCGTGGTGGAGAGAGAAGTGCAAATAGGGAGGCAGAGTGCTTGGCCCTGAAACTGGCCCTTTAGACCTGGGGTTCTCAACCTTCTAGTGGACTTGTTAAAAAAATAGGTGGCTGGCACAGACAGGAAAAAATGCTTAACATCACTAATCATCAAGGAAATGCAAATCAAAACCTCATGAGATATCATCTCACCCTAGTTAGAATGGGGATCATCAAAAAGACAAAACATAATAAATGCTGGTGAAGATGTGAAGAAGGGGAAACTCTTATACATTGTTGGTGGAGATGTAAATTACTACAGCTAGTATGGAAAACTATGGAGGTTCCTCAAAAAACTGAAAATAGAACTACCATATGATCCAGCAATTTTGCTACTGGGCATATATCCTGATATGGCTTGGCTCTGTGTCCCCACCCAAATCTCATCTCCAATTGTAATCTCCACATGTCAAGGGAGGGAACTGTAATCCCCCCATGTCGAGGGAGGGAGGTGATCGGATCATGGGGGTGGTTCCCCCTTGTGTACTCATGATAGTGAGTGAGTTCTCATGAGATCTGATGGTTTTATAAACGTCTGGCATTTTCTGAGCTTGGACTTCTCTCTCCTGCCACCATGTGAAGAAGGTCCTTGCTTCCCCTTCGCCTTCCACCATGACTGTAAGTTTCCTGAGGCCTCTCCAACCATGTGGAACTGTGAATCAATTAAACCTCTTTCCTTTATAAATTACCCAGTCTCAGGTAATATCTTCATAGCAGTGTGAAAATGGATTAATACATATCCAAAGCAATTGGAATCAATATAGCAAATGGATACCTGCACCCCATTTATTGCAACACTCTTCACAATAGCCAACATATGGAATCAACCTCAGTGTCTGTCAACAGATGAATGGGTAAAGAAAATGTGGTACATATACATACAGAGTGGACTACTATTTAGCCATAAAAAAGAATGAAATTCTTTTTCATATTCATTCATGGCAACGTGGATGAACTTGGAGAATATTATGTTAAGTGAAATAAGCCAGGCACAGAAAGATAAATACTGCATACTCTCACTCATATGTGGAAGCTTGAAAAGTTGAGCTCATGGAAGTAGACAGTAGGATAGTGGTTTCTAGAGGCTGGGAAGGGTAGTGGGGAGGAGGGTAGCCAAAGGTTGGTAAATGGATAGAAAAGTACAGCTAGACAGGAGGAATAATGTGTAGTGTTCTATAGCACTATAGGGTGACTATAATTCACAACAATTTATTGTACATTTTCAAATAGTCGAGAGTGGATTTTGATTGCCCCCAACACAAAGAAATGATAAATATTTGAGGTGATAGATAAGCTAATTACACTGATGTGGTCATTACACATTGTATAATGTATCAAAATATCACACTGCACCTTATAAGTATGTACAATTTGTATTAAAATAATTAGTTAAAAATAATAAGAGAAAAAAAAAAAACAGATGTCCCTCCAGGGATTCTGATTCAGAAGGTTTTGAATCGGGACTGAAAGTTTGCACTTCTAACAAGTTCCCAGGAGCCACTGCTGGGCTGGGGACCACACTCTGAAAAGCACTGGTCTGGGCCTCCAGAGAAGGGAGAGAGACTTCAAATACACAATGCCCACTTCACTCTCTCTAATTCACCTTACTCTCTAAAATTTATTTTGCACCTCTTGCTTGTATCATATGATAGAGTATTTCAATATATAGTTTATGTTATTTTTCCATGAGTATGAGACTCATCTGCTACATTACAAAGTCCTAGGTTCATGGAACATGGTGTTATGTCTCATTTAATAATGACTGTTGGCTGGACACGGTGGCCCACGCCTGTAATTCCGACACTTTGGGAGGCCGAGATGGGCAGATCACCTGAGGTCAAGAGTTTGAGACCAGCCTGACCAACACGGAGAAACCCCATCTCTACTAAAAATATGAAATTAACCGGGGTTGGTGGCGCATGCCTGTAATCCCAGGAGGCTGAGGCAGGAGAATCGCTTCAACCCAGGAGGCAGAGGTTGCAGTGAGTGGAGATCGCACCATTGCACTCCAGCCTGGGCAACATGAGCAAAACACCGTCTCAAAAAAAAAAAAAAAAAAGACTTGATTGGCTGATTGGTTGTTAAGACAGATGGTCAAGGTCTTGTTATTGATCTTCCATATATCAACCCAGGTCTTCAGGCATAATTTGCATAAACAAGAGTCAAGTTTTAGAATCAGCTACATCTGGATTCAAATCCTGGCTCATCTGGCACTAGCTCAGTAACTCCCAGAAAGTCACTTAGCTTAGGAGTGATCCTGGATTCCTTTTTTTTTTCCCCCTTAACCTTTACATTCAATCCATTATTAATCTGATTGGCTCTATGATGTACTTTCAAACCATTGCATGGGTCAACTGTTGCCTCCTCAGAAAGGACTTCCCGGGAAACCTTGTCAGAAGTAGCTCTGATCTGACATTCTTTTTGATATCTCCTTGTGCATCCTCCTCCTGGCATTTAGCACAGTCAAAAATTATTTATGTTTTTACTCTTTTCTGAGACACAGTCTCACTTTGTCACCCAGTCTGGAATGCAGTGGCTCGAACACAGCTCACTGCAGCCTCGACCTCCCAGGCTCAAGTGATTCTCCCACTTCAGCCTCCTGAGTAGCTGGGACTACTATATATGTGTGTGTGTGTGTGTGTGTGTGCGTGTGTGTGTGTGTGTGTGTGTGTGTATTTTTTTTTCCAGAGATGGGATCTTGCCATGTTGCCCAGGCTGGTCTCAAACTCCTGGGCTCAAGCGATCTTCCTGCCTTGGCCTCCCAAAGAGCTGGGATTACAGGCGTGAGCCACTGCACCTGGCCTTATTTATTTACTTATTTCTGTCTTTGTCCTCCACCACTAGGATGTAAGTCCCTCTACAGCAAGGATCCTGTAGTCTTGTTCACTTATGGGCCCCCAGAGTGTTCTAGAATAACGCTTGGAAGATAATTGGCTCTCAAAATATTTGTTGAATTCATGGAAGAATAAATAAATGAGTGAATGAATGATTTTTTTTAAACAAGGTCTCACTTTGTCACCCAGGCTGGAGTGCACTGATCATGGCTCACTGCAGCCTCAACCTCCCAGGCTCAAGCGATCCTCCCACCTCAGCCTCCCAAGTAGCTGGGACTATAAGCACATGCCACCATGCCTGGCTAATTTTTGTATTTTTTGTAGATACGAGGTTTCATCACGTTGCCCAGGCTGGTCTCAAACTGCTGAGCTCGAGCGATCTGCCTGCCTTGGCCTCCCAAATTTCTGGGATTATAGGTGTGAGCCATTGCTCCTGGCCAAATGAATAATTTCTCTAAGCTTCAATTTCCTCATCTGTAAGATGAAAAGTATAATAGTACCTACCATATAAGGTTGTTTTGAGGATGAAATGAGGTAATACATGTATAAAATAATAATAGTAAACACTTGGATAGAGCTTACTGTGTGCCAGGAGCTGCTTTAAGCCTTGTAAAATATTACCCCCATTTTACAAGTGAGGAAACGAAGCAAAGAGACATTAAATGGCTTATGCAAGTTCAAACACCTCATAAGCGGCAGAGCAAATTCAGGCCTGGGCCTTCCAGATCAGAATCCATATTCATATCCACACTCCACTCTGAAGCTCTTTTCATAGGGACTGACCCTTAGCAAGTGCACAATGAATGTGGTTGTTTGAAGCCATATTCTTTCCTTTTTTTTTTTTTTTTTTTTTAGAGATAGGGTCTTGCTATGTTGTCCAGGCTAGAATGCAGTGGTGTAATAATAGCTCACTGCAGCCTCAACCTCCTGGGCTCAAGCAATTCTCCTGCCTCAGTTTCCCAAGTAGCTGGAACCACAGGTGAGCACCACCACACCTGGCTAATTTTTAAAAATTGTTTTTGGTAGAGAGCGGGTCTGGTATCGTTACCCACGATGGTCTTGAACTCTTGGCCTCAAGAGATCCTCCTGCCTCAGCCTGCCAAAGTGCTGGGATTACAGGCGTGAGCCACTGCACCTGGCCTGAAGCTATTTCTGTGTTCCTATGTCAAGACTTGCTGAACAGCTGTATATTTTCCAAATCACTGCAAAACCCAGATCCCAGTTCTTAACTCCCTCTGGATCTTCCCAAGGCTTTTGCCCTTTCCTGGAAGCAGGACTAGGGACTATTTGTGGGTTCCTCATCCCACCAGGGCTGGAGGAACACAAGGGTTCAAGGTCTAGCACCATGGACAGTGCCCCCATTTGCCTTCCCCATCTCTTTTCTCCTGCTTCTTAAGGGTCCTAAATTATTTTGACTAAGCTTCTGAGCCAACTACAAACCACTTCATCCTACCCTTTCTTAGCTTCTGTGTAACATTATGTAGGATAAGGCACAGGGGAGGAAACTTTCTGCTTTCCATCCCCTTTAGTTAATAACATCCTTGGTGAGTACACTGGAAAGCTCACTGTTTCAGGGGAAAAGAGAGGAGCTTTCTTCTGTATAGATCACCAGTTTCTGACACCACAGTGTCTTCTGGTGACATTGCCCCTCCTCGGTATCATTTATCCCCATGGTATAAACCTATTCCCTTACCACATTAAGAAAAAAACTAAAGCAAATGCTCTAGAGGCCTCGATATCCCATGAGATTTGTTAAGAAAAGTACACCCAGCTGGGCACAATGGCTCACACCGTAATCCCAGCACTTTGGGAGGCTGAAGTGGGTGGACTGCTTGAGCCCAGGAGTTCAAGACTAGCCTGGGCAACACAGTGAGACCCCCATAGCTACAAAAATTATAAAAATCAGCTGGGCATGGTGGTGGGCACCCGTAGTCCAGCTACTAAGGAGACTGAGGTGGGAGAATTGCTTGAGCCTGAGAGCTCCAGGCTGCAGTGAGCTATAATCATGCCACTGCACTCCAGCCTGGGTGACAGAGTGAGACCCACCTAAAAAAAAGAAAAAGTACCGCAGGCCAGCTGTGGTGGCTCACGCCTGTAATCCCAACACTTTGGGAGGCCAAGGTGGGAGGATCACAAGGTCAAGAGATCGAGACCATCCTGGCCAACATGGTGAAACCCCATCTCTGCTAAAAATACAAAAATTAGCCGGGCATGGTGGTGCATGCCTGTAGTCCCAGCTACTTGGGAGGCTGAGGCATGAGAATCACTTGAACCCAAGAGGCAGAGGTTGCAGTGAGCTGAGATTGTGCCACTGCACTCCAGCCTGGCAACAGAGTGAGACTCTGTCAAAAAAAAAAAAATCCAAAAAGGATTTCACTGGGCCAAAGTTACCCAACCCAACCACTGAGCTCAAACACTAAAGTAAGGGACAAACTTTCACATGAGACTTCAGAGAACTGCTCTGGAACCACAAGACCTTAGCCTAGTTGGTTTCAAAAAAATATAGTTGAGGCAAGATCCCAGTTGAGTCTCCACTCAATTTGGCCTGGGATACCTATAGGACTTGCCCATTGAACCAATGTTGAGAAACAGCATAGAGTCACTAGATGCCTAGACAGAGATGCCTCAGTCTCATCACTAGGAAAGGACTCTATGGCCAGGCATGGTGGCTCATGCCTGTAATCCCAGAATTTAGGGAGGTCAAGGCAGGAGGATCGCTTGAGGCCTGGAGTTTGAGATCAGCCTGGGTAACATAGTGAGACCCTGTCTTTACAAAAACTTTTGAAAAATAGCCAGGTGTGGTAGTGCATGCCTGTAGTCTCAGCTACTTGGGAGGCTGAGGCGAAAGGATCCCTTCAGCCCAGAAGTCTGAGGCTGCAGTGAGCTATGATCATGTCACTGTACTCCAGCCTAGGTGACAAAGTGAGACCCTGTCTTTAAAAAAATGCAAAAAAGGCCAGGCATGGTGGCTTACGCCTGTAATCCCAGCACTTTGGGAGGCCAAGGTGGGTGGATCACGAGGTCAGGAGATCGAGACCATCCTGGCTAACATGGTGAAACCCTGTCTCTACTAAAAGTGCAAAAAATTAGCTGGGCATGGTGACGGGCACCTGTAGTCCCAGCTACTCAGGAGGCTGAGGCAGGAGAATGGCGTGAACCCAGGAGGCAGAGCTTGCAGTGAGCCAAGATCGTGCCACTGCACTCCAGCCTGGGCGACAGTGCAAGACTCCGTCTCAAAAAAAAAATGCAAAAAAAAAAAAAGGACTGGGCATGTTGGCTCACACCTGCAATCTCAGCACTTTGAGAGGCCAAGGCAGGAGGATAGCTTGAGGCCAGGAGTTCAAGACCAGCCTGAGCAACATAGCAAGACAGCATCTCTATTTTTTCAAAAAATTAGCCAGGCATCATGGTGCATACCTGTAGCCCCAGCTACTCAGGAGGCTGAGGTGGGAGGATTGCTCAAGCCCAGTAGTTCAAGGTTACAGTGAGCTATGACCATACCACTGCACTCCAACCTGAATGACAGAATGAGACTCTGTCTTAGAAAAAGAGAGAAAGGACTGTAGTCACATTCTCTTGAGGCTTCTAATAATATGTTTAGAATAATTCACATGGTCTGAGACTCACATACCAATGACCTCTTCCCCCAGCTGTGTTCTCACCTGGGAAGAGGATGCGGCTGACCATCCCAGGGAACACCATTATGAAGAGGGGCAGCACCTTCAGGTATGCAGCCATCAGAGCACCTCCTTTGGCATGGGACAGGTTCTTGGCAGCCAGAGTCCGCTGGACAATCACCTGGAAAAGATCAAGGGGGTTGGAAACTGGGAATGCTGATATAGTTTGGTTGTGTCCCCACCCAAATCTCATCTTGAATTGTAGCTCCCATAATTCCCACATGTTGTGGGAGGGAGTCAGTGGGAGATAACTGAATCATGGGGGCAGTTTCCTCCATACTGTTCTCATGGTAGTGAATATGTCTCATGAGATCTGATGGTTTTATAAGGGGAAACCCCTTTCACTTGGCTCTCATTCTCTCTTTGCCTGCTGCCATCCATGTAAGACGTGACTTGCTCCTCTTTGCCTTCTGCCATGATTGTGAGGCCTCCCCAGCCATGTGGAACTGTGAGTCCATTCAACCTCTTTATAAATTACTCAGTCTCAGTATGTCTTTATCAGCAGTGTGAGAACAGACTGTATTAGAAGGCTTTCTCTTAAGGCAAACGGGGTGTGTAGCCTCTTGGTAGTTGTAGGAGACTTAGGATCTTGGTTTGCCAAGCTTCTGTTTGAAGAAACATCTCTTTCCTATGCTCAGTCCCTGTGGTCTAATTCAGGTAGTTTAGACACCCACCCCATTCCCTCCTTACTCTTTTATCCAGGGGTTACGCCTTGCCAATTAGAGTCCTCCACAGAATTATTTCACCTCTCTGGCTACTATGATCCATGAAGGAAAAGCATGTCCCCAAGGCAATCCAACCACAGCTCTCCATGGAACTTCTTCCTTAAAAAGGCAAAGGAGGCTGGGTGCAATGGCTCACGCTTGTAATCCCAGCACTTTGGGAGGCCAAAGCAGGAGGATTGCTTGGGCCCAGGAGTTCAAGACCAGCCTGGCCAACATGGTGAAACTCTATCTCTATAAAAAAATACAAAAATTAGCTGGGTGCATTGGCGCACACTTGTAATCCCAGCTACTTGGGAGGCTGAGACAGGAGAATCACTTGAACCCGGGAGGTGGAGGGTGCAGTGAGCCAAGATCGCACCACTGCACTTCAGCCTGGGCGATAGAGTGAGACTCTGTCTCAAAAAAAAAAAAAAAAAAAAAAAAAAAAGGAAGGAGGTTGTCTAACTCCTGGTGCCTCCTTCGCAATTCCTAACTGTGAAGGTAGTGTAGAGCTGCTGGCTGCATCTCTGCCATGATATGGGAAGGCCTCTTTGAAACTAAGTCATCACAGAGGAAAGAAAACCAGGAAATGGAGAGAAAGGCAATGTGTGATGATGTAGTATCAGAGACAGGCAGTCTGGGTTCAAATACTACCTCCCCACTTCCCGCCTATCTGACCTTGGGCAAGCAACTTCACCTCTCTTGGCCTCTGATTCCTCATCTATGAAATGAGCATAGTACCAGCCCAGTTTTGACAATTAGAGAAGTGAAAGTACTTAGAATACTTAGAATATGACACATAGTAACTGCTTCATAAATATTAGTTGCTTCCATTGCCATTAGCCACCTCTGGACTCCCCATCATGTAAATTTTTTAAAATGCCTTTTTTTTTTAAGAGATGGGGTCTCACTCTGTTGCCCAGGCTGAAATGCAATGATGTGATCACAGCTCACTGTAGCCCCAAAGTCCTGGGCTCAAATGATCCTCCTGCCTCAGTCTTTCAAGTAGCTGAGACAACAGGCATGAACAACCATGTCAAGCTAATTTTTAAAATTTTTATTTAGAGATGGGGTCTTGCTATATTGCTATATTGAGGAGGCTGGTCTTGAACCCCTGGCCTCAAACAATTCTCCTGCCTCAGCCTCCTAAGTAGCAATGTCACCACACTTGGCTACATTTTATGTTTAATTTTATTTTTTGTAGAGACAGACTCTCACTATGTTGCCCAGGCTGGTCTCCAACTCCTGATGTCAAACAACCCTCCTGCCTCAGCCTCCCAAAGTGCTGTGATTATAGGCGTGAGCCACCACGCCCAGAAAAAAAAAAAAAAGAGCCTTTTTATCCTTAAACAATTTTTTCCACATAAACAACTAAATGAGTCCTCACTAAATCATCAAAGAACCCTTAATGAGAAGAGTGTAGTGAGGTTAAGACTTGCTGCAAACCCCATACCACAGCCCCAATAATTTAGATTTCACAGCACATTTTGATGGGGAGAGAGATGTCACCTTGGGCGGTATTTCATCTGCAGAGTCCATGGGACTGTACCTTGTCAGAGACAGTTGCCCGAAGGCATCAATGTGCTCAAGGACAGTGTGAAATATGCAGTTTTTGTTAATGACCTAACTGCATTAGCAGTGACACAAACCGGGCTTGGTGGACACGTTTCAAGGACAGGTACTCATGCCCACTGGACACAGCACATTCAGCCGGTCAGAATTCAAAAAAGCTCCGGTCACAAGCTGGCTGTCCAACTGAGGGGTCCCTTCCCTCCCCCACCTTCCCCTCCCCTCCCCTCCTTTTCCCTTCCCTCCCTTCCCCTCCCCTCTCCTGTCCTCTCCTTTCTTCTTTCCTCTCCTCTCCTTTCCTACTTTTTTTTCTTTTCTTTTCCTTTCTTTTTTGAGATGGAGTCTTGCTTTGTCATCCAGGTTGGAGTACAGTGCTGGGATCTCTGCTCACTGCAGCCTCCACCTCCTGGGTTCAAGCAATTCTCCTGCCTCAGCCTCCCAAGTAGCTGGGATTACAGGATCCTGCCACCATGCCCGGCTAATTTTTGTATTTTTAGTAGAGATGGGGTTTCACCATGTTGGCCAGGCTGGTCTCAAACTCCTGACCTTAAGTGATCCACCCACCTCAGCCTCCTAACTTGCCGGGATTACAGGCATGAGCTGCCACACCCAGCCGGGTCTGTTTTCTGTAACCATCAGATCCTAAAAGGGAGAGTAGTCGGATGGTTCTTTTTTTTTTCTTTCTTTCTTTTTTTCTGAGGCAGGATCTCACTCTATCACCCAGATTGGAGTGCAGTGGTGCAATCATGGCTGACTGCAGCCTTGAACTCCAGAGCTAAAGTGATCCTCCCACCTCAGCATCCCAAGTAGCTGGGACCACAGGCATACACCACCACACCCAGCTATTAATATTTTTTAAATTTTTTTGTAGAGATGAGGTCTCGCTATGTTACCCACTGGTTTCAAATCCCTGGGCTCAAGCAATCGTCTTCTCACAGCCTCCCAAAGTGCGGGGATTACAGGTGTGAGCCACTGTGCCCAGCCAAGTGGTTCCTTTTTGTTTGTTTGTTTGTTTGTTTTTTGGGACGGAGTCTCGCTCTGTCACCCAGGCTGGAGTGCAGTGGCGCGATCCGGGTTCACTGCAAGCTCCGCCTCCCGGGTTCAGCTATTCTCTTGCCTCAGCCTTCCAAGTAGCTGGGACTACAGGTGCCCACCACCATGCCCAATTAATTTTTTGTATTTTTAGTAGAGACGGGGTTTCACTGTGTTAGCCAGGATGGTCTTGATCTCCTGACCTCGTGATCCGCCCGCCTCAGCCTCCCAAAGTGCTGGGATTACAGGCGTGAACCACTGTGCCCAGCCAAGTGGTTCTTAGTAAGAAACATCTCAGTTGCAGGGGAAAAAGTGAGCTAAGAGGAATGAAAATGCAACCTGAATATGTGGGGAGGAGGGGCCATGATTAGCTATGTCAGCCATCTGTTATGGCATCTGTCATCTAGCCACCTTATCTTTCCTTGCTTTTTCCACATTAATCATGTATAAATTTTCCCTTCCTTGGGGTGGGAAAGGAGGAGGGAGAGCTGTCATGGTGGAGCATGGTGACCAGGGAGCAGGCATCTGCACAGAAATGCAGCTGGGGGTGGGTTCCCAGAATTGAGAGCATCCAATAGGTGTGGTGCAATGAGTCAATGGAGCGATTTAAAGTGCAGACGGACTTAGGTGTGAATCCCCCCACCAGCTCTTTGTGAGTTTGGATGAGTTCCTTAACCTTTCCAGGCTCAGCTCTCTCATCTGTAAAATGGGGATGATAACTGTGCTTGCTTTTCAGGTGTCTAGCAGCTCTTTAGCAAAGAGAGCAGTTGTGATTATTGGCATTGTCATCATCACTGCTATTGTTAGATGAAACCAGAGAAAGAAGTTCCAACAGGTCAACGAAATAGAAATAGATGAGAGTAGGATTAGATAGTGGAAACTGGATCAGAGAGCTGTAGGTCAGAAGTTCAGAAATCTGGCTGGGTGCAGTGGCTCACGCCTGTAATCCCAGCAGTTTGGGAGGCCGAGGTGGGTGGATCACTTGAGGTCAGGAGTTCAAGACTAGCCTGGCCAACATAGCGAAACCCTATCTCTACAAAAAATACCAAAAATTAGCTGGGCATAGTGGTGCACGCCTATAGTCCCAGCTACTCAGGAGGCTGAGGCATGAGAATTGCCGGAACCCAGGAGGCAGAGGTTGCAGTGAGCCGAGATTGCACTACTTTACTCCAGCCTGGGCAACAGAGCGAGACTCTGTCTCAAAACTAAAAATAATAATAAATAATAAAAATAATAAAAAAGAAGTTCAGAAACCTGAAAACAGTAAACATTGGTTCAATAAAGGAAGGAGGAAGATGGTCTTGGGGGAATACCTGGGCAGGTGAAATTGTCTCTGGCTGGTTTTTACAAACGGCTTTTTCCTGGTGGCAGAATGGGTCAACTGTCTTTTTTTGTTTCGTTTTGTTTGTTTTTGAGACAGAGTGTTGCTGTTGCCCAGGCTGGAATTACAGGCATGAGTCACTGTGCCCGGCATAATTAATTAATTAATTAATTAATTTTTTGAGATGGAGTCTCACTTTGCTGCCCAGGCTGGAGTGCAATGGCATGATCTCGGCTCACTGCAAACTCCACCTCCCGGGTTCAAGTGATTCTCTTGCCTCAGCCTCCTGAGTAGCTGGGATTACAGGTGCCTGCCACCACACCTGGCTTTTTTTTTTTTTTTTTTTTTTTTTGTATTTTTAGTAGAGACAGGGTTTTGCCATGTTGGCCAGGCTGGTCTCAAACTCCTGACTTCAGGTGATCCACCCGCCTTGACCTCTCAAAGTGTTGGGATTACAGGCATGAGCCACCGCACCCAGCCAGGTCTGTTAAATTTAAAGCCCATGATGTTAGCCCGGATCAGTCCTGTTTCTCAAGGTCTCTCCTACCTGAGATGTGCTAAGGAGGAGAAGGGGGTCTCTCTCTTAATGGGGCAGTACATGTGCATTGCTCTCATCACTGCCTTGGTCCTTAGCTCTCCGCTCAAAGGAGGGCTGGCCTATGGATGAGACCTGGGTTTCATTCTCTGAAGTCTCCTGCATCAAATCAATGTCCAATGCCATGATTATTGCTTTAATTAAACTGTCATCAGCCCTCACTATGCAGTATAACTCCCCAAGTGGTACATTGATCTCTGATGTTTCATGTACCAGAAAAATAATATTTGAACACGTGATATATTCACTCAGTTTAAAACCCGAGAAAATATAACATGCAGTAAATCGGCTCTCATTCATCCTTCCCACCCGCCCTGCCTCCCTGCCCACAGGTATCCACTCTTCTTAGTTTTGTATACATCCATCCAGAGTTTATGGACATATAAGCAAATGCAAATATTGATTCTATTCTCCTTTTTTTTTTTTTTTAACACAAAAGGACTTCTTGTACACATGGATCTGCTTTCTGATTTTTTTCCTTTCTTTTTTCACACCAGTTATGTATCTGCCTCGCTCTGGGTGTTCCTTCTGCTGCAAACTCTTCCTCCAAAAATCACAGGAAGCTCTCGCTCTTCTACAAAGTCTTTGGTCAAAGGTCACTTCTGAATGATACCTCCCCTCAGCACCCTACATTATTTGAGACAGGATCTTACTGTCTCAAGCCTGTTGCCCAGGCTGAAGTGCAGTGGTGCAATCTCAACTCACTGCAGCTTTGACCTCCTGGGTTCCAGCAATCCTCCCACCTCAGCCTCCCAAGTAGCTGGGACTCCAGCTGCACACCACCGTGCCTGGCTAATTTTTACTTTTTTTTTTTTTTTTTTTTTAGAGATGGTCTCACTATGTTGCCCAGGTTGGTCTCAAACTCCTGGGCTCAAGTGAGCCTCCTGCCTCAGCATCCTAAAGTGTGTGAGCCACCTGTCACCCCATTTTAAATTGCACTCCCACACTCTCAATCTCCTTGACCTCACTCTACTTTTTAAAATGATATTTATCAAACTTTAACATCTCACATAATTTACTTATTATCTCCGTCTACTCCCATTAGAAGAAGGGAAGCTCCACAAGGGCAGAGAGCTTTGTTTGATTTATTAGCTCCTGATTTTAAGTGCCCAGAAGAGTGCCTGGTACGTAGAGGACACCCAGTGTGTATTTGTTGAACAAATGATGTCCAATAGGAGTTTTACCCCCATTTAAAAGGTATCATCTCCTTTGCTTACTGGATATTCTCATACATTAAGCAAAGTGTATTAGGCCAGCTGCAGTGGATCACACCTATAATCCCAGCACTTTGGGAGGCTGAGGCGGGAGGATCACTTGAACTCAGGAGCCTGAGAGCAGCCTGGTCAGTGTAGTGAGACCTGCATCTCTACTAAAAAATAATAATAATAATAAATAGCTGGGCATGGTGGCATGTGCCTGTAGTCCCAGCTACTCAGGAGGCTGA
Source organism: Homo sapiens (assembly GCF_000001405.40). Classification (NCBI taxonomy): domain Eukaryota; kingdom Metazoa; phylum Chordata; class Mammalia; order Primates; family Hominidae; genus Homo; species Homo sapiens. The sequence goes on along the minus strand of NC_000016.10, from coordinate 24,891,429 downwards.
CATGGGAGGATCTCTTGAGCCCAGGAGATGAAGGCTGCTGTGAGCTATGATCGTGCCTCTGCCTTCCAGCCTGGGTGATAGAGTGAGACCCTGTCTCAGAAAAAAAAAAAAAAAAAAAAGGCAGAGTGTGTTGAGTTTTCCCCTTTGCAAATATCAGCAGCTTTGGATTTGTCATTCCCATTCACAGAGGAAGAAATAAAATAGCATGTAGAGCAATGGAAAGGAGGAAGTAGTCAAGGAAGCAGGGAAAACGCAAATGAGAGAAGAGATGGAGGAAGAAAAAAGCACCGACTTCAGCCACCCTAAGGAAAGAAGCAAAGAGAAGGAAAAACTTGCTCAGGCCACTGTCCTGTACCTGATCCGTGCACCAGTACCAGAGGGATGGGATGGACATTCCAAATAGGACCCCCGGCCACGGGAGATCAGATGTCAGCGGATCTCGGAAAATATGGAAGGCATCTTCCCGGGGCAGCCCGCAGCTGCTGTTCTCACTCCGGTTGCTAGCCAGGGCCAAGAAGTACTTCTCCTTCAGTCCTTCCATCCCACCAACCGCGGCGAAACCTAGAATTCAGAGGAAGCCTATTTTCCGGGAACTCAGATTGGTCCATGGCAAGTGATGAGGAGATGGCTGGAGACTGGTGAAATTCTAGTAGGACCAGAGCCACCAAAAATGTTAATCCCCTTAAGGGTTCTTAACCTCCTCCCCACATTTTTTTAACTTAAAAAAATTAATATTAGAGTTTTATTGGACTATAATTGACCTAACCATAAATTACAAATATGTAAAATGTAAAATTTGGTGTTTGACATAAGTATTCACCCATGAAACCTCCGTCACAAAGTAATGAATGTATCTATCCAAGTTTCTTTTTTCTTTCTTTCTTTCTTCCTTCCTTTCTTTCCTTCCTTCCTTCTTTTTTTTTTTTTTTTTTTTTTTTTTTTTTTTGATATGAAGTCTTGCTCTGTCACCAAGGCTGGAGTGTAGTAGCATGATCTTGGCTCACTGCCACCTCCGCCTCCCAGGTTCAAACGATTCTCCTGCTTCAGCCTCCTGAGTAGCTGGGATTACAGGCATGTGCCACCATGCCTGGCCAATTTTTGTACTTTTAGTAGAGATGGGGTTTCACCACGTTGGCCAGGCTGGTCTCGAACTCCTGACCTCAAGTGATACTCCTGGCCATTGTCCCATGCCATTGTATGTTATTTAAGCCCATTGAATTCTCCCAAAAATAATTTACTACCTCCCTAAAATCATCTACACTTGTCCATCTCCTTTTTCCTTAAGAAGTGCGGTATAGAAACATCTGTATGACATTAGGATATTGAGAAATCCCTCTGTAATTCTCCCCTGTGTGTGCTAATAAATTTGTATGCCTTTTCTTCTATTAATCTGCCTCTTGTGGGTTGATTTTCCAGTGAGATTTCCAGTCTTCCCTTCGCTCCTACAATTGCTTCTCAGAAGAATACTTCTAAATAATGCAAAAATACATAGGATTGCAAAGAAATCAAATATATTGAACCATCAAAATATTAAAAATGTGACATAGTAATTTATTTATTTGCTCCATTAAATTGTAAGACTGGCCAGGCACAGTGGCTCACACCTGTAATACTAGCACTTTGGGAGGCCGAGGTGGGCGAATCGCCTGAGGTCAGGAGTTCGAGACCAACCTGGCCCACATGGTGAAACCCTGTCTCTACTAAAAATACAAAAATTAGCCAGGCGTGGTGGTGGGTGCCTGTAATCCCAGCTGCTCAGGAGGTTGAGGCAGGAGAACGTCTCCTGGAGGTAGAGGTTGCAGTGAGGCAAGATTGCGCCACTGCATTCCAGCCTGCGTGACAGAGCGAGACTCCATCTCAAAAAAAAAAAAAAAAAAAAAAAAAAATTGTAAGACCTTGTAGTAGGTCTAATAATGGTTTCAGGTTTTGTTGTTTTGTTTTGTTCTTAGAGACAGGGTCTCACTCTGTCACCCAGGCTGGAGTGTAGTGCTACAATCATAGCTCACTGTAACCTTGAACTCCTGGGCTCAAGCTATCCTCCTGCCTCAACCTCCAGAGTAGTTAAGACTACAGGCATGTACCACCACATCCAGTGACTTTTAAAGTTTTTTGTAGAGATGGATCTCACTATGTTGCCCAGGCTGGTCTCGAACTCCTAGGCTCAAGCAATTCTCCTGCCTCAGCCTCCCAAAGTTCTAGGATTACAGGCATGAGCCACCGCATATGGCTTATATTTTGTTTCTTTTCTCATTCTTAATTATGCTGTTTTCTCTTTTTTTCTTGGTTTGATTTGCAGCTGCATTTTATGGTTCTTTTCAAAGAAATAGATATTGGGCCGGGCCAGGTGGCTCACGCCTGTAATCCCAGCACTTTGGGAGGCCAACGCGGGTGCATCACCTTAGGTCAGGAATTCAAGACCAGCCTGGCCCACATGGGGAAACCCTGTCTCTACTAAAAATAGAAAAATTAACCAGGCATGGTGATGCATGCCTGTAGTCCCAGTTACTCAGGAGGCTGAGGCAGGAGAATTGCTTGAACCCGGGAGGTGGAGGTTGCAGTGAGCCAAGATCACACCACTGCATGCCAGCCTGGGCAACAGAGCCAGACTCCGTCTCAGAAAAAAAAAAAAAAAAAAAAAAAAAAAAAGGACAGGCACGGTGGCTCACACCTGTAATCCCAGCACTTTGGGAGGCCAAAGTGGGCAGATCGCCTGAGGTCAGGAGTTTGAGACCAGCCTGGCCAACATGGTGAAACCCCATCTCTACTAAAAATACAAAAATAAGCTGGATGTGGTGGCGCGAGCCTGTAGTCCCAGCTACTTGGGAGGCTGAGGCAGGAGAATCACTTGAACCCAAGAGGTGGAGGTTGCAGTGAGCTGAGATTGTGCCACTGTACTCTAGCTTGGTGACAGAGCAAGAGTCCATCTCAAAAAAAAAAAAAAAAAAAAAAAAGAAATAGATACTGGAGTAACTGGAGTAACCCATAATGTCATCTTCTTTTTTCTAAATCACTAAATTGGGCTTTCATATTTATGAATATAAATGTTTTGATAGAGGTACAGCTTTGACTGTATTAAGTATGAAATGTAATGTTCTCATTTTTCTCTGCATAGTCTGTAATTGCAGCTTTTACTTCCTTTGTGACCCAGGCACTATTTAGAAGATGGCTATTAAATTTCTAAGTAACTAGATTTTTTAAAAATTTACACTTTTCCTAATGAGTTTAATTTTTGGGGTGTATATGAGTAAGATAATATAATCTGAACAACGCTTTTATACATATTTTTGTAAAAAATTTTTTTCAATGATTAATTTTTGCGGGTGATTCCATGAATGCTGGAAAAAGATACATTCATGATAGGAGAACGCTTATTCATTTGTAGAATTTATATCTTCTAAATCCTTATTATGTTCTTGTTCTGTTAAACTATTTTAGTACTGTTTTGGTTTCTGTCAACCTATAACAGCTTCTGCTTTGTGTATCTTGTTGCAATGTTATTTAATAAGCAAAGATTATCTCTTTATTATGAATTTTCTATTTTCAATATAAAATTACTTATCCCCCGTTTATCGCTTTTTGCCTTATGTTATACTTTGTTTTATATGTGCCACTTGCAAATTATATCAAGTTACATTTTCTTAACCCAAAATATAAATCTTGAGTTTTGTTGAGAAAATAAATAATATATAGCTAAGGAAGAGAAAAACAGAACAAACAGCCACACAGATTGTAACTGCTTATAAGAAGCCTTGTCTTTCAATAGGGAATTTTATTCCATGTACTTGTATTGTAATAACTGATATTTTTACTATTACTTTGCATTCTCTTTTATTCTTTCCCTTTGGTTGTGATTTCTTGTTATTCTCTTTTAGGAAAAAAAAACTTATATGCACACATATTTCCTACATAAAGGGTGAGATTTATATGAGTGTCTGCTTGGAGTTCAGTATTTCTTCTTCATGATGTTTTTCTTCCTATTTGATGGGAAATCTAGCATACTATCTCTCCCAACATTTTAAAGTTTTTGTTAGTAAAATAGGGGGCTTTAGATCCAATTTTTATTAAATTGTTATATTCTTTATGTAACGTTTGCCTTGACCACACAATTTTTTCAGATCTGTAATGATTTTAACTGGATCATTATTTACTACCATTTTCTCTTTAGTCATAATACCAACTCTCGATTTTGTTTTGTTTCTGTCTTGTACCTTCAAGACAGGCACATAGGTCCTCCCTTTACTAAGTCTTTGCATGGTTCAGAATATTTCTGCAGCCCTGGCAAACAGAGAACTTGGCTGGTATCTGATCCTTACTTAGGATACAACTTTTCCCATAAAACACATCTGTAGCCCTTGCTCCACTGTCTTTTGGCATTTTATTGTTATGAAGGAGGGGAATGAGACCAGTTTGTTTATTATTTTTAGCTCACTACATTTTTTCTGTCTGGATTCTTTTTTTCTTATATACAGAGTCTCACCCTGTCACCCAGGCTGGGGTGCAGTGGTGCAATAATAGCTCACTGCAGCCTCGAGCACCTGGACTCAAGTGATCCTCCTGCCTCAACCTCCTTAACCTCCCTGATCCTCCAGTCCCCACCTGAGACCACAGGTGTGCACCACCACATCCAGCTAATTTTCCATTTTTCATAGAGTGGGGTCTTGCTTTGTTGTCCAGGCTGGTTTCAAGCTACTGGCCTCAAATGATCTTCCCACCTCTCTGTCTGTATTCTTTAGTATTTAAAAAGTATTCTTATACTTCACATTTTTTTCATAATGCTTCTTCTACCTGGAGATCTTGTTCATCGATTTTGCCTAAGACACAGCAAACCCTTCACACCTAGCTAGATATATCATCCTCCTTCTAAGAAAAGTTTTCTTTTGTGATTACTTTAATTATTTACTTTGTTCCATTTTTTTCTGACCTTTTTTCTAAGAATAAACATTTCTCAAAAAGCAAAAACAGAAAGAAAGAAAAAGAATAAACATTTCTCAAATGGTATATCTCTGCTCTCTATCTTCTATATTTGTCATCTTTTCTTTTATAATTTTATTATTTATCCCTTTTCTCTGCATTTTATTAGAACTCCTGTTTGTTTTCAGCCGGGCGTGGTGGCTCATGCCTATAATCCCAGCACTTTGGGAGGCCAAGGCGGGCAGAAGATGAGGTCAAGAGATGGAGACCATCCTGGTGAAGATGGTGAAACCCCGTCCCTACTAAAAATACAAAAATTAGCTGGGCATGGTGGCGTGTGTCCGTAGTCCCAGCTACTTGGGAGGCTGAGGCAGGAGAATCGCTTGAACCCGGGAGGTGGAGGTTGCAGTGAGCCAAGATCATGCCACTGCACTCCAGCCTGGGTGACAGAGCGAGACTTCATCTCAAAAAAAAAAAAAAAAGAACTCCTATTTGTTTTCATCCTGGGTTTGATTTTCTTTAGCGTTTGTTCTGCTCTTTACATCCACCTGTGGGGAGTTTAATTCTGCTAATTTTTTTAGAAAATTTTAGAAAATGTATTGTAATCTTCTGTAATCTTTTTCCTTTTTATCCGCTTCTATTCTCCCTTCACCTCAGTTTGTCCTCTACTTCTATCTTTCATACATGTTTCATAGAGTTCAGGATTCCAAGCATGGCACTCTCTTGATATTTTCTTCTGAGTCCTAAAATATATAATTTTCAGCACTATATTCTGCCATCTTTCAGGATTTTGATCCCTTTCGCTTTTCTGTGTTTTCTATATTAGTTTTCATAGCCTTTTTTTTTTTTTTTTTTTTTTTTTGAGACAGGGTCTCACTCTGTCTCAAAGCGAGACCAGGCCGGAGTGCAGTGGCACAATCTCAGCTCACCGCAGACTCAACCTGCCAGGCTCAAGCCATCCTCCCACCTCAGCCTGTCAGGTAGCTGGGACTACAGGCACATGCCACCAAACCTGGGTAAGTTTATGTTTATTTTTTGTAGAGACAGTCTCACTATGTTGCTCAGGCTGGTCTCAAACTCCTGAGCTCAAGCGATCCTCTTGCTTTGGCCTCCCAAAGTGCTGGGATTACAGGTGTGAGCCACCACACTCGGCCTTTGTTGTAGTCTTTAAGGCTTAATGAGTGGCTTACCTCTAAAAGATAGAAACCTGTGGAGAGTAGTGTCCCCCGCTTAACAATAATAAGAAGTTGGCTAATCAACAAAATAACTTCCCCTGAACCTATCAGAGAGCTGAGGCCATAGAGCAACCAACTGGCCTGAGATCTCAGAAAACACAGGAGCCTCCAAAGAGACATGACCGTTGGCAGCAAAACAAAGACAGGATCACCACACAAGCTGGTACGAAGAATTGGGCGAATATTTTGAAATGAAATGCTAAAGTCTAGGTGTGGGCTAGTGCTAGAGTTTAAAGCTTCTGGGCTGGATGCAGTGGCTCACGCTTGTAATTTCAGCACTTTGGGAGGCCGAGGCAGGTGATTGCTTGAGCCCAGGTGTTTGAAACCAGCCTGGGCAACATGACGAAACCCCATCTATTTAAAAAAATGAAAAAAATTAGCCAGGGATGGTGGTGCACACCTGTGGGCCCAGCTACTTGGGAGGCTGAGGCGGGAGGATTGCTTGAGCCCAGGAGGCAGAGGTTGCAGTGAGCCAAGACTGTGTCACTGCACTTCAGCCTGGGTGGCAGAGTGATACCCTGTCTCGAAACAAACAAACAACAACAAAAACCTCTGTAAGGAAAAGCTGTCTCTTCACATTCTTTTATTTATTCATTCAGTTATTTTTCCATATTAGTATAGAAAGAGATTTTTACTTGAAAAAAAAAAAAACAGTGCCAGGTGGGGCAGCTTGGGGAGGCTGAGGCAGGAGAATCACTTGAGGCCAGGAGTTTGAGATCAGCCTGGGCAACATAGTGAGACTCTATCTCTACAAAAAAAAAAAAAAAAAACAAAATAAAAAAGCAATTAGCTCGACATAGTGGCCTATGTCTGTAGTCCCAGCTACTCAGGAGGCTGAGGTGAGAGAGTCACTTGAGCCCAGGGGCTCAAGGCTGCAGTGAGCAATCATCACAGCACTGCACTCCAGCCTGACTGACAGAGCAAGATCCTGCCTCAGAACAAAAAACAAAAACAAAAACAGTAAGTTTCCACAATAAGCACATTTCTCTTCTAGCTAAAATAACCGTGCCTCAAGCAAAGCACCTGTGACAAAAAATTCCCCAGTAGTATGCTCTTTGACAGCTAGGTTTGCCGTTCACAGTGTGGAGAGCAGATATCCCTGCTGGAGAGAGGTGCTGTTGTCCGCCCCAGTGACCCGGGGACCCCACTTACTGTAGCCCATCAAGGTGAGCGCTCCTATAAGCATGATCAGCGTCTGCAGGGCATCCGTGTAGATCACAGCAGCCAGGCCACCTGGTGGGATGAGCACGGAGGTGAGGGTCAGGGAGTCTAACGAGAAGGGGTTACTCTGGGTCACCAAGGGAACCTGGAAGGCCAGGACCCGATGGGAGATTTCTTAGTGCTGACTGATTGCAAAGATGGCCACGATCACTCCTCCCTGTGTGCACGCCCATTTTGCAATGTGACTTTGCTGCTCCTTTCACGTTGAGGTGAAGTTGATTTCTCCGCTTCTCACATGGGCTTGGCCACGTGACTTGCTTTGACCAATAGAATGTGGGGGAAGTGGTATGGGCCTCAAGGAGCCCTGCAGCTTCTGCACTTACTCTCCTGTTGCCCTGAGACCATTTGCTTTAAGAAGCCAGGTCTAACCTAGTGAAGGAAGAGGGCCCCCACGGAGGGGAAGCCCAGTCGACAGCCCAAGCTAACACCAGCCATGTGAGTGAGGCCATCCTCTTCCAGCCAGTTGCTCCACCTAACACCGAACTATAATTCGCAGAGCCAGGTTAGACTAGCAAATATCCACCCAGGAACCCATGGACTTGTGGGGAATAATAAACCATTGATTTTTCAAGCCCCTCAATTTGTGGGTGGTTTTTTAACACAGCAATTTTCAACTGATATAGGAAGTGGTGCTTAGGCCACAGTCCCCAAGCTCTGAACACCTTTAGTTATTTATTATTTATTTATTTATTTTTTAGAGCCAGGGTCTCACTCTGTCAACCCAGGCTGGAGTGTAGTGGCGTGATCATAGCTCACTGCAGCCTAGACTTCCTGGGCCCAAGTGATTGTCCTGTCTCAGTCCCCCAAGTAGCTAGGACTATAAGCATGAGCCACCATGCCTGGCTAATTTTTAACTTTTCTCTAGAGATGGAGTCTTGCTATGTTGCCCAGGGTGGGCCCGAACTCCTGGCTTCAAACAGTCCTCCTGCCTCGGCCTCCCAAGGTGCTGGGATTACGGGTGTAAGCAACTACACCCAGCCAACACCTTTATTTTTAAGACTGGATAAAGGATGTGAGTATTAGGTATTCAGAGGCCCCCTAGACTTCCTGGAGAGGATCGTGATGGTGCCTCAGAGGATTCTTGTTGGGTTTGCCACCTGCAAAAATCTTCGAAATGGGCTGGGAAAGATGGCTCATGCCTGTAATCCCAGCACTTTGGGAGGCTGAGGCAGACAGATCACCTGAGGTTAGGGGTTCAAGACCAGCCTGGCCAACATGGTGAAACCTTGTCCCTACTAAAAATACAAAAATTAGCCAGGTGTGATGGGGCATGCCTGTAATCCCAGCTACTCGGGAGGCTGAGACAGGAGAATCACTTGAACCCAGGAGGCAGAGGTTGCAGTGAGCCAAGATCGTGCCACTGCACGCCAGCCTGGGCAACAGAGCGAGACTCCATCTCAAAAGAATAAATAAATACATAAAAATTCATAATGATGATCCTGGTAGCAAATCCATCAGCATCTGGAAAGAGCAATCTTTCCAGTCTCTTCCTTAAACCTCTGTTCTTCCTCCTTCCCTGAGGAGAAGGGACACTTATCCAATAGAAACATGTCTACTAGAGGGCACAGTCACTGTACAATTTAAAAACCCTGTGCCCGTGGGTGAGGTGCTCTCCAGGATCCCTCCTTCCTTCCCAGCAGGAATAGGGCTCTCACAAAGGGGAGGAGAACTGGCTTTGATTCTGGCCTCAGTTCCCTGCCGTTCACGCATGCAGTGAGTCAGCCTGAGTGTGGTGAGATCCTGGTGTTGGGTACCACTTAACCCCACCATCCTTTCTATATTAACAGTGATGAGAATCTCTCATATGCCAGGCACTGTGGGGATCATTTTGTTCAGTCTTTCACCAAATAGCCGGTGAGCTCCCCACCAAGTTCTACGTGGTAGGGATGCAGAGGCCAACAAAATGGCATGTTCCCTGCCCTCATAGAGTCTACAGTCTAATGGGGGACACAGACCTCCAAACAAGGAACACCAACATTCATCAGCTATGGCAGCCTGCCCTCCCCTTTTCCCCTGCCCCAGGCACATTGCTTCTGCTAGTTCTGAGAACTCAGCCAAGGTCTTTCTGTATCAGGGGACTTTGCATATGTTAGATTTTGTCAATTTTCTGTTTAGAGCATCCAATAGTATTCCATGGCACTTAGAACAAATGTAAGGCTCATTTTGTTTCCTTCAAAGCTCTGGTCCCTGCCCTTTTCTCCAATCCCACTCTTACCACCAGGGTTGCTGCTTAGCACAGTGCCACGGGGTGCCATTTTCACTCTGGTTGGTGTGAATGGCACCCCCTGGAGTGGAATAGGGCACAGCCTACATAACCATTTGCTCAAGCAGGTTCTCATCTCAGAGTGTTTACTGCAGCCCTTCTCTCAGCCTGGAATTCTCCTCCCCTGCATTGCTCATGGGGTGTTATTTAAACTTGGTTGAGATACGAAAAAATGCTCATCATCGCTAATCATCAGAAAAATGCAAATCACAGGCCGGGCACAGTAGTTCACATCTGTAATCCCAGCATTTTGGGAGGCTGATGCAGGCGGATCACTTGAGGCCAGGAGTTCAAGACCAGCCTGACCAACACAGTGAAACCCTTTCTCTACCATAAAATACAAACGTTAGCCGGGCATAGTGACTGGCACCTGTAGTCTCAGCTACTTGGGAGGCTGAGGCAGGAGAATCACTTGAACCTGGGAGATGGAGGTTGCAGTGTGCCAAGATTGCACCATTGCACTCCAGCCTGGGCAACAGAGGGAGACCCTGTCTCAAAAAAAGAAAAACAAACAAACAAACAATCAAACAAAAACAAATCACTACCACAATGAGATATCATCTCACACCAGTCAGAACAGCTTTTTTTTTTTTTTAATTTGAGTTTCGCTCTGTTGCCCAGGCTGGAGTGCAGTGGCACGATCTCAGATCACTGCAGCCTCTGCCTCCAGGGTTCAAGCGATTCTCCTCCCTCAGCCTCCCAGGTAGCTGGGATTACAGGTGCCCGCCACCACGCCTGGCTAATTTTTTTGTATTTTTAGTAGAGACAGGGTTTCACTATATTGGCCAGGCTGGTCTCGAACTCCAGACCTCAGTTGATCCTCCTGCCTTGGCCTCCCAAAGTCCTGGGATTACAGGTGTGAGCCACTGTGCCCGGCCAGAACAGCTTTAAACTTAAAAACAATTAAGAAGTCAAAAGATAACCGACGTTGGCGAGGTTGTGGAGAAAAGGAAATGCTGATGCACTGTTGGTGGGAGTGTGATATGGTTTGGCTCTGTGTCCCCACCCAAATCTCATGTTGAATTGTAATCCCCGCGTGTTGGGGGAGGGTCCTGGTGGGAGGTGATTGGATTATGGGGGTGATTTTAATGATTCAGCACCATCCCCAGTGCTGTCTGGTGATAGAGTTCTCATGAGAATTGGTTGTTTAAAAGTGTGTAGCACTAGGCCAGGCACGGTGGCTCATGCCTGTAATCCCAGCACTTTGGGAGGCCGAAGCGGGCAGATCACCTGAGGATGGGAGTTCGAAACCAGCCTGACCAACATGGAGAAACCCTGTCTCTACTAAAAACACAAAATTAGCTGGGCATGGTGGCACGTGCCTGTAATCCCAGCTATTTGGGAGGCTGAGGCAGGAGAATTGCTTGAACCCAGGAGGTGGAGGTTGTGGTGAGCTGAGATTGCACCATTGCACTCCAGCCATGAAAGAGTAAGTCTCCATCTCAAAAAGAAAAGAAAAGAAAAAAGTGTGTAGCACCTCCCGCTTCACTCTTTCTCTCCGGCTCCATCATGGTAGGACGTGCTTACTTCCCCTTTGCCTTCCACCATGACTGTAAGTTTCCTGAGGCCTCCTAGCCATGCTTCCTGTTAAGCCTGTGGAACTGTGAGTCAATTAAACCTCTTTTTTTTTTCATAAATTATCCAGTCTCGGGTAGTTCTTCATAGCAGTGTGAGAATGGACTAATACAGAGTGTAAATTAGTTCAGCCACTGTGGAGAGAGAACTGAGAATTGAATTATCATTTGACCAGCAATCCCACTACTGGGTATGTACCCAAAGGAAAATAAGTCATCCTACCAAAAAGACACATGCCCTCATATGTTCATCACAATACTACGCACAATAGCAAAGACATGGAATTGACACAGGTGCCCATCAACAGTGGATTGGATAAAGAAAATATGGTACAGATATACCACGAAATACTACACAGCCATTAAAAAGGACAAAATCATAACCTTTGCAGCACATGAATGCAGCTGGAGGCCCTTATCCTAAGTGAATTAATGCAGGAACAGAAAACCACTCACTTATTTGTTTATTTTCTTTTTCTTTGAGATGGGGTCTTGCTCTGTTGCCCAGGCTGGAGTGCAGTGGTGTGATCTCCATTCACTGCAACCTTGCAACCTCTGCCTCCTGCGTTCAAGAGATTCTCCTGCCTCAGCCTTCCACATAGCTGGGATTACAGGCACCTGCCACCACACTCTGCTAATTTTTGTATTTTTAGTAGAGAATGGGTTTCACCATGTTGGCCAGGATGCTCTGGAACTCCTGACCTCAGGTGATCTTCCCACCTTGGCCTTCCAAAGTGCTGGGATTACAGGAGTGAGCCACCATGCCTGGCCCACCTGTTCTCACATATAAGTGGAAACTGAATAAACATTGGGTACTCATGGACTTGAATAAGGGAATTGGGGACTACTAGAGGAGGGAGAGGGAGGGGGATACCAGTTGAAAAACTACCCATTGGGTACTATGCTCACTACGTGGACTAATGGATCCATTCGTACCCCAGACCTCAGCATCATGCAATATACCTATTAACAAACCTGCATGTACCTCCTGAATCTAAAATCAAAGTCGAAGGTGAAAAAAAAATTGGTTGAGATATCACCTTAGAGAGGCCTTAGCTGAATATTCTATGTAAAAAAAAAACAAAAAACCAAAAAAAACCTGTCCTCCATCTCTTCACCCCAATTAATTTTTCCTTATAGCACTTCTCAGGTTATAATAATATACACTGACATATTTATTTATTTATTTTTGAGACAGAGTCCCACTCTGTTGCCCAGGCTGGAGTGCAGTGGTGTGATCTTGGCTCACTGCAACCTCCGCCTCCTAGGTTCAAGTGATTCTCTTGCCTCAGCCTCCCGAGTAGCTGGGATTACAGGCATGTGCCATCATGCCCAGCTAATTTTTCTGTATTTTTAGTAGAGACCGGGTTTTGCCATGTTGGCTAGGCTGGTCTAGAACTCCTGATCTCAGGTGATCCACCCGCCTCGGCCTCCCAAAGTGTTGGGATTACACACGTGAGCCACCACACCTGGCCTAACATTATTTATTGATTTCCCTGTTCATTGTCTCCCATCCTCAATAAGTTCCTCTGGAGTAGAGATATTTGTCTTGCTTACATCTGTGCCTCACTCCCTGGCATGATGTCTGGCACACAGTAGGAAATGTATATCCATATACACATACCTGTGTATGTAAATACATGATATATAGATACAAGGTACATAATATAGAGATACCAGTGTGTTTGTGTCTGTGCACACACAGGCACACACAGACACAAACAGACACACACATATATATGGAATGAGTTATATCAAGCCAAGAGGAGGCGGAAAAGGGTGAAAATAGAGTGGAAGATGAGATAATAAATATTTAAAAACAGGTACTTCTCAAGGCCCTACTGCGTGCCAGGCACTCTTCTAGGATACAGGTATGAGGCGGAGAGATGAGGTTACCTGCCCTCAGGCTCCAGGATTGCAGTAGTTTATTATCCAGCCTTGTATTGTGCCTGTGAGTGCACATGGCTCAGCAGTTAGTAGGTGCTCAAGAAACAGTTCTGGGATACATGAATGGGAAAAAACATTATGCCATTGTGGTGCATTTTAAAAATGCTTTATCTTTTTTTATTCTGAGACGGAGTCTCGCTCTGTCACCCAGGCTGGAGGGCAATGACACCATCTTGGCTCACTGCAACGTCCGCCCCACCGGGGTTCAAGCGATTCTCCTGCCTCAGCCTCCTGAGTAGCTGGAATTACAGGAGTCTGCCAGCATGCCCGGCTAATTTTTTGTTGTTGTAGTTGTGAGCTGGTGTCTCGCTCTGTCACCCAGGCTGGAGTGCAGTGGCGCGATCTTGGCTCACTGCAACCTCCGCCTCCCGGGTTCAAGTGATTCTCCTGCCTCGGCCTCCTGAGTAGCTGGGATTTCAGGCACGGGCCATCATGCCTGGCTAATTTTTGTATTTTTAGTAGAGATGGGGTTTTGCCATGTTGGTCAGGCTGGTCTTGAACTCCTGACCTCGTGATCCACCCACCTTGGCCTCCCAAAGTGCAGGGATTACAGGCGTAAGCCACCGTGCCTGGCCTAATTTTTCTATTTTTAGTAGAGATGGGATTTTGCCATGTTGGCCAGGCTGGTCTGGAATTCCTGGCCTCAAGTGATCCACCTGCCTCGGCTTCCCAAAGTGCTGGGATTACGGGCATGAGCCACCGAGCCCAACCTAAAAAGCTTTATCTTATCAGGTAACCCCCTTCCTTTGGATAATGGTCAGGAGAAATCTTTTTATCTAGGGTAAAGGAGTGACGTTTAATGAATAAATGGGTCTTAGCACAATGGAACATCAGAAGATGGGCAAGGAGAAGGTAGAGTGGCCCACAGCCCCTGCCCACTGCCTCTGCTAGGTGTTACCCTTTGTTCAGTCTTACCAGCAACCGTGTATACAGCAGTGATGGCCAGTAGCCCAACTATGGCCAGGTACAGATCCAGGTGCAAAGACTGCTGGATGAAGATGGCACCTGCATACATGTCTACCTGTGAAGAAAGGAGGTTGATGGATGAACAAATGAACGAATGAATGAATGAGTGGACATTTGCAGCACAGGTTCCCTGGGATCAGGGCCTAGCCTAGATGCTGACAAACACAGAAGAGTCATACGTCATCCCTTGTTAATCCACTGCATCCCAGATCAGGGGTCTTCAGCTGGAGCCCTGTGGGCCCTGGGCTGATGCAGCAGCCTCCTCAATGGTCTTCCTGCTTCTGCTTTTGGTCCTCTCCCACTCCATCTTCCACACTGCAACCTTCATTAAATACCATAATGATCACATCACCCTTCTCCTCCCCACTCAAACTCTTAAGTGACTCCCCCATTGCCCCCAAGATAAAGGCTAAATAAATGAGGCTAAATACTCACTTCGTACTCCCAGACCTCCACAGACTCTGAAATACCCTCTGTTTCTCAACAAGTCATGTGTACCTGGGCCTCCCAGATTTCACTTGTGCTGGTGCTTCCGTCTGGAGGGCCAATCCCCTTTCTCTAACTGTAAGTTCCTCCTGGGATGTAACTTCCCCTAGAAGGCTTCCCACATCTGCAGCTTCCCACCAGACTGCAAGTGAACATTCTAGAAAGGAGCCTGTGTTGTCTGTCCTGCAGTCTGGAGCTGGCGTAGATTCACTTATTGTTGTTTGGATTGAACGGAACCCCTTCTGCTCCCCCTCACCCCTTCCCATAGGACAAGCTCCTCCCTCCTCCCTGGCTGGAAGCGAAGACAGCTTCTGCTGAGGGGCACATGTCTGGAGGTTGCAATACACCTGTTCTTTGCCACTTCCTAGGAGATCTGCCCATCCAAAGGTCAGGGTGGGGCAGCGCAATCAGCCAACAGCACATCGGATAAACAGCTGATCACTGTCTAATTCCAGGAGGAAGAGAACAGTCCTATCCAAGGGTTGGCAGGGTTCTTGGAGTCCCATTGATCAACCCACATCATCCTGAGATGTTGACAAAGAAGCTTTGGCAGGAGTAGGAGAGAAAGTCCTTCCCTCCTTTCCTCTACCTTTTCTCCCAATTTCTTCTTTTTTTTTTTTTTCTTTTTTTTGACACAGAGTCTCGCTCTTTCACCCAGGCTGCAGTACAGTGGCATGATCTTGGCTCACTGCAACCCCCGCCTTCTGGGCTCAAGCAATTCTCCTGCCTCAGCCTCCCGAATAGCTGGGACTACAGGCATCAGCCACCACGCCTGGCTAATTTTCGTATTTTCTGGTAGAGATGGGGTTTCGCCATGTTGGCCAGACTGGCCTCAAACTCCTGACCTCAAGTGATACACCTGCCTCAGCCTCCCAAAGTGCTGAGATTACAGGCGTGAGCCACTGCACCCAACCATTTTCTCCCAATTCCCTCTGTCCACGCTTACCTCCCCCCATGCCATCTTCCTCTAATCTCCCTGCAGCCTATGAAAGACGAGGAGAAAGGGGATAGCGAGGAGACACTCCTGAGCAATGATCTGTGCCTTATCTTCTCCCCATGCTGCATGGGTGAGGCCAGGCTGTGTCCCTGCCTTACCGAGATCTTGGTGAAGATGTAGATAAATAGGTAGAGTACAGCCAGGATGATGGGGATTCTGATGCCACCGAAGCGCTTCCGTAGGTATTCTGGCATCGTGGTGACCTGAGGGCCAGAGCTGAGATTTCACCACCAGCGGACTTCACCACCAGCACGTGACCCCCCCACACAAGCCCTTCCCATCTGCTCCTGCCCCCGCAACTCAGAGCACAGATGGTCTTCTTGGGATTCTCAACCTGATACTTAAGAAGGGAGGAGAGGGGCCCAGCACAGTTGGTTCCCATCACTTTGGGAGACTAAGGCAAGGGGAATCACTTGAGTGCAGTTTGAGACCAGACTGGGCAACATGGTGAAACCCCATTTCTACAAAAAATACAAATTTAGTCATGCGTGGTGACAGGCGCCTGTAGTCCCAGCTACTCAGGTGGCTGAGGTGGAAGGATCACTTGAGCCTGAGCTCAGGAGGTCGCGGGTGCAGTGAGCCATGATCATGCCATTGCACTCTAGCCTAAGTGACAGGGAGACCCTGCCTCAAAAGACATACATATGGTAGACAAAAACAAATTCTAGGCGGATAATAGATTTAATTGTGAGGCCATGCACGATGGCTTACACCTGTAATCCTAGCACTTTAGGAGGCCAAGGTGGGAGGACTGCTTGAGCCCAGGAGTTCAAGACCAGCCTGGGCAACATCTCTATTGCTACAGTAAGACCCCATCTCTATTTTTTTTTAAAGACATATAACCTAATAGAAAAATGGACAAAAGTCCTAGACAAGTTACTTCCTCAAAGAGGAAATCCAAATGGCCGGAAAATGTATAAAAAGAGTTGCCAATTAAAAACAGTGAGATGGCCAGGTGCGGTGGCTCAGGCCTGTAATCCCAACACTTTGGGAGGTGAGGTGGGAGGATCATCTGAGGTCAAGAGTTCAACACCAGCCTGGACAACTTGGCGAAACCCCGTCTCTACTAAAAATACAAAAATTAGCTGGGCATGGTGGCTGTAGTCCCAGCTACTGGGGCAGTGTGTGTGTGGTGGGGGACGGAGTGAGGCAGGAGAATCAAGAATTGCTTGAACCCAGGTAGGCGGAGGTTGCAGTGAGCTGAGGGCACGCCACTGCACTCCAGCCTGAGCGACAGAGCAAGACTCTGTCTCAAAAAAATTTTAAAAAGCAGTGAGATATCACTACACATGCACCAAATTCGCAAGAATCTTTAAGTTGGAGAATATAAAATGTAACCAAGGATACGCTGAATTGCAGGAAAGGGAATTTTCATACACTGCTGGTGGGAATATAAATGGATAGAACTACTCTGGGAAAATGTTTGTCAATATCTTGTAAAGCCAAAGATGAACATATCCAATGACCTAGAAATTCCACTTAGAGGTAGATTCTCTCACCAATGCTTGTCTATGTGTAGAAGAACACATTTATAAAAATGTTCACAGCAGTGCTGTCTATCATAGACCAATACTGGGAGCAACTTAAACGCCCATGCACAACAGAATGGATAAATATATTGGAATGTGAGTCACACTACACGATACCGCATAGCAATGAAAATTAACACATCAGCTACATGTAACAAAAGAATATTACCTCCAAGCTGGGTGCGGTGGCTCACACCTGTAATCCCAGCACTTTGGGAGACTGAGGTGGGTGGATCACCTGAGGCCAGGAGTTCAAGAACAGCCTGGCCAACATGGGGAAACCCCATCTCTACTAAAAATACAAAAAGTAGTCGGGCGTGGTGGTGTGCACCTGTAATCCCAGCTACTTGGGAGGTTGAGGGAGGAGAATTGCATGAACCCAGGAGGCAGATGTTGCAGTGAGCTGAGATCATGCCACTGCAACTCCAGCCTGGGCAGCAGAGCGAAACTCTGCCTCAAAAAAAAAAAAAAAAATTACTCCAGTTTTCAATTATCTATGACCCACCCTTCACCAAAAAAAGTAAAATTCAACTGCATTGTTCAGGTATGCAGAATTAAAACTGTAAATAAAAGCAAGGGAGTAATTACTTAATAGGAAAGCCAAGGAGAAGGGAAGGCATTGTGATTTTTCTTTTTTAGAGACGGGGTCTCGCTGTGTCACCCAGGCTGGAGTGCAGTGGTACAATCATAGCTCACTGCAGCCCTGATCTCCTGGGTTCAAGCAATCAATCCTCCTCCTCAGTCTCCCATCCTCTTGCCTCAGCCTCCTGACTAGCTGGGACTAAAGGTGCACACCACCAGTCTCAGCTAATTCTTTATTTTAATTATTTTTGTAGAGATGGGGGTCTCACTGTGTTGCCCAGGCTGGTCTCAAACTCCTGGCTTCAAGCAATCCTCCCACCACAGCCTCCCAAAGAGCTGAGATTATGGCCCTGAGCCACTGTGCCCAGCCAGCATTGTGATTTTCTAAAGGCTTGCAGGGTACATTATATTTATTTCCTTCCTTCCTTCCTTCCTTCCTTCCTTCCTTCCTTCCTTCCTTCCTTCCTTCCTCCCTCCCTCTCTCCATTCCTTCCTTTCTCTCTTCCTTCCTTCTTCTCCTTTCCCTTTCCCTTTTCCCCTTTCCCCTTTCCTTTCCTTTCCTTCTTTCCTTTCCTTTCCTTCTGACGGAGTCCCACTCTGTCACCCAGGCAGGAGTTAAGTAGTGTGATATTGGCTTACTTTACTCCACCTCCTGGGTTCAAGCAATTCTCCCACTTCAGCCTCCCGAGTAGCTGGGACTACAGGCACCTGCCACCACATCTGGCTAATTTTTGTATTTTTTTAGTAGAGACAGGTTTTCACCATGTTGCCCAGCCTGGTCTCGAACTCCTAGGCTCAAGTGACCTGCCTGCCTTGGCCTCCCAAAGTGCTAGGATTACAGGCATAAGCTATATACTTTTATTTTTATTTTTTAGCAAAAAGCAGAAACATAGGCTGGGCATGGTGGCTTATGCCTGTAAGTCCAGCTACTCAGATTGGGAGGCTGAGGTGTGCAGATCACTTGAGCCCAGGAGTTCGAGACCAGCCTGGGTAACATGGCAGGATTTTTGTATTTTCTACTAAAAAAAAAATGCAAAAATTAGCTGGGTGTGGTGGCTTGCATCTGTGGTCCTAGCTGCTGGGGAGGCTGGTGAGACCAGGTGAGCCAAGATTGCACCACTGCATTCCATCCTGGGGACAAAGCCAGACCCTGTCTCAAAAAAATATAGCAGAAACATGTTGTGATTTAAACATTTAAAAGAGATTGTGAGCTTTACATTTGTGTTTTGGTATTTAAAATTTTGGGGTCCATATTTTTTCCAACCTCCAAATGCCTTCTGTGTGCCTTGGATGTTGGGTACTGGCAGGAAGTGCTATGGACTGGGTTCCTCATTGTCTCACCTGTGGATCATCCCTCCCCTTTACTGGGGCCTCTGAGTGGCAATCGAATACATGACCATGGGCAGGAGGGAGGGATGGCGGGATGAGGGAGGGACTGCAGGGCTGAGATTCCCAAAGCATCTTTCAATTCTACAGCATCCCAATGTCCCCCGACTCACCTGACCAGCAATGTAGATGGGTAGGAAGATCCAGGCCAACATCAGCACAGAAAACAAGCCCTGCTCAAGAAAACACAGTCAGGACTTGGCCCCCAGCTCACAACAAGGTACCCATTTGGATTTCCCTCTGCGCCCTGAGGCAGCCTGGCCTGAACTCCACCTCTGGTGTAGTCTCTTACTCGCTGAGTGGTTCACCTGTGCTGGCCTTCAAATTTCCTTTTTTAACATGGGGAATGGATTCGGGAAGGAAGAGGAGAGTGGAAAAAGAAGGCCTTTGCGATGCTTCCTAGTTCTGTGTCTCCTAAACATCATGTCATCACTTCATCCAGTTGTGCCCCCTCCCCTCCTCAGCAGTGATTAAAACAAGACCATGACAGCAGGCAGATCTGGGTTCAAAGACGACCACAAGAGTTAACACAGGTCTCCGAGACTCATTTTTCTCACCTGGAAAATGGGCATATCAGTGCCTCACTAAGTGGTTGCAAGGAAATCAGGAAGATGATACTTAATGAGTACTGTATGCCAGGCGCCTCTCTGCACCCTTTACAAGCATTAATTCATTTGACCCTCATAATGGTTCTACATAACAGGTACCATTAATATGCCTATTATGTACATGAGGCTCAGAGAGGTTAAGAAACTTGCCCAGCTGGGTGCGGTGAGTCACGCCTGTAATCCCAGCACTTTGGCAGGCAGAAGCCAGTGGATCGCTTGCACCCAGGAGTTTAAGACCAACCTGAGCAACATAGTGAAATTCCCGTCTCTACAAAAAAATATGAAAATTAGCTAGGCATGGTGGCGTGCACCTGTGGTCCCAGCTACTTGGGAGGCTGAAGTGGGAGGATGGTTTGAGCCTGAGAGGTGGAGGTTGCAGTGAGCCATGACCACACCACTGCACTCCAGCTTGGGCGACAGAGCGAGACCCTGTCTCAAAAAACAAAACAAAACAAAACAAACAAGCAGAAATAACACTTGCCACCCAAGGTCACACAAAAAGCAACTTGCTGCTGAAGTTTATACGTGTTGGAGCAAGAATGTAAACCCAGGCAGTGTGGGTCTAATTTGTAAATGAATCCTATAATGTGATAGCATATGGAACATATCAAAGTCTGTTCCTGGCATAGAATAAGCATCCAAAAATATTGGACATTATGAAGGCAATGATCATTATTAATAATCCCCTCCCTGCCCTGACCCCAGTAAAAATCATATCCCAAATGAGCCCTGCTATATACGAGAGTGTATCTTATCCCTTGAGTATCTCAGAGGTAGCAAACAAAGTCAAAAACTACTGAGCTGTAAAATTTTTGTGATGGCCGATTGACGTCTAAAGTACACAGAAATACGCTTCAGTCTTCACCATCTTTCTTCTGCATCTCTAGGACAGGAATCTGAGCCCTCTTCTTCACACACCCTTTTTTTTTTTTTTTTTTTTTTTGTGAGACAGAGTCTCACTCTGTCGCCCAGGCTGAAGTGCAGTGTTACAATCTCACCTCACTGCAGCCTCTGTCTCCCAGGTTCAAGTGATTCTCCTGCCTCAGCCTCCTGAGTAGCTAGGATTACAGGCATGCACCACCAAGCCTGGCTAATTTTTGTATTTTTAGTAGAGATGGAGTCTCACCATGTTGGCCAGGCTGGTCTCAAACTCCTGACCTCAAAAGATCCGCCCACCTTGGCCTCCCAAAGTGCTGGGATTACAGGCCTGAGCCATCGCGCCCAACCCACTATTGTTTTTTTTTTGTGTTTTTTGGGTTTGTGTGTGTGTGTGTGTGTGTGTTTTTTTTTGTTTTTTTTGTTTTGTTTTGTTTTGTTTTTTTGTGGGGAGGGGGACGGAGTTTCACTCTTGTCACCCAGGCTGGCGCGCAGTAGTGCAATCTCTGCTCACTGCAACCTCCGCCTCCCGGGTTCAGATGATTCTCCTAACTCAGCCTCCCGAGTAGCTGGGATTACGGCGCCCGCCATTACACTCGGCTAATTTTTTGTATTTTTAGTAGAGACGGGGTTTCGCCACGTTGGCCAGGCTGGTCTCGAACTCCTGACCTTAGGTGATCCACCTGCCTTGGCCTCCCAAAGTGCTGAGATTACAGGCGTGAGCCACCGCGCCTGGCCCCACCATTCTATTTTTAAAGTGCAGGGCATTCACACAACTTTCCCCTGAGATCTACCTGTTAGGTAGAGGTAAGATGTCATCTATGCCCTAGGTAAAATACTTACATTAAGTTCATAAGCTGATACAGAAATGCCCGTAGCAGCACCTGACCCTGCCAGGCCAATGAAATGTCCACTTCCAACATTGCTGGCAAACAAGGATGCACCCACCTGTGGGGAGATGGACGGGTCAGATCTTGGAGACAAAGTCAAGGGTACCTGCTCCCCACCCCCAATTATTTCCATGCTCCAAAGGGACAGAGAAGAGAAGTAGAGGAAGGCAGGGCCACCCCTAGCCTATCTGGCATTTTTGTTTACATTAGAATGAGATTCTTCTTCCCCAAGACTCTTACTTGGTCAGAGCCCACCTGTCAGAAATTGGTAGAATAAATATTCAGGACTACAGGGCCTAAAATGCAGATTGCACCCTGTAGGGTTGTGCAGTGCACAGCTTCAACAACTATATGCAGTATCCCTGCGGGGGTCGGGGGTCGGGAAAGAAGGTGACAGGTAATGTAGAAAGTGATTCATGATGAGAATCAGGAAGCCTGTGTTACTCCCCCAGATCTGCTTCTTACTTATCAAAGTAGATAGTCTTCTTGGTATAGCACTAAATGGCTAGTGCTGTACTTGCTGATGCCAATCCCTGGTCTCCCTGGTCTCAACTGATTGGGCTGGACAGGCCTGGGTACCTGGCCCAAGCTGAGCAAATTATATTCTCTTTCCTGGGAATTTGGAACGGGGACACCGTCTCTGCGGGTCCCTTGGACTGGAGATATTGAACCAGTGAGGTGTGTGTGTGCTGGGGGTGAGGGAGTGGTGTGGAGGCATGTTTCACCCTGTGCTGCTCATCACTGCCAGTTCAGAGACAGGGGAGAATGAGACCTGCAAGAAAGGCAGGTCCAGCCGGGCGCTCTGGCTCACGTTTGTAATCCCAGCACCTTGGGAGGCTGAGGCAGGCGGATCACTTGAGGTCAGGAGTTTCAGACCAGCCTGGCCAACATGGTGAAACCCCGTCTCCACTAAAAATACAAAAGTTAGCTGAGCGTGGTGACACATGCCTATAATCCCAGCTATTCAGGAGGCTGAGGCAGGAGAATCGCTCGAGCCCGGGAGGTGGAGGTTGCAACGAGCCGAGATTGCACCACTGCACTCCAGCCTGGACGACAGAGACTCCGTCTCAAAAAAAAAAAAAAAGGCAGATCCAGTGAGGAGGGGAAAGGAGGGAGCAAGAAGAAAAAGAGGAGGAGGAGGAAGGAAAGGAGGAGGAGAAGGGTGAAGGAAGAGAAGAGAGGAGAGAGAATTGTGAAAGAGCCATTTTACCTCCTTATTGACTTTCCTGTCTCTGCTTCTTATCAAATTCTATTTCATGGATTTCATGTTTATCCTTCTGTCAGTATCATATTCTTTTGATTACTGTAGCGTTGTAGTAAGTTTTCAAATTGGGAAGTGTGAGTCTCTTTTTTTTTTTTTTTGAGGCGGAGTCTTGCTGTCTCCCAGGCTGGAGTGCAGTGGTGTGATCTCAGCTCACCGCAAGCTCCATCCCCCAGGTTCATGCCATTCTCCTGCCTCAGCCTCCCGAGTAGCTGGGACTACAGGCGCCCGCCACCACGCCCGGCTAATTTTTTTTTTTTTTTGTATTTTTAGTAGAGACGGGGTTTCACCGTGTTCGCCAGGATGGTCTGGGTCTCCTGACCTCGTGATCTGCCCACCTTGGCCTCCCAAAGTGCTGGGATTACAGGCATGAGCCACCACACCTGGCCTCTAATTTTTTTTTTTTTTTTGGAAGAATCTGTAAAGCATTTGTGTTAATTATTCTAGGAATGTTTGGAAGAGTTTATCGTTGAAGCCATCTTGATCCTTGGTGCTTGGTCTTTTTCTTTGTGAGAAGTTTTGTGATTACTAATTCACTGTCTTTACTTTTTTTTTTTTTTTGAAATGGAGTCTTGCTTTGTCACCCAGGCTGGAATGCAATGGTGCCATCTCAGCTCACTGCAAACTCTGCTTCCTGGGTTCAAGTGATTCTCCTATCTCAGCCTCCTGAGTAGCCGGGATTACAAGCACATGCCACCACAACCAGCTAATTTTTTGTATTTTAGTAGAAATGGGGTTTCACCGTGTTGCCCAGGGTGGTCTCAAACTCATGAGTTCAGGTGATTCGCCCTCTTCAGCCTCCCAAAGTGCTAGGATTACAGGGGTGAGCCACTGTGCTTGGCCTGTCTTTACTTTTTATAGATATAATTCAGGTTTTCTATTTCTACTTGAGTCAGTTTTGGTACTCTGTGTCTAGGAATTTGTTCATTTCATGTAGGTTGTTTAATTTTTTGCATATAATTGCTCACAGCATTTCCTTATAACTATATTTAATTTCCATAATGTTGATGGAAATTCCCCCTTTTTCATTTCTAATTTTATTAATTTGCATCTTCTGTCTTGTTTTTCTTAATCTAGGTAGAAATTGGTCAATTTTGTTGATGTTTTCAAAGAACAAACTTTTGATTTTTTTGATTTCCTCTAACAGTTTTCTATTCTACATTTTGTTTACCTCCACTCTAATCTTTGTTATTTTCTTCTGTCTGCTTGCTTTGGGTTTAATTTGCCCTTCTTTTTTAGTTTCTTAATGTAAAAGATGAGGTAATTGGTTTGACATCTTTCTTCTTTTTTAATATGGGCATTGTGGTGTAAGTTTTCTTCTAAGCACTGCTTTAGCTGGATCCCATAAGTTTTAGCATGCTGTTTTCATTTTCAGTAATCTCAAAGTATTTTCTAATTTGTCTTGTGATTTCTTCTTTGGCCCATTGGTTATTTAGAAGTGTGTTGTTTAATTGATATGTATTTGGGAATTTTCCAAGGTTATTTATTTATAATTTCATTCCACTGTGGATAGACAACACACTTTGTATTATTTCAATCATTTTAAATTTCTTGAGATTTATTTATGGCTTAACATACAGTCTATTCTGGAGAATGTTCCATGTGCACTTAAGATGAATAGGTATTTTGCTGTTGTTGGATGAATTATTTTATATATGTCTGTTAGGTCAGTTGGTTTATAGTGTTGTTCATGTCTTCTATTTTCTTGTTGATCTTATTTTGTTTTTCCATACATTATTGAAAATGAGATATTAAAGTCACCAATTATTAGTGTTTGAATTGTCTATTTCTCCCTTCATTCTGTCAGTTTTTGCTTCATATATATTGGGAGTCTGTTGTTAGGTGCAATTATGTTTATAATTGTTATGTCTTCTTGAGGGATTGACCCTTTTATCATTATGTAATTTTCTTTTTTGTCTCTAGTGACAATGTTTATCTTAAAGTCTATTTTGTCTGGTATTAGTATAGCCACTCCTGCTTTTTTCTGGTTACTGTTTGTATGTTATATATTTTTCCATCTTTTTACTTTCAACATATTTGAAATATATTGTGTTTGGTTAAACAGGCTTTTTCCATCCTTTTACTTTTACTTTCAGTCATTCGTATCTTTTTTTTTTTTTTTAGACAGGATCTCACTGTTGCCCAGGCTGCTGTGCAGTGGTGTGATCTTGGCTCACTGCTACCTCCACCTCCTGGGCTCAAGTGATCCTCCCATCTCAGCTTCCCTGAGTAGCTGGGACTACAGGCACATGTGCATTTTTGGTAGAGGTGGAGTTTCACCATGTTACCCAGGCTGGTCTTGAACTCCTGAGTTCAAGTGATCCACCCATCTTGGCCTCCCAAAGTGCTGGGATTACAGGTTTGAGTCACCATGCCCAGCCCTATTTGTATCTTTGATCTAAGTATATCTCTTGTAGACAACATACAGTTGGATCACATTAAAAAAAAAATCCATTCTCTGCCTTTTGATTGGAGTGTTTAATCCATTTAAATTAATGTAATACTGGTAAAGTAGAATTTACATATGCCATATTACCATGCAATTAATATATGTCTAGTGTCCTTCTTATTCTTCTATTCCTCCATTGCCTTTTGTGCTAGATATTATCTAGTATGCCATTTAAATTCCTTTATTAAAACAATAGTTTCTGTTACTATTTTCTAAAATTACTTTCTTAGTGATTGCTCTGAGGATTATAATTAACATCTTATAAAAATCAATTTTGGATTATTAGCTACTTACCTTTTATGCTATTTATGCAACTGTCTTTTAAATTAGAGAGAAGAAAAAGAGAGTTACAATCGAAAACCAATTTATACTGTATGTTATATTTACTTACATAGTTACCTTCACCAGTGCTCTTTGTTTATTTTTTTCATGTAGACTCAAGTTACTCTCTGATGTCTTTATTTCAGCCTGAAGGATTACCTTTAGAATTTCTTATAGGGTAGGTCTTCTACCAGTGAATTTTCTCATTAAAAGAAAAAAGTCTAGGAATGTATACATTTCCCCCTTTTTCAAAGGATAGTTTTGCTCAACATTAGTTTTGATTGGTAGCCTTTTTCTTTTGGTACTTTGAGCTTCCATGGTTTCTGATGAAAAAACCAGCTGATAATCTTATTGAAGACTTTTCTTTTTTTGAGATGGAGTCTCACTCTGTCACCCAGGCTGGAGTGCAGTGGCTCAGTCTCAGCTCACTGCAACCTCCGCCTCCCAGGTTCAAGCAATTCTCCTGCCTCAGCCTCCTGAGTAGCTGGGATTACAGGCATGAACCACTACGCCCAGCTAATTTTTTGTAAGTAGAGATGGGGTTTCTCCAGGTTGGCCAGGCTGGTTTCAAACTCCTGACCTCAAGTGATCCGCCTGCTTTGGCCTCCCAAAGTGCTGGGATTACAGGTGTGAGCCACCGTGCCCAGCCGAAGACTTCCTGTATGTAATGGATTGTTCCTCTCTTGCTGCTTTCAAGAATCTTTGACTTTTGACAGTTTGATTTTGATGTATTTAGGTATGAGTCTCTTTGAATTTCTTCTACTGCAGTTTATTATATTTCTTGGATGTGTAGATTAATATTGTTAATAAAATTTAGTCAATTTTAAACCACTATTTCTTTTATTATTCTTTCTGCCCCTTTCTCTCTCTCTCCTCTCCTCTGGAACTTCAATTATGTGTATGTTAATTATGCTTAATCATGTCCCACAGATCTCTGAGACTCTGTTTCTCTTCGTTTTTTTTCTGTTCCTCAGACTTCATAATCTCAATTAATCTATCTTCAATTTCACAGATTCATTTTTTTTGCCTGCTCAAATCTGTTGTTGAACCCCTCTAGTGAGTATGTTATTTCACTTATTGTTACTTTCCAACTCCATAATTTCCACTTAAAAAAAAATCTATCTCTTTAATGATATATTCTGTTTAGTTAAACATTGTTCTCATACTTTTCTTTAGTCTTCAAGACATGGCTTTTTTGTGTGTTTTTTGGATATAGTTAAAATTGCTGATTTAAGGCCTTTGTTTAGTGAATATAACATCTGGCCTTCTTCAGGGACACTTTCTATTGACTGCTTTTTCTCCCCTGTGTATGGACCATACTTTCTTGGGTTTTTTTGCATGCCTTATAATTTCTTGTTAAAGGTGGACATTTAAAATGATGTCACTGGTAACTCTAGAAATCTGATAATTCCTGACTCTTCAGGGTTTATTGTTGTTTCTTCTATTCATTCTTGCTGTTGTTGCTGCTTCTATTGTTTGTTTCATGACTTTCTTAAATTAAGTTTATGAAGTCTGAATTCTTTATCATGTGTGGCCACCAAAATCTATGCTCAGTTTATTGGGCAGCTAATGACTGAAAAGACATTTTCTTAAATCCCTGAAACCAATAATTTTCCCAGTCTTTGCAATTCTCCCAGCTTATAACTCTGCCTTAGCCTTCACTTCCTGCTTGTGCAGAGCCCCAAGGTCAGCCAGAGGCAAGAGCTTAGGGCTTTCTCGGGACTTTTCTAAGCATGTGTGTGGGCCTATGCACATGGCCTTCTAGATTCCCAGAAATATGTCTGAGTTTTTCAAAGCACCCTATGTGCATCTCACTTCCCAGCTTTTCTATTTAAGTTGTCTTACTAGAATATTATTTGCCAAACTGTTATTGCCACAGCTGCAATGTTAAACAATTACCACTGATTGTTTTTCTACAAATGTGTCTAGGGAAAAGGCTATGCACACTGAATGAGTTCTACGTAAGGTCAAATAAAGATGAGCCCAGCAGGTGGGGCTTTCCAGGGAACAGGTGACGGGTAAAACAGTGACCTTTTTTAGAGAATGGAGTTTTGAAAGAGTTCTAATCCCATTCTGACCTCTTCAGTTGCTTCTAGGCTGGTGGTTTCCCAAGGCTACAACACAGCTAAAGAGAGAGAGATGGAAACAGGGCCAAAGCTCACTGTTTTTTTCTGAGACCCAGCTGTTTTTCTTGAATAAATGCTTCCTGAATTATTGCAGCATGTGGTTAATCCCCAGAGTTCTGAAAAAGTTGATTTTGACAATTTTTTTTTTTTGCTTCACTTCTCATAGCTTTTATGGAGGAGAGAATTTTTGAAGCTCTTTACTCTGCCTTTCCCAATGACACCGTTCAAATGTGACTTTTCCACATGGCCCATACAGAAACTGTGCGGGCCTGTAATTTACTTTAACCAACAGAATGTGGTAGAAGTGACTTCCAGGCCAAGACCTTAACAGCCTAGTAGCTTTCATTTTTGCCCTCTTGGGATTCAGCTACCTGGTTAAAACAAAAACAAAAACAACAGCAAGAAAAACCACAAAACCCTGGGCTAGGCCACTGAATGATGAAAGAGAATAGGGAGAAAATGAGGTCCCAGTATTCCAGTGACCCCTGCCAAAGCCCCCCAAATGTGGATGAAGCCATCTTGGACTTCTGTCTAGCCTAGTCACCAACTAAATGCAGCTGCATGAATGAGTCCAGAGGAGAAAAGCACATTTTTAAATTTTATTTTTATGATTCCCTGCTTTTCTATGTAGAGCAAATGATACTGGTTTTCTATTTAAGGTTGTGATTATACATATATATTTACATATTTATTATATATAATATATATCTATTATATATAATATATAAATCATATATATTATATAACTATATATTACATAAATATATAAATTATATATTATATAACTATATATTACATAAATATATGATTATATATTATATAATTATATATTATATAATATATAATTATATGTTATATATTTTATATAATATATATTTATATAAATATATTTATATAAATATATATTTTTAAAACCTAACTCCAGATTTTTCCCTTAGATGAGGTGACAAATTGTTTTTTTTTGTTGTTGTTTAAACGAATTTGAGCTGGAGCTAAGCCTTCTCTAGTTTAGACAATGACTTCCAAACGACATGAGACCAGAGAGTCCTGAGATATCAAAGGCTGGACAGAATCCCAGCACTTGAAGATTCTTTAAGAAGTGACTTTAATTGAACCAAAGACCACTTACTGGCCACCACACCATGTCCCCTCCAGCCAGGAAGTAGCCTTTCACTGTGTCTCTTTTGGTCTTCACTGTGGACTGAAAAAAAAAGAAGAGAGGTGGGTGAGGGAAGACGTTAGCAATCAGAGGCATCTCAAAATGGCCTAGGCCAGGCAGGGATTGCAAACTGGGAGTCCTGAGGGCCAGATTCGGATATCAAATATATTTTGTTTCTCCCAGAGTTTTGGATAAAATTTTAATTTTGTGTCTTTAGAGGAAACATAAACTCTTCAGGTCAACAAAGCTCCTACCACTTGTTGCTACAAACATTTATTTTATGATAACCTACTTGGTCTCCCTAGACATTTGAGTCTTAGGCTCATGGCTTGTTTATGATGTTTTATAACTGATACCATTTATTGAGTGTTTACTATGTGCCAGATGCTGTGCCAAGCACTTTATATGCATTACCTCATTTAATCCTTACCAACCCCTATGAGGTTTGTGTCGTTAGGCCAATCTGATAAAGGAAGAAACCGAGGCTCATGTCTCAGTCTGCTTTGCACTACTATAACAAAATACCCGAAACTGGGTGATTTTTAAACAACAGAAATTTGTTTCTTACAATTCTGGAGACTTGGAAGTTCAATATCAAGGCACCGAGAGGTTTGGTGTCTGGTGAGAGCCTGTTCCTCGTAGATAGTACCTCCTCTGTGTCTTCACATGCCAGAGGAACAGAAGGGCAAAAAGGGGTAAAACTAGTTCCCTTGAGCTTCTTTAATAAAGTCTGTAATCCCATTCATGAGGGCTCAGTTCTTATGACTTAATCACCCTCGAAACGCCCCATCTGTTAATACTATCACATTGGTGATTAATTTTTTCTTTCTTTTTTCTTTTCTTTCTTTCCTTCCTTCCTTCCTTTTTCTTTCTCTTTCTTTCTTTCCTTCTTTTTCTTTCTTTCTTTTTCTTTCTTCTGCCTGCCCCTTCCCTTCCTTTTCCCTCCCTTCCTTCCTCCCTCCCTTCCTTCCTTTCTTTCTTTTTCTTTCTTCTTCTTGTCCCTTCCCTTCCCTTTCCCTCCCTTCCTTCCTCCCTCCCTTCCTTCCTTCCTTTCTCTTTCTCTTTCTTTCTCTCTCTTTCTTTCTTTTCTTTTATTTTTCTTTCTTTTTCCCTTCCCTTCCCTTCCTTCCTTTCTTTCCTTTCTCTCTCTTTCTTTCTTTTTTGAGACTGGTTCTCACTCTGTCACTCAGGCTGGAGTGCAGTGACATGATCATGGCTCACTGTAACCTTGAACTGCTAGGCACAAGCAGTCCTCCTGGCTCGGCCTTCCAAGTATCTGGGACTACAGGCATATGCCACCATGCTCAACTAATTTTTCTGTTTTTTGTAGAGATGGTATCTTACTATGTTGCCAGGCTGGTCTCGAACTGAGCTCAAGCGATCTGTTCACTTCGGCCTCCCAAAGTGCTGGGATTACAGGTGTGAGCCACTGTGCCTGACCTTTTATCTCAAAGTTGTTAATATCCTTAATACAAAAAGAGCTCCTGGAAATTGATAAGAAAAAGAAGAAGAACCTAATAGAAATAAGGCAAAAGATATGAAGCCATAGTTCACATAAAGAAAATATGTGGTGTTTAAACATACGTAATGGGGCCCAACCTCATTCATTGTAAGATAAATGCATATTAACAATACTGGCTGGGTGCGGTGGCTCACACCTGTAATCCCAGCACTTTGGGAGGCCGAGGCAGGCGGATCACGAGGTCAGGAGATTGAGACCATCCTGGCTAACACGGTGAAACCCCATCTCTACTAAAAATACAAAAAAAATTATCCGGGCATGGTGACGGATGCCTGTAGTCCTAGCTACTAGGGAGGCTGAGGCAGGAGAATGGCATGAACCTGGGAGGTGGAGCTTGCAGTGAGCTGAGATTGCACCAGTGCACTCCAGGCTGAGCGACAGCAAGACTCCGTCTCAAAACAAAAAACAAAAAACAAAAAAAACTTTGAGATATTATTTTTCCTAGTCTGACAAAAATGAGTTTGACAATACACTGTTGGTGAGAATGTGACAAAACAGACTTTCTCATCATTTCTGATGTGTACACCTAAGGAGTGCAATTTGACACAAACTAGTATAATCACAAATGCATATATTCTTTAATATACGCATTTCTGCTGCAGGGAATTTATCTTATAGCTACACTCCCAAACAGTGTACAGAGTTTATTTATTTATTTATTTTTGAGACGGATTTTCACTCTTGTTGCTCAAGCTGGAGCGCAATGGCACAATCTCAGCTCACCACAACCTCTGCTTCCCAGGTTCAAGTGATTCTCCTGGCTTAGCCTCCTGAGTAGCTGGGATTACAGGCACCCACCACCACGTCTGGCTAATTTTTTTATATATATTTTTTGAGATGGAATCTCACTCTGTCGCCCAGGCTGGAGTGCAGTGGCACGATCTCGGCTCACTGCAAGCTCTGCCTCCCGGATTCATGCCATTCTCCTGCCTCAGCCTCCCAAGTAGCTGGGACTATAGGCACCCGCCACCACACCTGGCTAATTTTTTGTATTTTTAATAGTGATGGGGTTTCACCACATTGGCCAGGCTCGTCTCAAACTCCTGGCCTCAAGTGATCTGCCCACCTCTGCCTCCCAAAGTGCTGGGATTACAGGCGTGAGCCACCGCGCCTGGCCTAATTTTTGTATTTTTAGTAAAGATGGGATTTCACCATGTTGGCCAGGCTGGTCTCAAACTCCTGGCCTCAAGTGATCTGCCTGCCTTGGCCTCCCAAAGTGCTGGGATTACAAGCGTGAGCCACTGCGCTGGGCCAGGGTTTGTTTATTATAGTATAGTTTATTATAGTAAGAGATTGGAAACAATCCAAATGACCTTCAGCCCGAGACTAGTTAAATAAATTACAACACAATCATCTAAGGAAATATTATGCAACTTTTAAGAAGATAAGGAATGTCTACGTGCTAATGTGAAAAGATATCTAAAAGATACTGAGAAGTGAAAAATAGAAAGCTAAAAAACAGTATAAGCTACCTTCTGTTTAAGAAAGAGGGAAATATGCAATTAAAATTTGCTTGGATTTGCATAAAGACACTTGAACCACACGCTTATGTACTAACAAGCTAATAATATTGGTTACCTGTGGAGAGAAGGCTAATATTGAGATTTTTCATCGCTTGTCATAAGTGATTTTTATTTGTGAGCCATGTGACTGTATTGCCTTTAAAGTTTTCTTTAAAGTAAAAAAAAACACAGTTGGGCTGTTTGTAATCCCAGCACTTTGGGAGGCTAAGATGGGAGAATTGCTTGAGCCCAGGAATTTGAGACCAGCCTGGGCAACATACTGAGATCCCATTTCTACAAAAAAAAATTTAAAAATTAACTACCTGGCAGCCGAGGTGAGAGGATCACTTGAGCCCAAGAAGTCGAGGCCGGAGTGAGCTATGATTGCCACCACTGCGTTCTAGTACCCTGAGCAACAGAGGGAGATCCCACCTCAAAAAGCAAAACAAACAAAACAAAAACAAAAACAAAACATGAGCTTCGAAGTAAGGGAGACAGGGATTCTAACCCTAACTCTCCTAACTTACAGGATGAGGATCTTAAATTATTTGGGCCTGTGTTTCCTTATCTGTAAAATGGGTATTGTAACAGCATCTTTCTCACAGGGGCCTGTGAAAATTACATGAGAAATGTAAGTGAAAATGCTTAAAACAGTGTCTGACAATAGTCCACACCCAATGCATGTTTAAAATTTTTAAGTTCTGATTACTCTATAACCTTGTGTTAGTTTCTTCCTCTCACAGTCAGTATCTTAGCTCCAAAAGGATGAGGTTAACTCCGGACCTCTAAACAGACATTTCCTTCTCTCTTCATCCCCCATCCCCCAGTGGCCTGGCTTACCCATAGTCCAACAGCCAGGACAAAGAGGAAGTACAGAACTAGCACCGCGATGTCCCCAGGCTCCAAGCCCTTCTGGGGAAACGCATCCAGGGGATCTAACTGTGGAGGCTGAGGGCTGCTGGTGCCGCTCTCCATGGTCCTGAACGAGACCTCTGGATCCTGAGGAAGGGCAAATGCCAGTCAAATGCCAGATCCTAGCATCATTCTTCTCACCCTTTCTGTAGCTACCTCCCTAGGCCATCCATGAAAGAGGACCCATGTGGAGGGATGTGTGGTGGAAGACAGATCTTCAGGGAAGACAGATCCATCCATCGATCCATCCACCATCCACTCACTCATTCATTCATTCAACACATATTCATAATGAAGTCACATCAAATCTGCAGTCAATTTTGTCACTCACTTGGCAAAATAGAAAGAAGCATAAACAATTGCAATAGTACAGATGATTTCAGCAAGCACGTGTCCCAGAGTGAAAGAAAAATGAGACACCTGAGTCAGTCTCCACTTCCGTGGTACCTCACAGCTGGGTGAGAGTCAAGTCAACAATTTTGTCCAAGGCTCAGCCAGACACCATAATCTTGTTCCAATGCTACATATACCATGAAATTTAATATATTTAATAAACACTCATATTGCATCTACTATATCCTGGGCATCATTCTAAGTGTTTACTAACCTGCAAAGTGGGCACTATTGTTATCATCCCCATTTTACAGATGGTGAAGTTGAGACACAGAGACACAGAAAAGTTAAGTAAGTGCCCAAGGTCATAAAGCTGAGATTTGAACTCAATAATCTTGCTCCAGAATCCATGCTTTGAGCCACTAATCTAAGCAGTTTTCTCAGTACCCTGCAAATCCATGGGCAATTTAAGGAAATCTTGTGGTAGACAGAGAAATGGCCCCCAAAGATGCTTACCTCTAATCCCCAGAACCTGTGAATATGTTGTTACATATCAAAGGACAATTAAGTTTGCAGATAAAATTAAGGTTGGTAGTCAAATCACTTAAAATTGGGAGATGCCTAGCTGCAGCTAACCTGAAAATAGGGAGATGCCTGGATTAACTGGGTGGGCCCCATGTAATCACAGTAAAAACAGAATCAGAAGAGATAGCCACAGAGATGACAGCATGAGAAGGATTTCACTCAACGTTGTTAGATTTGAAGATGGGGTAATGGAGCTACAAGCCAAGGAGTGCAGGTGGCTTCTAGGAACTGGAAAAGGCAAATTAATAGATTCTTCCTTAGCACATCCAGAAGGAATTCAGTCCTGCTGACACCTTGATTTTAGCCCAGTAAGACCCATTTAGAACTTCTAACCTCTGTAACTGTAAGGTCATAAATTTATGTTGTTTTAGCCACTAAGTTCATGGTAATTTGTTAAAGCAGCAGTCAGAAACTAATAAAATTTCCAAGGGTGATTTTTGACCACAAGTGATCAGGGCATTGACTTATTTCTGTGTTAAGATGCAACTCCACTCTGTTGGCCTTTGGGCATTCCGGAATGAAAATACTTGATCCTTGCCATCTTGCAATGCACAGCCCAGTGATGGGACAAAGCCACCCATGGACAACAACAGCACAACGTGATGTTTCACAGAGGGCAGGTTCATGGGGAGAGATGTTAAGAATTCAGGCTCCGAAGCTGTACACCTTGGCCGGGCTCAGTGGCTCATGCCTATAATACCAGCACTTCGGGAGGCCGAGGTGAGTGGATCCCATGAGGCCAGGGGTTCAAGTCCAACCTGGGCAACGTGGTGGACCCCGTCTCTACTAAAAATACAAAAATTAGCTGGGTGTGGTGGCGCATGCCTGTAGTCCCAGCTACTCAGGAGGCTGAGGCATGAGAATTGCTTGAATCTGGGAGGTGGAGGTTGCAGTGAGCTGAGATTGTACCACTGCACTCCAGCCTGGGCAAAAAGAGCAAGACCTTGACTCCACCATTTACACTTAGCTAAGTTTATTTTATTTTATTTTATTATTTTTATTTATTTATTTATTTTTTGAGATGGAGTCTCACTCTGTCTCCCAGGCTGGAGTGCAGTGGCCTGATCTCGGCTCACTACAAGCTCTGCCTCCCCGGTTCACACCATTCTCCTGCCTCAGCCTCCTGAGTAGCTGGGACTACAGGCGCCCACCACCACGCTCAGCTAATTTTTTTTTTTTTTTTTTTTTTTTGTATTTTTAGTAGAGATGGGATTTCACCGTGTTAGCCAGGATGGTCTCGATCTCCTGACCTCGTGATCCACCCACCTCGGCCTCCCAAAGTGCTGGGATTACAGACGTGAGCCACTGCGCCCGGCCTATTTTATTTTTTAAGAGACAAGGTTTCCCTATGTTCCCCAGGCTGGCCTTGAACTCCAGCCTCAAGAAATCCTCCCACCTTGGCCTCCCAAAGTGCTGGGATTACCAGCCCAGCCAAGGTACATTTTTAAAGTAAGAAAAAACTCCAACACTTTTCATTTTATGCAATCTGAAGGTAGGTTGTGGACTCAGATAGTGATAAATGGGATTTTCGCCCACATGAATGTCTGGTGGGTCCTCTGAAAATCTTTATTGCGTGGGCAATACACATTTCAGGAAGTCTAGAATTTCAGGCCTCCCCCTGCTGAATGCCAGTAGCACTCCCAAATTATTGTGACAACCAAAAATGCTCTCATACATTTTGAAACATCTCTGAAGGCCAGGAACACCTCCAGTGCACACATGTGCTCTGGGTTAAAGGATGTCAGTGAGGAATTTCTAATAAGAAAGTGGTATGATCAGACAGGGGGCAGCCTTGATGAGAAGCAAGAACGCGGGCAGGGAGGTTATTCTGGAGGTAGTGACTCCGGCTTGAGACCATACATAAGCAGGGGTTAGTCCATTCCTACTGTTACAATCAAATACCTTAGACTGTGTAATTTGTAAACAACATAAATTTATTGCTCACAGTTCTGGAGAAAGTCCAAGATCGAGCTGTCAGCAGATTCAGTGTCTGGTGAGGGCCCGTTCCTCATAGGTGGCACTTGCTTGCTATGTCCTCATATGGTAGATGGATGGGTCAAGTTGGCTCTCTCAAGCCTTTTTGTTTTATTTTTATTTATTTATTTATTTATTTATTTTGAGACAAGGTTTCACTTTGGTGTCCAGACTGGAGTGCAGTGGCACAATCACTTTTTCTCTTTTTTTAAAGAGACAAGAGTTTTGCTCTGTTACTCAGGCTGGAGTACAGTGGCACAATCACAGCTCACTGCAACTTCAACCTCCTAGGCTCAAGAGATCCTCCTGCCTCAGCCTCCCAATTAGCTGGCACTATAGATGCACCACCATGCCTGGCTAATTTTTTTTTTTTTTTTTTTGTAGAGATGAAGTCTATGTTGCTCAGGGTGGTCTCAAATTCCTGGGCTCAAGCAATTCCTCCAACTCCGCCTCTCAAAGTGCTGGGATTATAAGCATGAGCCACCGCACCTGGCCTCAAGCCTCTTTTATAAACGTGCTAATCCCATCCATGGGGGCAGAGTCCTCATAACCCTAACCCTCTCAAATGCCCTGCCTCTTAATACTATTGCATTAGGGATTTAGGTTTCAATGTAGGAATCTGGGGACAGAGGGACATGCACAATCAGATCATAGCAGAGGGAGTAGATTAGAGAAATAATTTGGAGGCCAGGTGTGGTGGCTCCAGCCTATAATCCTACCACCTTGGGAGGCTGAGGCAGGAGGATCACTTGAGCCCAGGAGCTTGGCTACAGTGAGTTATGATTGCCCCACTGCACTGCAGCCTGGGAGGCAGAGCAAGACCTTGCCACAAACAAACAAACACACACACACACACACAAGGCTAACCTAACCTAACCTTTCTCTGTGCAAGAAAGTGAGAGAAGGCCTAGAGGTGGAGACTCCCTTTCAGGGTAAGGGTGGAGGCTCTTAAGGGAGGTTCCAAGCAGGAAAAGCATTCTGGCAGCTTCAGGAGGGGAGGGGGTGAGGGGACCCTTGTGGGTTGTCTCAAGGGTGAAGCCCCATTAGGTAAGTAATGTTCTCATCAGACTTTACAGGGGAGGAGGCTGGGCACAGTGGCTCATGCCTGTAATTCCAGCACTTTGGGAGGCCAAGGCAGGAGGATCACCTGAGGTCAGGAGTTTGAGACAAGCCTGGGTAACATGGTGAAATCCCATCTCTACTAAAAATGCAATTTTTTTAGGTGGGTGTGGTGGTATGCAACTGTAATCCCAGCTACTTTGGAGGCTAAGGCAGAAAGATCGCTTGAACCCGGGAGGCGGAGGTTGCAGTGAGCTGTGATTATGCCACTGCACTCCAGCCTGGGGGACAGAGTGAGACTCTGTCTCCGGAAAAAAAAAAAAAACTTTACTTTACAGGGGGAGTGATGGCTCTGAGAGTTTAAGTCGTGTCCAAAGTCACATGGCTGACAAGTGACAAAGCTGGGACTCGAATCCAGTCTGATTTCAGAGTCTGTGTTTTCAAACACTTCAACCTGCTGCTTCTAAAACAGGATTTGGGGAAAGATGAGGAGTAGAAAAGTGCAGGAAGCATGTTTAGGTGGAGGTTGATGCTGAATTGGGGAGTGGGGCAGAGGGAGGAGGGAGGAGGGGCGGCGGCTGCCTGGTGAGCCAGTCCTCCCTGTCCCTGCCCGCCCCTTCCAGACCTCTGCCTGCCAGGCACCGAGAGAGCAGTGGGAGAAGCTCCAGCAGATAAACAAGTTATTCATCATCGCCGTGGGGCCCACAGCCGGCGAAACTGGCACCGATTCCAAGCCCTTCCTGAGTCTCCGGGAGGTGGGGCCCAGCCAGGGGCCGCGAGGGACGTGGCTCCATCTTCACGGTGGAGACAGGAACAGCGACCAAAGATGCTGTGGAGCCTCGGCCACAGGATCCCAGGAGGAACCCTCCATGCGCTCCACCCTCTGCAAATTCATGCAGTAGGTATACTGAGAATCGGCCCTAACACTTGGTGAGCACGATTTCTATTTGAGTGCCAGGCATGGAGCACAGCCCTTTGAGGCAAACGTGATTTCACCTCCATTTCACAGGTGGGAATCAGAGGCACAAGAGGGGAAAGTGAGCCTAACTCAGGCATAGCTGTGCTGCTTGCTTCTAGGCCGCAGTCAGTGCCGCGGGTGGGATCCCAACCCAGGTTTGGAGGTGGCCATTCCTGGCTGGTCTTTCTTTCCTCCCGCCCTTCTCTCCTTCATTCTCTCTTTCCCTCCCTCTGGCTCTATTTCTTTCCTGCAAGCATTTATTAGGCACCAGCTGTGTGCCAGGCTCCATGCCAGGCCCTGAGGACTTAGTGGAACATTTATTAGTCACCAGCTGTGTGCCAGGCTCCACGCCAGGCCCTGCAACTCAGTGGAACATTTATTAGTCACCAGCGGTGTGCCAAGCTCTGTGTTAGGTCTTGTGACTCAGTAAAACAAATGTTATTAGGCATCAACTATGTACCAGGCTCTGTACTAGGCCCTGGGGACTCAGTGAAATAAACATTTATTAGGCACCAACTATGTACCAGGCTCTGTACTAGGCCCTGGGGACTCAGTGAAACAAACATTTATTAGGCACCATCTGGGTGCCAAGCTCTGTGCTAGGCCCTGGGGACTGAGTGCAACAAACATTATTAGGCACCAACTGTGTACCAGGTTCTGTGCTAGACCCTGGGGACTCAGTAGAACAAACATTAGGCATTAGTTGTGTGCCATGCTCTGTGCTAGACCCTGGGGACTAAGTACAACAAACATTTATTAGGCACCGGCTGTGCACCATGCTCTGTGCTAGACCCTGGGGACTCAATAGAACAAACATTTATTAGGCACCAGCTGTGTGCCATGCTCTGTGCTAGGCCCTGGGAACTCAGTAGAACAAACATTTATTAGGCATCAGCTGTGTGCCATGCTCTGTGCTAGGCCCTGGGGACTCAGTAGAACAAACATTTATTAGGCATCAGCTATGTGCCATGCTCTGTGCTAGGCCCTGGGGACTCAGTGAAATAAACATTTATTAAGCAACAACTGTGTGCCAAGCTCTGTGTTTGGCATGAAGGACAAAACAATGAGAAGCGTAGACTTGGCCCCGTCCTCTGGGTTTTCATCTCAGTCCCCTGCACCCTGTGTGTACCTGGGCCCACTCGGTGAAGTGACCCCGGGCACCCTTTGTCCCTTGCATGGTGATGTTTGGCTCCCAGGCTGCCTCAGGAGGGTCTGGTTGGGGTGGTTGGGGGTGGCTCCTTCTTCACCTCTTGTGAAGAACCCTCCCTGTGCCCGCGGGGAGGATTCACGGCAGCTTGTGTTATAACAAAGGCTTTGTTGGCAAGGAGAACAGCCTACCCTTGAGGTCGCCTATTGGCCAATGCACAAAAGGAAGCTCAGTGGAGCAGGGACTTCTCTCATCCCTTCCTTTTGGCCACTGACATAATTTGCTATGGTAGATGTGAAAATTTTCCACGCCCCAGGAGATGTGAAAAATTTCCACACCCCAGTGCAAGGAAAAGATCAGAAAAGAGGTTCCCAGGTCACAGGTGTGGGAAGGTGAGCTGTGATTGTATTTGCCGCATTTCATGCCTTAGGCTGGCTTCTGGATGTGCGTGATTCTTTATAACTTCTGTGTGTCTGAAACGTTTCATAATGAAAGAAAAAGGAGGGAAATAAACAGAGCACAATTTATAGCATGAAGCCAAAGCACTCAAAGACACAAAATAGTACTATTTTGCCAGAGTGCAGGCGTATTTCCAGATGAGTATCAAACACATTAGAGGGGGTGGCAGGAATCGGGGGAGAAACAGATAGAGTGGGAGAGAGAGAGAGAGAGAGAGAGAGAAGCAAGGGAAGTTCCCTGCTCTGAATGAAAATGACAATGACTAATTACAAATTTTAATTATGAGCAACAGACTCTCCAGGAAATAGATATGTCGTGATAAAGCGTAAAGTGTAAATACTTTAGAACTGCACCGCCCTGACTCAGATCCCAGCTCTGCCTCCTGTGAGCTCCTTCATCGTGGGCAAGTCACCTCTCTGAGGCTCAATTTCCCATCTACGAAATGAGGTTAATAATTAGACATACGTCACAGGTTTGTAAAAAGCAGTAGGCATGTTCATTGTATGTGTAATGTGATTAAATACAGAGTACTTGTTCTGTTCCCCGTCCATTTTATAAAACCATTTTTTTTAAAGAAAGCATGACTTGGGAGGCTGAGGCAGGAGGATTGCTTGAGCCCAGGAGTTTTGTTTTGTTTTGTTTTTTTTGAGATGAAGTCTCACTCTGTCCCCCAGACTGTAGTGCAGTGGTGCAATCTTGGCTCACTGCAACCTCTGCCTCCTGGCTTCAAGCGATTCTCCTGCCCCCAAGCGATTCGCCTGCCTCAGCCTCCCAGGTAGCTGGGATTACAGGCGTTTGCAACCACGTCCGGCTAATTTTTTTTTTCTTTTTTTGTATTTTTAGTAGACATGGGGTTTCACCATGTTGGCCAGGCTGGTCTTGAACTCCTGACCTCAGGTGATCCGCCTGCCTTGGCCTCCCAAAGTGCTGGGATTACAGGCGTGAGCCACTGCCCTGGGCCCAAGCCCAGGAGTTTGAGACTGCATTGAGCTATGATTGCACCACTGCATTCCAGCCTGGTGACAGAGTGAGACCCTATCTCTAAAAACAATAAAAATAAAAATAAAAGGAGCATAAACTAGGCCGGGTGCAGTGGCTTATGCCTGTAATCCCAGCACTTTGGGAGGCTGAGGCAGGTGGATTGCTTGAGGTCCAGAGTTCGAGACCAGCCTGGCCAACGTGATGAAACCCTGTCTCCACTAAAAATACAAAAATTAGCAGGGCGTGGTGGTGGGCTCCTGTAATCCCAGCTACTTGGGAGGCTGAGGCAGAAGAATCGCTTGAACCTGGGAGGTGGAGGTTGCAGTGAGCTGAAATTTCACCACTGCACTCTAGCCTGGGTGACAGAGCAAGACTCTGTCTTAAAGAAAAAAAAAAAACGAATAAACTTTGTGGTTAGGCAAACCTTGGCCACATATGTGCATGAATCATGTTTTGAAGTCACAGCCTCCCTACAAGGACTCTGATTAACTCCATTGTACAGGTGAGGAAAACAAAGCTGAGGCCGGGTCTAAGGCCACACTGCTAGTAAATGACTGAAGCAGGGCTCCAACCCAGGTTTAACTCTAGAGCTCCTAACTACCCCGAGACACGTGGACCTTGGTGGGGAAAATTCCAGATGTGATAAGGACTGGCACGGGTCTCATCACCCAGGCTGGAAGCCACTCGCACCCTTTCCTACCACTCCTGGGCTGCAGTGGCGCTGACTGCCTGCTGCACTGCAGCAAGCTGTGCCCTGGCCTGGCCTGGGTCTAGGGAGCCTAGTGGAGGCAGCCCTACAAGAGGAAAAGAGTCAGTCCTGGAAGGCAGAGAAGGGCTGTCTGGGACTAGAACTGCAGGAATAAGGAGCTAAATGACCACCCCTGGCCTCCTCCACCCGTTGATGCCATGGGGTTCATAGAAACAGAGAGATCTCTACAAAAAGGCCAAAAAGACAGATCCTGGCTGGGCTCAATGGCTCATGCCTATAATCCCAGCATTCTGGGGGGTCAAGGCATGAAGATCGCTTGAGGCCGGGAGTTTGAGCCCAGCTTGGGCAATGTAGTGAGACCCTTTTTTTTTTCTCCTCT